>NC_000001.11:112584138-112887168 GCF_000001405.40 Homo sapiens
CAAGAAGGCAATTTTAAATAAAATGGTAAAGCAAGTGTTTTCTCTTGGTTATGTCCCTTTGCTCTATGTCATATTTCCTTACCTACACTTTTTCCATCTTTAGAAAAAAAAAAACCTTCGTTCAATATTTTACCTTAATAGGGGCACATTGGTATATTCTTTATGTCTGATTCCACAATTCTTCCACTTTCTTATCTTTCCCTTCTCTTTGTTTTTTAAAAAAAAAAAACAAAATTTTTAAACTTCTATCTCATTCTCTGACCCATTGTCCTGTGTTTTCTTTTTGTGAAAGGGGGGAGAAAAGAAGATTTATAAAGAATTATCTGAATTGTATACCCTCTACTGGTCATACCTGCTTTTTTTTTTGAGATGGAATTTTGCTTTTGTCACCCAGGCTGGAGTGCAATGGCCCAATCTTGGCTCACTGAAACCTGGGCCTCCTGGGTTCAAGCAATTCTCCTGCCTCAGCCTCCCGAGTAGCTGGGATTACAGGCATGCAGCACCACGCCCGGCTAATTTTTGTATTTTTAGTAGAGATGGGGTTTCAACATGTTGGCTAGGCTGGTCTAGAACTCCTGATCTCAGGTGATCCACCTGCCTCAGCTTTCCAAAGTGCTGGGATTACAGGCGTGAGCCACCATGCCCGGTTGATCATACCTGCTTTTAGTCGCTATATAATTTATGACATCCATTTCATGGGGCAGGTATGGGGAGGGTGAAGATTGGGAAGATAGTCCCTTGGCCAACTAGGCACTTTTAACATCTGACTCAGAAACATAGTCCAGGACTAGACATTTTCCCCAAATCTGAGTACTCCCCTCTGCATGCTGTCCCATCCACACATGGACTTATCCACAATATTATGCAGTATAACTTCCCTTGTTCTGAATTCAGGTCCTTCCTCCTACACTCCTATTCTCATTCCTCAAAACTATGCTTATGCCAAGTTTTCTTTTCTTCACCCCACTAAAACACAGAGGCTTTTCTTTGTATCTTTTAAGTCAACACCTGGCTAATAAACTAATGCTTGTTTTGGGGCCACAAAGAGAAACAAAATGTTGTTATTCCATTCCCAGAAATAACAAATCCATCTCTTCTACAGACAATATCCTAGTTGTGATTATCTAAGACGGCACTGTCCAGTATTCTAGGCATTAGCCACATGTGGTTATTGAGCACTTGAAATGTGATGCGTCTGAATTGAGATGTGATGCAAGTGTAAAAATGCACAACGAATTTTGAAGACTTAGAAGAATGTAAAGTTCTTCATTAACAGATTTTAGAAAAGTACTGACTATATGTTAAAATAGTTTAATATTTTGGGCCGGGCGCGGTGGCTCATGCCTGTAATCCCAGCACTTTGGGAGGCCGAGGCGGGCGGATCACGAGGTCAGGAGATCGAGACCACGGTGAAACCCTGTCTCTACTAAAAAAAATACAAAAAATTAGCTGGGCGCAGTGGCGGGTGCCTGTAGTCCTAGCTACTTGAGAGGCTGAGGCAGGAGAATGGCATGAACCTGGGAGACGGAGCTTGCAGTGAGCCAAGATTGCACCACTGCACTCCAGCCTGGGTGACAGAGTGAGACTCCGTCTCAAAAAAAAAAAAAAATTAATATTTTGAATATAGCTAAATAAAACATTATTCAGATTAATTTCACCTATTTCTTTTTACTTTTTAAATGTGGCTACTAGAAAATTTAAAGTTACATATGTGGCTTGCATTATATTTCTAATAATTAGTGCTTATCTCAGCAAGAGGAGAGAAATTATTGATAAACGTACAAGACCAAGCATTAAACAAAAGTGATGGCAGGTAGCTATCGTTAAGTGGGGACAAAAACGTTCTTCAGTTATAGAAAATGCAAATCATACCATTTCATCATCCTTCAAATAAGAAGACCCTATAATACATAACAATTTCACTAATCAACAAAGATTTCTCCATTACATTACACTAGATCCCTGTGAAGCATTAGATACACTGCTGCTTTAAACACTGGCCTTCCTGCCCAGGCACAGTGGCTCATGGCTATAATCCCAGCAGTTTGGGAGGCCAAGGCAGGAGGATCACTTGAGGCCAGTAGTTCGAGACTAGCCTGGGCAACACAACGAGACCCTCTCTCTATAAAACAATAATAATAAAGATTTAAAAATTAGCTGGGTGTGGTTGTGTGCACCTGTAGTCCTAGTTACTTTGGAGGCTGAGGCAAGAGGATTGCTTAAGGCCAGGAGTTTGAGGTTACAATGAAGCTATCATCCTACCACTGCACTCCAGCCTGGGCAACAGAGCAAGACCCTGTCTCTAAACAAAAACAAAAATCAAAAACACTAGGCTTCCTGACTGCCATTCCAAAAACCGACTGAAATATTTTAAAATAACCATAATAAAAACAGTTTTTAAAAGACCTAGATGGGTATAAATCAAAATATAAACATAATTATATGCTTATATTTTGAATGTATATACTTTTAATGACTGTATGGATATATGGTGAAAAGATTTTTTCCCCCTTAAAGTTTTCTTGGATTTGTTCAAAAGTATTTTATATGGATACTAATTCAGGAAATTCATTATGTGAATACCTAATTAATCTTACTTTGAAGAATGTTGGTTTTTTACATTGAGGTAAAATTCAAATAACAAGGTTCACAGTTTAAAGCATTTTGAAGTATACAATTCAATAATTTTTAATATATTCACAGAGTTGTGCAACCATCGCCACAATGTAATTCCAGGACATTTTCATCATCCCCACAAGAAACTTCATACCTATTAAGTAGTCACTCCCCATCTCCCTTGCCTCCTCAATCCCTGGCAATCCCAAATCTATTTCTGCCTCTTGACAATGTCCTCTGATGCATAAAATATTTTAACTTTGATAAAGTCCATTTACCTGATTTTTCTTTTGCTGCTTGTACTTTTGGTGTTATAATTTATGAGACCACTGCTAAATTCAAGGTGATGATGATTTGTCCCTATGCTTTCTTCTAAGAGTTCTGTAGTTTTAACTCTTCCATTTAGGTCCTTGATTGATTTTTAAATTAATTGGGATATATGGTATGAGGTAAGGGACCACCTTTATGCTTTTATGTATGTGGCTATTCAGTTCTTCCACCATCATTGTTGAAAAGACTATTCTTTCCTCCACTGAATGGTTTTGACGCCCTTGTCAAAAATCATGGCCAGGCGTGGTGGCTCACACCTGTAATCTCAGCACTTTGGGAGGCTGAGGTGGGTGGATCACCTGATGTCAGGAGTTCAAGACCAGCCTGGCCAACATGGTGAAACCTTGTCTCTACTCTAAAAATACAAAATTAGCCGGGTATGGTGGCACGTGCCTGTATTCCCAGCTACTTGGGAGGCTGAGGCAGAAGAATCACTTGAACCCAGGAGGTGGAGGTTGCAGTGAGCCGAGATCGTGCCATTGCACTCCAGCCTGGGCAAAAAGAGTGAAACTCTGTCTCAGAACAAAACAAAACAAAACCATCAACTGACCATAGATAATATGGGTTTATTTCTGGAATCTCAATTTGAATCCATTGATCTAGGTGTCTATCCTTGTAATTTAACTACTGTAGCTTTGCGGTAAGTTTTTAAATTGTGTAGTGTGAGTCTTCTAATTTTGTGCTTCTATTTCAAGATTGTTTTGGTATTCAGGGTCTCTTGCAGTTCTGTATGAATTATAGGATCGCCTTGTCCATTTCTGCAGAAATGATAATTAAAATTTTTATAGGGATTGCACTGAATCCGTAGATCAATTTAGGGAGTACTGACATTCTAACAATAATGTCTCCCAATCCATGAACATGGGATGTCTTTTGATTTATTTATTTAACTTATGCTTTATAGTTTTCAGCATCCAAGTCTTGCACCTCCTTGATTAAATTTATTCCTAAGTATTTAAATCTTTCTGATGCTTTTGTAAATGGAATTGTTTTCTTAATTTCCTTTTCAGATTGTTCATTGCTAGGATATAGACATACAACTGATTTTCATATGTTGATTTTGTTTCTCACAATTTTGTAAACTTTCATTAGCTCTAATAGTTTCTTTGTGGATTAAGACTTTCTACAAATAAGATCATGCCATCTGTGAATGGAGATAGTTTTATTTCTTCCTTTCCAATTTAGATGCCATGTAAAATTTTTCTTGACTAAACTGCACTGACTAGAACCTCCAGTATGCCATGTAACACAGAAGTACAAGTGCAGACATCCTGCCTTTTTTCTGATGGTGGAGGGAAACCTTTCAATCTTTCATCAGTAAGTACGTATTTAGCTGTAGATTTTTCAGACGTTCTTGAGGAAGTTTCCTTCCATTCCTAGTTTTTTAATGTTTTCATCATAAAATGGTGTTAGATTTTGTCAGATCTTTTTCTTCATCAACTGAGATGGTCATGTAGTTCTTGTCTTTTGGTCTACTAATGTGGAGTATTACATTAATTGATTTCCATATATTTATCATGATGGGGAACTCTGTCAAATGTTTTTTCTACATCAGTTGAGATAATCATGTGGTTTCTTTCTTCATTCTATTAATGTAGTGTACTACATTGACTGATTTTCGTATGTTGAACCATTCTTGCATCCATGAATAAATGCCACTTGGTCAGGGTGTATAACATTTTTAATATGCTGCTGTATTTGGAGTGCTCTTTTGTTTTCAGCTATTATTTCTTCAAGTATTCTTTCTGCCCTTTTCTCTCTCTTCTTTGGGACTCCTATAATGCATACATTGATATGCGTGATAGCATCCTACAGTTCTCTCAGACTCTGGTCATATTTCTTTACTCCTTAATTTTTTCCTGCTTCTTGAATTGGGTAATCTCAATTGACTTAAATGAAACTCACTGGTTCTTGCTTCTGTCTGCTCAAATCTGCTTGCTGCTGAACCCCTATGGTAAATTTTTCATTTTAGTTATGCTTTTCAATTCTGGAATTTCTATTTAGTTCCTTTTAATTATTTCTTCCTCTTTACTGATATTCTGTAATGGTGAGATATCATTATCATGGGTTCCTTTACTTCCTTCATCATATTTAAAACAGTTGATTTAAACTTTGTGTCTATTAAGTCCAAAGTCTAGGCTTCACAGGGGCAGTTTCTATTAATTTCTTTTCTTTTTATTTATTTTTTGAGACAGGGTCTCTTTATGTTACCTAGGCTGGTCTCAAACTCCTGAGCTCAAGTGATCCTTCTGCCTTGGCCTCCCAAAGTGCTGGGACTACAGGTATAAGCTACCACACCCAACCTGATTTCTTTTCTTTCCTATGTATGGGACATGTTTTCTTGTTTCTTTGCATGCCTTGTAATTTTTTGTTGAAAACTGGAAATTTTAAATATTATATTCTGGCAACTCTAGAGACATAATTTTCTCTACTCCCTAGGATTTGTTGTTGCTGCTTTTGCAGTTGTTTGTTTAGTGACTTTTCTGAACCAATTTTATAAAATCTATATTATCTGTCATGTGTGACCAGTGATGTGTGTGCTATTTTAGCCTCGTGGTCAGTTGGT
The DNA here is from genome assembly GCF_000001405.40 of Homo sapiens. Classification (NCBI taxonomy): domain Eukaryota; kingdom Metazoa; phylum Chordata; class Mammalia; order Primates; family Hominidae; genus Homo; species Homo sapiens. The sequence continues at coordinate 112,589,651 of NC_000001.11, forward strand.
GATTTGATAGAGGTTTCCTTAAACACCTGGGAACAAAACCAAACAAAACACAAAAAGCAAAAGTATTTGCAGATGGGCTCTGTGTGGGTGCTAGGGCACACCTTCAACATTCAGCCAAACAGTTTACAACTCTGCCTTAGCCTTCTCCTCCTACTTGTACAGAACATGAAGGTTAGGCAGACTTGACAGCTTAGGACTTTCTCAAGTCTTTTCTGAGCATATGCCCAGCTCTGGCTGTGTGTGGGGCCTTGATTCCCAGAAACATGTGGGAGCTTTTTAGAGCCTTTATTCCTCAAAGTGTCTAATTCCCGAGACTTTGCTCACAAGCTTTCTGGTTTGTCTATTGTTTGTCCTTCCTGTTATCCCTTGCCCCAGGCAGCAGCAGCTAATGCATTTGCCTTTAAATGTTTTTAACAAATGACCCAGAGTGTAGTTATGTCAATTCTGGGAGAGTTTTGAAATTGAAAACTCTCTTCTTTCAGTAAGCTGAAATAAAGCAAGCCCTTTGAGCTAGTCCTTCAGAAAGCCAACAGACAGGTCAAAACAAACGACCACAGTTCTTTGAAAATAAGGTCCATTCCACTTCCTCTGGTACTAGAAACCTATACCTGGAATGTACTCTGTTGTCTTCAAGACTGCCACTGAGCTAGGGAGTGAGGGATGGGGCCAGGATAAATAAAGCACTACAAAGCTTTCTTAGAGAGATTTAGGTGTTTTTCCCCTTGATTAAGCATTCACTAGGTTACTGTAAACTTTTCATTAGTTTCCAGAGTTTTAATAAAGTTGATCCTGCCAGTTTCTGCCAGTTTATTATTTTGGCATTCTTTACTCTGCCATTTTTGCTCCACCGTGGGAAGGTCTTCTTAATAAGGATAGCGTATATACTTGGGGGAGAAGGTTCAGGGAACAACTCTAAATTTACATTATTCAGGAAGCATTCCTTGATAAACCCCAACTGGAACCATATTTTCACTCTTGGTATTTATTTAGTCTGCATTAGATTAGTATTTATTGATCTGTTCCTTGTAAATAGTAAGTTGCCTTGTGATTTTACATTTTGCCTTTTCAAAATATAAAGTTCAAACAAAGAACTATAAAAAAATGCTGCTAACATGGAAAAAAATAAACTTGACAGAGCTATGTTTTACTTATTTTTAATCCCCTTCTCATGCCTTCAAGTCCATTAGCAACTAAAGTACTCAAGATTGAATGCTTTAAGTGAATGTTTTAAACGAAAAAATTAAAACAGGTGCATAAATACATTTGTATTTTAGTACCCTTTTTTTTTTTTTTTTTTTGAGACAGAGTCTTGCTCTGTCGCCCAAGCTGGAGTGCAGTGGCATGATCTTGGCTCACTACAAACTCCACCTCCCGGGTTCATGCCATTCTCCTGCCTCAGCCTCCTGAGTAGCTGGGACTACAGGCGCTCGCCCCCATGCCCGGCTAATTTTTTGTATTGTTTAGTAGAGACGGGGTTTCACCGTGTTAGCCAGGGTGGTCTCGATCTCCTGACCTCATGATCCGCCTGCCTCGGCCTCCCAAAGTGCTGGGATTACAGGTGTGAGCCACCACACCCGGCCTAGTATGTTAGTACCCTTTTAACTATAAAGTATTATCACCATTCTCCATGAGCATTCTCCATTTTGAAAAGTATTTCTAGCATAATTTCTATTCAAAAGCATATATAGATTTACAATTTCAGAAGCAAAATACAGATGTTGGCAAACACTGAAAATTTTATTAAATATCTATAACATGCAAAAAGGAAATGACTAATGACTCCAAGTGTCTTAGGAACAGACAAAGGAGACATAAAAATCATTTGCCTTGGTTTCCTTCAAAATAAATTTATTTTCCATATATTTCAAACTTACTCATTGTTTAATTCTAAAGCTTGATAGGCTGCTTTGATTCGAGCTGGAGGATTTCTTTCCCTCCAAGCCTTCTGCATAACTGTAGAAAAAAATTCCATAAAATAGATGAGATGGTAAAAAAATAATCTGCAAAATTATGAAGAATAAGGTAGTGGAGTAAGCAAAGCTTTAAATAATATATTCTTAAACATACAAAACAAGAAACTAGGTTATTAGTTCACATTATCTATTATGAGAAATTTACATTAAATTTGTAAGCTTCACATAAAATAAAAATATATTCTTTCTCTGATTTATTTTAACAATATACAGGGTACCTAAACAAGTTAATTATATCATTATTATGTATGAACATTTATATATCTAAATGCTTGTTAACATTGAGTTTAAGTGACATCACATTATAATCAATATGAAATATTACAGTTCTACTTTTATCATTCTGAAAAGGTTTTATGGAACTGCTAAAAATAAAAATATACAAAAACTTAAAAACAAAGTCTTTGTCTAATGAATGATTCACTCTACGAAGAATGTACGGGCTTGCGTTTTGTGTAAAAGGGCAAAAAAAAAAAAGGAATTAATTTAGAATATAGTACCTCTAGAAAATGTCAGCCTCTATCAGGATTCAACAAAGGCCTGAGTTAGGATTTCTTTGGAATATTAATTTTGCTACCAATTTACTGTACCAAAATGAAGACTTCACAGTAAGTAAAGTTTTCTTTAATTAAATAAACAAATAAAGTAGACTCAGAAGACAAACTGGCCCATTTCAAGTTTGATAAGAAAAATAGAGAACCTATGAGTGTTGCTTTTGGAACAAAACCTGCAACTGTCCAGGAAGAATAATGTGAAAAATGTTTGAATTTTCCTTTGGAAACAAAATATTAGTCTCAGCTTAGAAAAGGAGTCAATATATTCCACTTGTGTAACAAAAATACATTTCTCATATCAAACATGTCACCAGCTAGCTGCCACCTAACGCTTCCTGAACTTGACAAACTGATGAAAGTCAGCACCCATCTGATACTGGCCAGGTAAAGAACATCATTCTGCTGCAACACTAAATATTACATTAAAATAATGCATAATACTAGACTTGTAATTTTTGATGATAGGCTGTCTTCTATGAGTTATATGATATTTACAGGTCAAATTTTAACACTGAATCTTTATTAACATTTTAAATTGTTATTTGGTACTCTAGTATATTAAATACATACCCTAATTTATCTAACAAATTCCCTTTTGATGGACAATTAAGTCATACTAAGTTTTTTGCTAATACAAAACATTGTGATAACAATCTTTCAGTATGTGTTTTCATATCTAATTAAATATTTCCTTTCTAGAAGTAGAACAGCTGACTAAAATATGTATATTTTAAAAGATTCTGGATCTGTAACAAGTTTGGGGAGTTAGGAGAAAAAAAAAGACTCCAGATATACACCCCCCAAATTCCACAATAAGACTGTATTAATTTATACTTTTTCAGGCAGTGTAACACAGTATAATCAGTCTTTGCTAATTTAACACCTTAACACAGTATTATCAATCTTTGCTAATTTAACATCTGAAACTTATTTTCATTTGTGTTTTTTTAAATTTCTAGTGAGGTCATCTAATTCACCTTTAAATATTTTATCTTATTCTTTTGTTTTCAAATGCTCTACCTAGCCTTTCAAGAGTATTCTTCACAACCAAAGCAGTCCTAAGCCTAAGCAGAAAGGAGAAATAAAGTTGATGGGGGAAAAATGTATATATTTTTTTCTAAAATAAGGCTTAGGAGTAATTTAAAACAAAATGCTGATTTGGTATTCAATTGTCCTCTTTAAGGGCTCTTAATATGCTGAATATAATTAAAACAAGCAATTAGCAATTCACTCAAATTTATCTATTTTTCAAGTTAAATAACATTCTAATAAGCTAACAAGCACAAAACAGATCAGCAGTTATCATAAGGTCAGGGGTCATAAATATGTAAATGCCTACAAATGCCAGGCATTAAACATAAATGAGTGAACTGAAAGCACATTCACTGTCTCAAAGGGAGAGCCACAACTCAGTTCCATCTTATTACTGTCAAGTGTAAATTCAAGTTCAATTTTGCCCTATTTTTCAAACTTCAAAAGGCATAAATTCAGATTTTAATGTAAAATCTCCTGATTTTTAAATGCTGAAGAAAAAAATCCAAAAAACAATGGTGGGCCCTTCTGGATAAGTTTGTTCTCTGCCCTAGATAAATTAATAGAATAAGAACAAAATCTAATTTAGTTATTACTGATGACAGTAAGTCAAGAGAAATTTGCCACATCACAAAAATACACATTTGTATTTCTGAAAATAAAACTACTGATATAAATCATGACCTTTATGTGAGGGTCTGAAAAGATCAATATGGAATCAACAGTCCATTTCTGAAGATCATTCACAGATACACTCTGTCCTCCTTGAGTTCAACCTTTAGCTGGGGTTAGACACACCTCTAGAGAAGTACATAAAACTTTGCAAGGACCAAAATGGAATACATGGTTTTAAGAAAATCAACTTCTAAAGCTTCAACTTTATCACTCTTTCCTATAACTGATCTACCAAAGAATGTTTCTCTGGTTTCCCTATCCTACCTAACCACAATTCCTATACCTGCTCACTGCAAAGATATGTTCCTTTCTCTTATTTTACAGAAAAAAAAAAAAAAAAAAAGGGCTTACTTCTTACCCATCCTGAATCTTACAAGATGTACTGCCCTATAGTGTAAAAATCTCCAGGTGCCAAAGGGACAATTCAAAGTTTGGGTTGGGGGCAACCATGTTTAATCAAGACATCCTATAATAGTATTGCTGCCTTTTATTTATTAAACAGTGAAGCTTGGCATTGGAAAGAAAGTATTCTGGCCGTGTATTCAAGTATATTACAGAATGAAGAAGGGAATGATAACAATTTTTAACAGTTCTATTAGCACCCCTCCCTACTTACTATCAAAGAATGGATTGCTCCTAGGGGAAGGTCCCCTCACATCAAGGCAAAGCAGGCATTAGCAAGGAGTAATAAAGGTAGTGAAGCCTAATTTCGGCCAAGTGGTAAGTTCTAGGCAAAGTTCCAAGACACAGCTATCTTTCTATCTTAGAATCTGAATTCAGAAGACAGATGGTTGTCATGGGGAGGCATGTTAATATGTTTATTTAAATTGAAAAATGAAGTCAGACTGCTCTGTCAGAAAGTAAATATGATTTCGTTGATAGAACTGACAATGAGAACTCACCCAGTCAATTAGATTATATACAGAACCTTCCACAAAGTTTAAAGAGCTAAATATGTAGCTCTAAGGATTTGACAGAAATATAATTAAAGCATGTCATAACACTTAGAACCTTACAGTCAAATGCAATTTAAATTTTTAAAAATTACATTAGAATGTTTTATTGTGGAAAAGGATGGAAGTGTGATACCAGACTCTACAGCATGAAATAATGATAATAAAATTATATAGGAATGCAAAACAGATATGTGTTCAAGAAGAAAAAAGACAACATTTACTACTGTTAAAGGGCATTTGGTAAGCTGGGCGTGGTCGCTCACGCCTGTAATCCTAGCAATTTGGAAGACCAAGGGGGGGCGGATCACCTGAGGTTGGGGTTCGAGACCATCCTGACCAACATGGAGAAACCCTGTCTCTACTAAAAATACAAAATTAGCCGGGCATAGTGGTGCATGCCTGTAATCCCAGCTACTCAGGAGGCTGAGGCAGGAGAATTGCTTGAACCCAGGAGGTGGAGGTTGTGGTGAGCCGAGATTGCACCATTGCACTCCAGCCTGGGCAACAAAAGCAAAACTTGGTCTCAAAAGAAAAAAAAAAAAAAAAAAAAAAAAAAAGAGCATTTGTTTACGTATTGTTTTGCTTGCTTGGTTGTTTTTTTAGATATAGGGTCTTTGTCCCTCAGGCTGCAGTGCAGCAGTGCCATCATAGCTCACTGCAGCCCCAACCTTCTAGGCTCAAGAGATCCACCCACCTCAGCCTCTCAAGTAGCTGGGACTACAGGCATGTACCACCACATCTGATGAATTTTAAACTTTTTTTGTAGGGATGGGGTCTTACTGTGTTGCCCAGGCTGACAAACTCCTAGACTCATGGGATGCTCCTACCTTGGCCTCTCAAAGTGCTGGGATTACAGGCATAAGCCACTGTCCTTGGCCTATTTATGTATTTTTCAATGGATTGTAGTGGGTATTAAATCATTTGATTTCATAACATAGATTGAAATATAGGGTATACTATTATTTTTAAATGTCTGTATTTTGCAATATGTCAAAAATTACATTCTCTATGATTATTTAACCTTATGATGTCAACTTAAAAATGTGTGAAGGGACATATTCTTTTTCAAAATTCTTTTGGGAGATATTCAAATAAAAATGTTTTAATACCACAACTTCAGTAGATAGCCATGATTGCTATTTTAAAAGCCTGCTGACGTTTGCAATTCAGTGTCACTCTGTGAGAGGGGCTGTGAGAGAAAGGGTGGTGAGACCTAACTTCCAGAGTCACTCAACCCTTAAAGTTAACATACAGTACTGATACTGTGCTGCTGTTATTTCCCCAACACCTATCCTTTTGCCATTAATATAAACATTAAGCATATAAACATAAATCTATTTTTTTTACTCCTTTATTGCAATTAAACCATTTTATGTAATCATACCAAAGATTCATGGGTTTCCTATCATCCACTCTTAACCTATTTAATCTAGCAAAGATAAATCACTATGAACTCATTTTAATGCAGGAAACTGGCTATTTTTCAGACCCTTCAGTGATTTTGTGGTGGGTAGAAGCAGTAATAGTGTAGTGGTTAACAGCCAGTCTTGAGTTTGAAACATGGTTTTATCAATATTAGCTGTGTGACTCAAGGCATATTACTTGATCCCCCTTTGCTTCGGTTTCTTTATTGTTAAAATGGGGCTGATAATACCACCTATCTCATCAAGTGACTGGGAAGATTAAATTTCTATAAATTGCTCAGAACAGTGCCTGGCACATAGTAAGCCTAGGCAAGTATTAGCTATTATTAGTGAAATTGCTTAGACATCTGTGACATCTAGGCCATTCATTCATTCATACTTTTTTTTTTTTGAGATGCAGTCTCACTCTGTCGCCTAGGCTAGAGTGCAATGGCCCAATCTCAGCTCACGGCAAACTCCACCTCCGGGATTCAAGTGATTCTCCCACCTCAGCCTCCCGAGTAGCTGGGATTACAGGCACCCACCATCATGCCCAGCTAATTTTTATATTTTTGTAGAGACGGGGTTTTACCATGTTGACCAGGCTGGTCTCGAACTCCTGACCTCTGGTGATCCATCCACCTCGGCCTCCCAAAGTGCTGGGATTACAGGCGTGAGCCACCGCGCCCAGCCCATTCATACTTTCCTCAAAGAATAAATATTAATATTTACATTATGCCAGGCAATGTGCTGGATAATAGAGATTCAAAGATGAAGAGAATATAGTCCCTGCTGTCCAAAAGTTTATACCCTAGTAGCAAAGACAAACATGAAAGCAATATAATAACATTAACAAATAAATGTTTGTGGCTGAATAAATTAACTAAAGTTACTTCATAGAGGTTTAGACAAAGTAGTATAGAACTGCAGAAAACAAAATGTTTAATTCTATGACAAGGAATCCCAGAGAGGGCTTTCTAGAAAATGTGACTTTCAATTTGGATAATGAAGGATAAAAAGTAACTCATCAGATAGATAAGGAGGGTGAGTGCATTCAAAGTAGAAGAAAAATTGTGATAAAGATCCCAGACCAGGGCACAGTGGCTCATGCCTATAATCCTAATGCTTTGTAATGAGTTTGAGGTTACTTGGAGCTATGATTGCACCACTGCACTCCAGCCTGGACAACAGAGTGAAATCAATCAATCAATCAGCCCTGTCTTTAAACCATAAAATTAAGAGTCTCAATACTCTCTTCTATAGATAAGCACTTAGAGAAAACTAAACACAGAAATTTCTATGATCTTCTACCACTTTATATGTATCTCTAACTCACGACTAAAACAAAATAGACTCCAGTTTTCTGTACATGCCATTCTCCAATGTTTATACATTGACCTGTTCTTCTATTTTATGTATAATTGCAGGTGTTCATTTCCCAGACAGAAATGGGGTACACTGTTTTCTGGAAAAGTAGTTGCTATATTTGATCTGAAAGGTTTTTGAAGTAGTAAAAGAAATATGAAATATTTTAAATTCTTTATAAGGAAAAGCAGTGTATCAACCTAGCTTATAGTCATAATTTAATCTGAGTTTGTTATCAATAATATAAACAACTCCAAGCCAAATAACTAAATAACTCTGTATATTATAATAAATAACTCTAAAGAACTTTTAAGATGATCTTCATGATCACTGTTTATACTATGAACAGATATGATACATACCTGTGTCTGAAGGACGTAAAAAATCTGTGTCACAGGTGAAAAAGGTCTGATGGTCCTGAGCTGACAGGTTCATGTCATAGTATGTAAGTGGCTCTTTACCAGTCACCCAAGTGTATCTTTACCAAAACACAACAAAATATTTAAATTGAACATGAGAGAGCATCTATCTGCTATAACAGACACTACTTAAATTCAAAAATGTACTGCTACACATTTGGATGTTTTAAAATCTTACAATCAGTAAAACAAAAGATAACCTCACAAACTACTTAAAGTATGATAATAAAACATCAAAGACCAAATAGAAAAATAATATTCAATAAACAACTGCTTCTGAAAATTGAATTGGGCCGGGTGCCGTGGCTCATGCCTGTAATCTCAGCACTTTGGGAGGCTGAGGCTGGTGAATGACTTGAGACCTGCAGTTTGAGACCAGCCTGGGCAACATAGTGAGCCAGTGAGCCCTGTCTTTACCAGAAAAAAAAAAAAAAAAATTCAGCCAGGTGCAGTGGCTTGCACCCGTAATCCCAGCTACTGGGGAGGCTGAAGCTGAAGGATCACTTGAGCCCAAGAGCTCAAGACTAGCTTGAGCAATATAGCGAGATCTTATCTCTATTTTTTAACTAAAAAAAAAAAAGACTCAGTAAAACGAAAATTAAGGATTGGGAATTGAGACACAAAATGAAGCCTGGAATGGAGCTAACATATGAAATGTATACCCAAAAGTTATACTTTAACATTAAGAGAAAATAATCATTCAAAAGAAGCATAAGGATTCCTGATACTAATAAATTTATCCTAGGCCAGGCACAGTGGCTCACGCACGCCTTAATCCTTGGCACTTTGGGAGGCTGAGGCAGGAGGATCACTTGGGGTTTGAGGAGTTTGAGACCAGCCTGGCCAATATAGTAAAACCCTGTCTCTCCTAAAAATACAAAAATTAGCCGCATGTGGTAGCGGCCGCCTGTGATCCCAGCTACTTGGGAGGCTGAGGCAGAAGAATCACTTGAACCCAGGAGGAGGAGATTGCAGTGAACCAAGATCATACAACTGCACTCCAGCCTGGATGACAGAGAGAGACTCAGCCTCAAAAAAAAAAAAAAATATATATATATATATATATATATATATATATATATATGTGGATGTGTGTGTATACACACACACACACACACACACACACACACACACTTCTTTTCAAGATCTTCAGGAAATGGATACTGCATAATACAACAAATAGCCTCAAACTTTGATTAAACACAGTAAGAGATACAAGGACCTGTTTCTTACAGGTATCCCTTAACACAGGCTAATGGCATCTTTCATAAAAGCCTGGCTTTCACTTCACAGAATGTCACTATCTTACACTATCATGTCTTTAAGCATAGGAGTTATTGCTTAGTCATTTTTGTATCTCCATCATTTTGCACAGTGCCTGTACATGGTACAAACATAATGTTTCTTATTCAATAAGTTAAATAACATGCCCCATTCTACTTCTGGGTAAAACGCAGCACTCCTCAAAATAAAAGTAAAGTATCTTTGCTCATAAGTTTCAAAAGATGTTTTCTCATTTAGAGTTAAAAACCAGAAGAGAAATGGACACAGTAGTGAAAATAGGAAGCGGCAATATGAAGTCAATATATAGTCCCTCTACTGTTGCACAATTTACATTCAGAGTGATATTTTCTAATGCATCCTCAAATTTTGAAATTTAGCACTCATGCACAGGAATATGCTGACACTGGTAATTTTTTCTTAATGTCACAAATTCTTTGAAAAAGGCTTTTTATAAACCAGGGGCCTAATACATACTTAAATGTATACAATGTATACTTATACGTATCACAAATACTTATATGTATTATAAACCAGGGGCCTAATATATACTTATACGTATCACAAACATATAGTTTGATGTAATGTTTCTTATGATTATCAAATTAAACACAGGCTATGTGTGGTGGCTCATGCTTGTAATTCCAGTGATTTGGAAGGCCAAGGCAGGAGTATTACTTGGGCCCAGAAGTTTGGGACCAACCTTGGCAACATAGCAAGACCCCTGTCTACCAAAAATTTTTTTTTTTGAGATGGAGTTTTGCTCTTGTCGCCTGGGCTGGAGTGCAATGGCGTCATCTCAGCTCACTGCAACCGTTGCCTCCTGGGTTCAAGTGATTCTCCTGCCTCAGCCTCCCAAGTAGCTGGGATTACAGGTGTCTTCCTCCACGTCCAGCTAATTTTTGTTTTAGTAGAGACGGGGTTTCACCATGTTGGCCAGGCTGGTCTTGAACTCCTGACTTCAAGTGATCCGCCCACCTTGGCCTCCCAAAGTGCTGGGATTACAGGCATGAGCCACTGCACCTGGCCTCTACCAAAAATTTAAAAAAATTAGCTGGATGTGGTCTCTGCCTATGGAGTAGCGATTCTTTTATTCCTTTCCTTTCTTAATAAACTGGCTTTCACTTAAAAAAAAAAATTAGCTGGATGTGGTGGCATGTGCCTATAGTCCCAGCTACTTGGGAGGCTGAGGCAGGAGAATTCCTTGAGCCCAGGAGCTCAAGGCTGCAGCTAGCTATGATCGTGCTACTGCACTCCAGCCTGAGTGACAGGGCAAGACTCTATCTCTAAAAAATTTTAATTAAAAAAAAAAAGTAAACACAGTGAAGATGCTGCCAAATAAACTGTGGACTAATCATTTTACTTTATCATAGACCAGTATCTTCTACTAGAAGAGCTGCGATATATTTATAAAGACAAATGATTTTGTAAATACCTTTACTCTAAAACCAATGCCCTACTTATACTGAAAGCAAAATGTAATACCTCCTATATTCTGCTCCTCTGAAAAGATTTAGAGGGTTTCTCCATACCTTACATTCTGAAAAACAAGGGAGAAAAAGGGGGAAAAAGAGACACTTTAAAATCTTCATTTAACCAATATCTATTGTCTACCCACTGTAGGCTAATCACAGTGCTAGCCACAGATGGTACAAAGATGAATAAAGCATGCTTTCAAAAAACAGAATTAAATCTAGTCATTTCCTTATTTCTGTCTCCATAGTATTTGGTTCATAATTCAGTTATAGCACTTACCATATTACAATGTGATTATCTGCTTGGTTTTGTTTCCCCTTTAAAATATGAAGTTTTAAAACTTCGCTCATTTTTCTATTCCTAGAACCAAGCACAGCATCTAGAACTGACTTGCTTAACTGAATTAAATATAGTATGAGAGTAGTCATGTAAATGGCCTGAACTCTGTAATAACAGACATGTTTTGTTCTTTTTGTTTTGAGACAGAGTCTCGCTCTGTCACCCAGGCTGGAGTACAGTGGCGCAATCTCAGCTCACTGCAAGCTCCATCTCCCGGGTTCACGCCATTCTCCAGCCTCAGCCTCCCGAGTAGCTGAGACGACAGGCGCCTGCCACCACACCCGGCTAATTTTTTGTATTTTTAGTAGAGACAGGGTTTCACCATGTTAGTCAGGATGGTCTCAATCTCCTGACCTCGTGATCCGCCTGCCTTGGCCTCCCAAAATGCTGGGATTACAGGTGTGAGCCACCGCGCCTGGCCAGACACGTTTTGTTCTAAGAGAAAAAAAAAGAAGTGATTAAATTTGTTCTGGGAAAATCAGGGAAGGCTTTAGAAAGGTGGTGATATTTGAACTGATGTTGAATCACTGTAAAAAATGAGAGTAAGCTTGCAAAATGACGAACATCTGCAGCAGAGGAAGTGTCATAAAACCATACAGCATGGTTAGGCTAGAGTACAGGGTAAGGAGTGTGAGGGAGAAGTGTAAATGGGGTTAGAAAATAGACTGGAAGAGGCCGGGCATGGTAGCTCACGTCTGTAATCCCAGCACTTTGGGAGGCCAAGGTGGGCAGATCACCTAAGGTCAGTAGTTCAAGACCAGCCTAGCCAACATAATAAAACTCCATCTCTACTAAAAATACAAAATTAGCTGGGCATGGTGGTGCGTGCCTGTAATCCCAGGTACTCAGGAGGCTGAGAGTGAGACAGAAGAATTGCTTAAACCTGGGAGGCGGAGGTTGCAGTGGATGGAGATCGCACCATTGCATTCCAGCCTGGGCGACAAGAGCAAAACTCCATCCAAAAAAAAAAAAAAAAAAAAGAAAAGAAAAGAAAATAGACTGTAAGAAATTGATGAAGGACCGTTATGTACTACAGTAAAGAGTTTAGATATTATCCTTGGTCATCAAAGGTTTATAAGCAGAAAAATAACAAATATCAAATCTTTGTTTAGATCAGCAGTTCTCAAAGTATGATTCATGGAACTGCAAAGTAACAATTCTTCAAAATAAATTCTAAGACATTATTTGCCTTTTTAAATGTGTTTACTTGAACTCAGTTGCATGACCCTGAGAGTAAGGGTGTCCTTAAATTTTGTACATCAGGCACCTGCCTCACTTGTCTTACTCGTCCTACAAAATTGAACAGGTGATGAAAAGTCAATGATGGGTAAAACTGCTAGTACATTAGCATGAGTCAAGACAATGACAACAAACTGTACTAGAAGTCATTGGATTCTTCACTTCCACATCCTTACAGTAAAAATAAGGCAAATTTCTTTTAAACATTATAGCAGGTATGATGGTTGTCTCTAGTAAAGCAATTGTTTGTGAGAACTGGCCCCTTTTGTAATGAAACACCACTTTTACTTGAAAGAGCCACACACAAATTTAACGGTTATTTAGATGGGTACCTGGCAGACATTTTCTTTCTTTTTTTTTTTTTTTTTTTTGAGACGGAGTCTCTCTCTGTCGCCCAGGCTGGAGTGCAATGGTGCAATCTCCGTTCACTGCATGCTCCGCCTCCCAGGTTCACGCCATTCTCCTGCCTCAGCCTCCCGAGTAGCTGGGACTACAGGTGCACCCACCACCACGCCCGGCTAATTTTTTTGTATTTTTAGTAGAGACGGGGTTTCGCCATCTTAGCCAGGATGGTCTTGATCTGCTGACCTCGTGATCCACCCGTCTCGGCCTCCCAAACTGCTGGGATTATAGGCAGCCACCGCGCCCGGCCCCTGGCAGATATTTTCTTAAAAATGAACTGAGTCTGTCAAGAAAAAGGAAGAAAATGAAAGTATTTGCTGCCAGTGATAAAATTTGAGCTTTCAAGTACATACTGAAATTTTTAAAAATGTATGTCTGCTACTGTGAGCCTGGCAAATTTCACAATAAAGACTTTTCTGTGAGAATGGTGATGATATTAACAAGTGAGTTTTTTCGTATTATGCAATAAGATGGATCATGATATGGATATGATATGCATAATTCAGTGAACAAGTATTTTCCAAACAACCAATGTATGATATAAAATTATGCATCGGTAAAAGATCCATTCAAAATGTTAAGATATACCAATAGATTTTCACATAACAGAGCATGCAAAGTTCAGATTTTACACTGCAACTAAACTTTCAGAAGAGTACTCATAGAAAGTTTTAGTGTAGTATCAAAAAAAGGTATCCACAATTTTCTGAGAAGATTATTAAAATACTCCTCCCCTTTCCAATTACACATCTGTGTGATGCCAGGTTTTCTTCATACACTTCAATCAAACACCATTTCACAATAGACAATGGAGAATAAGCTGTCTTCTATTAACTGAACTTTTTCTTGTTGTGGGAAATACATTTTTCACAATGTGTGTATAGCTCAGGCTGCCGTAACAAAATACCATTGACTGTGTGGCTTAACAGAAATTTATTTTCTCACAATTCTAGAGGCTAGAAGTCTGAGATCAAGGTACCTGCAGGGTACCAGCACAGCTGAGTTCTGGTGAAACTGAGTTCTTGTTGTGTTCTCACAAGGAAGAGAGAGCTCTGGTATCTCTTATTATTATTATAAGGCCTTCCTGTCTTATCAGGTTTCCACTCTATTTTATCTTAATTACCACCTGAAGCCCTATTTTCAATAGTCATATGGGGGATTAGGGGTTCAAAATATGAATTTTGGGGAACACAATTCAGTCTACAGCATTCTGGCCCTGGCCCCCCAAAATTCATGTCTTTCATATATAATACATTAATTCGGCTGGGCACAGTGGCTCACGCCTGTAATCCCAGCACTTTGGGAGGCCAAAGTGGGCAGATCACTTGAGGTCATGAGTTTGAGACCAGCCTAGTCAACACAGTGAAATCCTGTCTCTACTAAAAATACAAAAAATTAGCTAGGTATGGTGGCGCATGCTTGTAATCTCAGCTACCTGGGAGGCTGAGGCACAAGAATTGCTTGAACTTGGAAGGCGGAGGTTGCAGTGAGCCGAAATGGTGCCACTATACTTTAGCCTAGGCAACAGAGCGAGACTTCATCACAAAATAAATAAATAAAAATACAACAATTCTCCCCCAAAAGTCTTAACTCATTCCAGCATCAATTCTAAAATCTAAAGGCCAAAGTTTCATCTAAATATTATCTGAATCAGACATAGGAGAGGCTCAAGGTACAATTCATTCTTAGACTCAATTCCTCTCCAGAAGTGAACCTATGGAACCAGACAAGTTATGTGCTCCCAATATACAGTATGATGGTGGGCAGACATAGGATAGACATCCCCATTCTCAAATGAAAAAAATCAAAAGGAAGGAAAGGGTAATGGTTACCAAGTCCAAAACCTAGCAAGGCAAATTCCATTACATCTTAAAACTTGAATGCCAGGCACAATGGCATTCCTGTACATGCCTGTAATCCCAGCTACTCAGGAGGCTGAGGCAGGAGGATCACTTGAGCCCAGGAGTTCAAGACCCCAGCCTGGGCAACATAGTGAGGCCTTGTCTCTCTTAAAAAAAAAAAAAAAAAAAAAAAAAAAAGACTGGGCGTGGTGGCTCATGCCTGTAATCCTAGCACTTTGGGAGGCCAAGGCGGGTGGATCACCTGAGGTCAGGTGTTCAAGATCAGCCTGGCCAACATGGTGAAACCCCATCTCTACTAAAATACAAAAAAAATAGCTGGGCGTGGTGGTGCATGCCTGTAATCCCAGCTACTCGGGAGGCTGAGGCAGGAGAATCATTTGAACCCAGGAGGCAGAGGTTGCAGTGAGCAGAGATCACGCCATTGCATTCCAGCCTGAGCAGCAAGAGTGAAACTCCGGCTCCAAAAAAAAAAAAAAAAAAAAGGGCCGGGCATGGTAGCTCACACCTATAATCCCAGCACTTTGGGAGACCAAGGCGGGTGGATCAAGAGATGAGAAGTTCAAGACCAGCCTGGCCAAGATGATGAAACCCCATCTCTACTAAAAACTACAAAAAAATTAGCTGGGTGCAGTGGCAGGTGCCCGTAATAACAGCTACTCGGGAGGCTGAGGCAGGAGAATCACCTGAACCCAGGCAGCAGAGGTTGCAGTGAGCCGAGATTGCGCTCCTGCACTCCAGCCTGGGCGACAGAGTGAGACTCCGTCTCAACAACAACAAAAAGAGGCCAAGTGTGGTGGCTCATGCCTGTAATCCCAGCACTTTGGGAGGCCAAGACAGGCAGATCACCTGAGGTTGGGAGTTCCAGACCAGCCTGACCAACGTGGAGAAAACCCGTCTCTACTAAAAATACAAAATTAGCCAGGCGTGGTGGCGCATGCCTGTAATCCCAGCTACTCGGGAGGCTGAGGCAGGAGAATCACTTGAACCCAGGAGGCAGAGGTTTCAGTGAGTCGAGATCACGCCACTGCACTCCAGCCTGGGCAACAGAGCAAGACTCTGTCTCAAAAAAAAAAAAGAGAAAAAGCTTGAGAATTCTTTTTGGCTTGATACTCTGCCCTCCAGGCCTACTGGGGTGGCAGTGTCACCCCCATATCTCTGTGGTACAGCCCCACCCATGCAGTTCTCTGTGAGGGTGGCCTGGCCCCAGAAACTGGAAAGGCAGCCTCACCCTTTGAAACCAAGGAGGAAACAGCCTTGCCCTCTGGGCCTGTATTGGGAGCAGCAGTCCTGGATTTGGTCATTCTTCCTTTTCTTTGAAGTCAATACATGTTGACAATTGAACAGCTCTATGGTCTGGTCCTGTAGAATCCAAAAAGTCTAACAGCCTTCCTTCATTCTGTCCCACCTTCCCTGTCCCTTTTAGTTCAAACTGGTAGTGTGTTTGCTCGTGTAAACTCAATTCTGTTCCTGGCTTCTACTAAGATGACTAAGTCCATGAAGTGCACACGTGATATCAAATAGTTGTTCAACCACATCCCTACTATTGTCTTCAGAGCAAGTTTTCTCATGTATTTTATAAAATGGATAGGCTGAGAATTTCCAAATCTTCAAGTTGTGGTTCCTTTTTGCTTAACAAGGGCTTCTCCTATTCATCTCTTTCCTTTCACATTTCACTATAAGCAGTCAGAAGAAACTAAGTGGTGCCACTTTGCTTAGAAATCTCCTCAGCTAAATATCCAATGTCATTGCTCTCAAGTTCTACTCTCCCCAAAATGCTAGAATACAGTTCAGCCAGTTCTTTTCCACTTTATACAAGGACCACCTTTCCTCCAGTTACCAACCACATATTCCTCATTTCCACTTGAGACCTCACCAAACTGTCCTTATCCATATTTCAAGTGTGTACCTCAAAACTCTTCCAGCCTCAACTCATTACCCAGCTCCAAAGCTGTTTCCACATATTTAGGTGTTTGTTACAGTGGCACCCCACTTCTTCGTAACAAAATCTGAGTTAGTCAGCTCAGGTTGCCATAACAAAGTATCATATGCTGAGTGGCTTAACAACAGAAATTTATTTTCTCACAATCTGAAGGTTGGAAGTCCAAGATCAAGGTACTAGAATGGTTGGGCTCTGGTGAGGGCTCTCCTCCTGGCCTTCAGAGAGCAGTCTTCTCACTGTGTCTTTGCATGGCAGAGAGACAGCAATCCCTCTCTTCTTCTTACAAAGCCATCAATACTATCAGATTAGGATCCCCTCATTTAACCTTGATTATCTCCTAAAAACCCTAGCTCCTAATACAGTTACATTAGAGGTTAGAGTTTCAACATGTGAATTTTGGGGGACACATTTCAGTCTACAACATGTTAACACGTAATGGATTTACTACTATTAAAATATTTTTAAATTTCCTGCTTTAATTTCTAATATGATAAATATTGATGGATATAGTCCACATTTAAACAAAGGCTCTTTGAGGTCCTGGATAATTTTTTAAGAATGTAAAGGATTTCTTAGTCTAAAAAGTTTGAGAACCACTTTTTTTTTTACCTAGTAAGGAGAGAGTATGTACTAGAAGGGGAAGTGTAAGAGGAAGGGAAACCACTTAGGATACTATAGCAATAGCCAAGGGAAGAGATGTTTAAGGGCCTAGATATGGGGCTATGAATGTTGAAAGAAAAGAAGACAGAATGGGCCAGGCCTGGTGGCTCATGCCTGTAATCCCAGCACTTTGGGAGGCCGAGGTGGATGAATCATCTGAGGTCAGGGGTTTGAGACCAGTCTGGCCAACATGGCGAAAACCCATCTCTACTAAAAATACAAAAATTACTCTGGCATGGTGGCAGGTGCTTGTAATCCCAGCTACTCGGGAGGCTGGGGCAGGAGAATCGCTTGAACCCGGGAGGTGGAGGTTGCAGTGAGCCAAGATCGCGACATTGCACTCCAGCCTGGGCAACAAGAGTGAAATTCCATCTAAGAAAAATAAAAAAGAAGGCAGAATGGAGTCACGATGATTTTTAAGGGGGAATACAATTTGGGGTTGATTGGAGAAAACAGGGGAAATATAAATGATATAAACTAAAAAAAAAACCCAAAGATTGCTAAAATGGAATTGGACGCCATTAGAAGATTTTAGAATTATAGAGGAAGAACTATGGAAGAAGATAATTAGTTTCATTTTGGATGGAGTTCAGGGTGGTTAGGGCCATTAAAGGTGGAAAATTCTAGCAAAGAGTTAGAAATGTAGGTCTAGAGTTTAAAAGAGAACTTGGGGGTAAAAATTTTAAATTGGTTCCCCCCAGCATATATGTCTGTGGTAGCTAATATTATTGAATAAGATGAAGTTATCCAGGGAGAAAAAAATTGAACAAAAGCATGCTTTAATTCACTTAAAAAATTTTTTTTTCCCCCTTGGAGAGAGGGTCTTGCTCTGTCACCCAGGCTGGAGTGCAGTGGCACAGTCATAGCTCACTGCAGCCTCAAACTCCTGGGCTCAAGTGATCCTCCTGCCTCAGCCTCCCAAGTAGCTGGAACTACAGGTGCGTATTACTGTGCCCAACTGATTTTATTTTTTGTAGAGATGGGGGTCTTGCTATGTTGCCCAGGCTGGTCTCAAACTCCTTGTCTCAAGTGATCCCCTTACCTCAGCCTCCTAAAGCACTAGAATTATAGGTTTGGGCCACTGTGCCCAGCTTTTAACTCAATTTGAGATCCAATTCAAGTATTTCCTCTGTGATATATTTTGCGGCCCTCCCTCCAAGAATAACTGACCACTCTTTCTTTTCTGTCACCATAGTATCTTATATAAGACACCATGTATCTTTATAGAGTATCATATATAAGATACTCTATAAAAGCAGTTAACCATACTCTTTTACTGTCAATTTATTTATATCTGTATCCTCTGCCAAGATGAAATGTTCTTAAGGTTATCTTCACTCTCATTATTAATGGCATATTCAGTCTTACAATGGAAAATAAAATCACATCATGTGCTATTGTTATAATTATTTATATATTGAACGCTGAGCTTCATGAGGACAGATCTGTATCGTATTCATCTTAATATGCCTTACTCTTAGGGGTTCTGTAATTATTTTATGAAAAAGAAAGAAGAGGAAAGGAAATGACCATTATTCCTTCTTGTACTCTTGAATGGCTGCCAACCCCACCCCACTATTCCTAGTCAGGCTTCAGGACTCCACTTAAATGGTGCTTCCTCAGGGACTTTGACCAAATCTAAAAAGTGCCACCAGTTGCACTCAGGCAGTATTTTTCTACTAAACTATCATAACTCTAGTGGTAAGCTATTGAACAAATGAGGCATTTGGAATATTATGGAATTAACTCATTTGTATTATTACTATATGGTTATTACCTATCCCAGTGAAAGGAACAATAATCCAAAATATTCATTTTGGCCCAGGAGCGATGGCTCACACCTGTAATTCCAACATTTTGGGAGACTGAGGTGGGAGGATCACTTGAGCCCAGGAGTTCGAGACCAGCCTGGGCAACATACTGAGACCTCATCTCTATTAAAATAATAATAATAATAATTGTATTTGGCTTTGTAAATTTTCCTTTCCTAATTATGTATCATTAAAAATATTTGCTTTCTAGCTGGCCAGGCTCAGTGGCTCACGCCTGTAATCCTAGCACTTTGGGAAGCCGAGGCAGACAGATCACCTGAGGTCGGGAGTTCAAGACCAGCCTGGCCAACATGGTGAAACCCATCTCTACTAAAAATACAAAAATTAGCTGGGTGCAGTGGTACATGCCTGTTATTTCAGCTACTTGGGAGGCTGAGGAAGGAGAATCACTTGAACCCAGGAGGCAGAGGTCGCAGTGAGCTGAGATTGCACCACTGCACTCTAGCCTGGGCTACAGAGACTTCGTCTCAAAAAAAAAAAAAAATGCTGGGTATGGTGGCTCACGCCTGTAATCCCAGAACTTTAGGAGGCCAAGGTGGGCAGATCATGAGGTCAAGAGATTGAGACCATCCTGGCCAATATGGTGAAACCCCATCTCTACTAAAAATACAAAATATTAGCCAGGCATGGTGGTGCATGCCTGTAGTCCCAGCTACTCGGGAGGCTGAGGCAGGAGAATCATTTGAACTTGGAAGGAGAGGTTGCAGTGAGCCGAGATCGCACCACTGCACTCCAGCCTGGCAACAGACAAGATTCTGTCTCTAACTAAATAAATAAATAAATTTGCGATTACTCGACACAAATAGAGGAACAGTCTACAATAAAAGTATGACAATGGAATATCCATCCATGAAGAGCTGAGACTTTGATGCCTTTTTAAGTATACTGAAAAAAATTTTTTTTCCTACTTTTCTCTCTTGGCAGAGATGGCTGTTTCTGTTCTCTCCTTTATTAGTCATAAGATTCCCTGATTTGCTGGGCGTATATATATATATACACTGAGAAAATGATGAAAATTTCTAGCCTTCCTTATAGCTAGTAATGGCCATATGAAACAGACCTGACCAGTAGGAAGTAAGGTGAAATAGTATGTAACATTTCTGAGAATAGTCCTTGGCTTCTGTGGGGTGGAGTAGAGGGAAGTAGTGACCTTACCCCGGATTTCTTTCCTTCCTACTGATTGGAATGTGGATATGATGGCTGAAGCAAGAGCAACAGTCTTACACGACAAAGTAAAAACTACATTTGGAGATGGCAGGCTAACAAAATAGAAGGGGTCTGGGTATCTGATGATTATTGTTTTCCATACTAGCCATGGACTAACTATATTAACATGAAAGACAAATTTCTGTGTCTTGGTCCATTTGGACTGCTATAACAAAATATCACAAACTGCGTAGATTATAAACAGTATAAATTTATTTTTAACAGTTCTGGAGGCTGGGAAGTCTATGACCAAGGTACCAACAAATTTGGTGTCTGGTGAGGGTCTGCTTTCTGGTTCACAGACGGCGCCTTCTCGTGGTGTCCTCCCACGGTAGAAGTGGCAAGCAGCTCTCTGGGGTCTCTCATAAGGGCATTCATCACATCCCTGAGGGCACTGCCCTCATGACCTGATCACCTCCCAAAGACCCTACCTCGTAACATCACATTGGTGATTAGAATTTTGGGGGAAACACAAACATGCACACCACAGCACTCTGCTGTTTTGAGTTTTCTATCTCCCAGAGCCAAACTCAATCTTAAATACACAGCTCTGAAAACACATTAGAAAAGTAGTCACCTGACAAATTCTGTCTGCTGGTTTCATTTTCTCTGTTCCTCGAAGGAGAACCTGGTTCTGAAATGCTGCTCTCTGTTCCTCCCATCAGTGGTTGCAAATGGCTTACAGATACTTGCTCAATAAAAGATGTGCCATGCTTATGGAAGTACCACCATTCAAATATCTATGACAAACAGAAAATATCCTGCACTTAGAATCGATCAGCAGATACATGAGCTCAAATTAAAACATTCTCTCAAGATGTCCTGTTCAATTCAGCATTTTAAATGCACTCTCCTTTCAAAAAGAAAAAAACATACAAACACAAGATTCACCAATAACATGTCACGTAAAAGTGAAATACATTTTTTATAGTTCCGTCATAAAATTTAGACAAGCTTAAGCAAAACTAGGCATATGTAATAAAGCATTAAAAACAGAAAGAAGCATTTTAATCTATAAGTAATTTAACTCTGTTAAGTTACATTGTCATTTTATTCTATCTGCAGCATAAACAGTTTTCAAATAATAAGCATAGTGGATGAACAGACTAGACTAGCATCAGCATGCCCATGTTTTAACTCCCAAATCAGTCATTTATTAGCTGTGTGCTGTGGGCAAGTCACTTAATCTCTTAATATCTCAGAGCCTCAGCTAAATGTGGTTAACAAGAATTATAAGAAAGTGCTTTCTGAAGCAAAAAGTACTACTCTGGTATTTGGCAAAATTATTAATAAAGGTTAAGGTCAAGTTGATTCCCATATTGAACCATTTAAAAATCAGGATATTCATTTCTTTCTATTTCCATGGTTTATCACTGATATAAAAAGAGAAACCAGGCCAGACACGGTGGTTCACGTCTGTAATTCCAGCACTTTGGGAGGCCAAGAAGTCCCAAAAGAGGGATCCTCAAGAAGAATCGCTTGAGCCCAAGAATTCTAGACCAGCCTGGACAAAACAGTGAGACCTCATCTCTACAGAAAAATATAAAAATAAAATATTAGCTGGGTGAGGTGGTGCATGCCTGCAGTTCCAGCTACTCAGGAAGTTGAAGTGGGAGGATCTCTTGAGCCCAAGGAGGTCAAGGCTGCAGTGAGCTGAGATTGCACCACTGCCCTCCAGCCTGGGCAATAGAGTGAGACCCTGTCTCAAAAAAAAAAAAAAAAAAAAAAAAAGTCACCTGACAGACTAGTCTTCTGCCAAATGTAGTGGATACATGTATTACTTTAAAGAATAAACAAAGCATATGCACAACTAAGAGATTTTAATCTTTTTATTTCCTTTTTTTAAAATGTTTTGAGATAGGATCCCACTGTCACCAGGCTGGAGTACAGTGGCATGATCACAGCTCACTGAAACCTTGACCTCCCTGGGCTCAGGTGATCATCCCACCTCAGCCTCCCGTGTAGCTAGGACTACAGGCATGTGCCACCATGCCCAGCTAATTTTTATGTTTTTTGTAGGGACAAGGTTTTGCCATGTTGCCCAGGCTGGTCTCAAATTCCTGGGCTTAAGCGCTCTGCCCTCCTTGGCCTCACAAAGTGCTAGGATTATGGGTGTAAGCTACCATGACCGGCCAGATTATAATATTTTTGAAAACTATTTTACTATGACCACAAACAGAACCCATCACAAAAAAATCAGCATTTTCAAATCTGTAGGAATGTTATTTTTTTGCTTCAGTAAATAACAGAACAAATATGCTACATAGGTGCCAAAAGTATAGTCATGTTGGGGCCCGCTGACTACATGCCACAACGTTTATAGGAAAGTGTGAGAAAATCATGGTGCAGCATTTTTTCTATCATGTCACTAATGTTTTATGCTCAGTCTAAAATGGTATCTCTTTCTGCTCACTCTTAAGTTAGCAAGAATTACCACCAAATGAGGCCATGGTTTGACTTCTACCATATATTTTACTAAGAAGTGAGATAAAACTTCTTTACACAAGCAGAAACTGTTCATGTGACAGAAAAGGTTTATATTGAATAAATCTTGGCTAAGAAAATTGGATAGGGCCAGGCACGGTGGCTCATGCCTATAATCCCAACACTTTGGGAGGCTGAGGTGGGAGGATCACTTGAGGCTGGGAATTTGAGATTAACCTGGACAACATAGTGAGACCCCATCTCTACAAAACATAAAAAAAATGAGCCAGGTGTGAGGGTGTGTGCCTGTAGTCCCAGCTACTTTGGAGGCTGAGGTGGGAGGATTGCTTGAGTTCAGCAGGTCAAGGCTGCTGTGAGCTGTGATTGTACCACTTCACTCCAGCCTGGGTGACAGAGTAAAACACTGTTTCGAAAAAAAAAAAGAGAAGATAAGTACCATCAAGGGCAACAACAACACACTTCCCTTCACCATACAAAGTGCAGGTGGGTTTTCTAATGAATGAGTATGAAGTTAGGGGCTTTTTTCAACTTTTGAGTCAACTTTTTAACACAAATGAACAATGGTAATAATAACTGCAAATACTTATCAAAAGCTTTCTATGAGCCACACATTATGCCAATCCTTGACATGCATTATGTCATTTAATTTTTATAACAACTGATTTTAGAGATGAGGACACACATTCCAAATTTAAATAACAGTTCACATCACTGGTAACTGGCAGAGCTGGGATTCTTATTCAGGTTTGCCTGACTTCGGAGCTTCCAACCATTACACCAGACTGATTCATAAATATATCTCTTTATACATGTATATGTGATTATATGTATATACAAGTTTGTTAAATCCAGGTGGTAAAAGAAATTATAAACACAACAACCTTTGCTAATAAAAACCCATCAACATTGCAAGGGTAATAATACAGTTTAACCTTTAAAATGTTACTTGAATTTCCTAATTTGTGTATATTTAAAATGCGGTTTTATAAAGAGTAACAAAAGGTTTTTTTGGGTTTTTGTTGTTGTTGTTTTGTTGTTGAGACAAGGTCCACTCTGTTGCCCGGGCTGGAGTGCAGTAGCATGATCACAGCTCACCACAGCCACGATTTCCTGGGCTCAAGCAATCCTCCCACCTCAGTCTCTGAAGTAGCTGGGACTACAGGAATGCGCCACCACAACGCGCTAAATTTTTAAAATTTTATACAGAGACCAGATCTTGTTCATTTGTCCAGGCTGCTCTTGAACTCCTGGCCACAAGCAATCCTCCTGCCTCAGCCTCCCACAGTGTTGGCAGTACAGACACGAGACACCACACCTGGCCACAAAAAGTTTTTTACAAGGTTTTAGACATCATATATATAAGTTATCCCCCTCTTATAAATGAGGAAATTATAGCTTAGACAGTTTATGTAGCTTGCCCAAAATTATCAGCTAGTAAGTGGCAGAGTTAAGATTCAAAATTTTATCTTCTGGTTCCCAAACCAGAGCTTTTTCCACTATATCAGCTGCTTAATATTGATAGTTTCTTTAAAACAAACAAACAAAAACCATATTAAATAGAGACAGGGTCTTGTTGTTGCCCAGGCTGGTCTCAAACTTCTGGCATTAAGGGATTCTCCCACTCCATCCTCCCAAAGTGTTGGGATTACAGGTGTAAGCCACCGTGCCTGGCTTAAAGACAGTTTATCGTCTTTACTTAGACTTTTGTATGCTATGGACTAAACATGCTAAAATATGCTTATGTTAAATTATGAGGCTTATATTAACATGTAGTTTTAATCCTGAATTCCTCAATAGCTTCTATTTTTTTTAGCCAAGAGAAAAATCTCGTTCTTGTTTGGCATTTCACTTTAACAAAATGGTCTGTATTTAGTCCCTATTTAAAAAAATAGATCCAATACAAATGCTATTTCTACTACAGCTGGAGAGCACCACCTAGAGATAAAAAAAAGAACAGGCTGGGCATGGTGGTTCACGCCTGGAACCTTAGCACTTTGGGAGGCCGAGGAGAATGGATCGTTTATGCCCAAGCGTCTGAGACTACCCTGAACAACACAGTGAGACTCTGTCTCTACAAAAAATAAATAAAAATTTAAAGGGAAGAGAAAAATTTATTGGCTATGCATGGCATAAAACTTCTTAAGATTTTTATCTGCAGCAGTATTGTTCCAAAGTGTACACTAGTAAACATGACATCCTAGGGATGTTAACGTGAATTATAAAAAATATTTTATTTTTTTTAAATTAAAAATATCTTCTTCAAGGAAAAGTTGAATTAAAGTTAAACAGTTTTGTTGTTTTTGTTTTTTGAAACAGAGTCTTGCTCTGTCACTCAGGTTAGAGTGCAGTGGCACCATCTTGGCTCACTGTAACCTCTCCCTCCAGGGTTCAAGTGATCCTCCCACCTTGGCCTCTCCAGTAGCTGGGACTATAGGTGCGCCACACACGCCTAATTTTTGTATTTTTTTGAAGAGACAGGGTTTTTCCATGTTTCCCAGGCTGGTCTCGAACTCTATCACCCCACCTCGGTCTCCCAAAGTGCTAGGATTACAGGTATGAACCACTGTATCAGGCCAAACAGGTTTCTTAATTGTGAGAATTCTCAGAATAATGGCCAAAATTCATTAAGTGTACATTCTGAACCAGCTATCATGTTATAAACTTACAACATTATCTGATTTACTCTTCATAATCCTATAAAGTTCATGCTATTAACTGCCAGTTAACAGATGAGGAAACTGGGGCTTGAAAAAACTGTAAGTTGAATTCATGACACATAAATTTTAGTCTTCCCAATGTTGCCAATATTAAAATGCTGTAGTCAGACATGGTGGCACATGCCTGTAATCCCAGCTACTAGGGAGGCTGAGACGGGAGGATGGCTTGAGCCCAGGAGTTAAGGCCACAGTGTGCTATAATGGTGCCTGTGAATATCGACTGTACTCTGGCCTGGGCAACGTAGTGAGACTCCATCTCAATTTTTTTTTAATGGGCAAATTTTATATAAAAACTGTATGTCCAGGTTCTACTTATTTATTCATTCATTTTTGAGAAAGGGTTTCTCTCTGTCGCCCAGGCTGGAGTGCAGTGGCAAGATCTTGGTTCACTGTAACCTCCACCTCCCAAGTTCAAGAGATTCTTATGCCTCAGCCTTCCGAGTAGCTGGGACTACAGGCACATACCACCATACCCAGTTATTTTTTGTATTTTAGTAGACGGAGTTTCATCATGTTGGCCAGGCTGTTCTTGAACTCCTGGCCTCAAGTGATCTGCCTGCTTCAGGCTCCCAAAGTGCTGGGATTATAGGTGTTAGCCACCACGTCCGGCCTGTCTGGGTTCTCTTTAAATCATTTGAAAAATTGAAAAACCTGGTAATACTAGTTCCAAGTCTATATGGCAACAATTAGCTTTAGCCTCTTTTAGAAGGGGCATGCACTGTCCAGGCTACCCAGTCCTCAAAGAAATAAGAATTTAATTATTAAACTCTATCCATTTCACTCATTTTTGTTACCAACTTGGGCTCTGCAGGCATTTAATTTCCAACACACCCCAAGCCCTCCCTGACTACAGTTTACAATAAGCCTTTAATATGTAAATAAATACTGTCAATCTCTTAAAAGTAGATTGGGAGATGCAGTGTTCCCCAAACTTGTTTGAATAGGTAACTCTTTTCAAATGCTGAATACATTTTGGAAATGCTAATCCATAGGTAATAATAATTTATAATTATTATAACCATATAAAGGATCTTTAGGCCAGGGCGGTGCCTCACGCCTGTAATCCCAGCACTTTGGGAGGACAAGGCAGGCGGATCACCTGAGGTCAGGAGTTGGAGACCAGCCTGACCAATATGGTGAAATGCCATCTCTACTAAAAATACAAAAATTATCCGGGCATGGTGGCCGGCACCTGTAATCCCAGCTACTCGGGAGGCTGAGACAGAAGAATTGCTGGAACCTGGAAGGCGGAAGTTGCAGTGAGCCGAGATCATGCCACTGCACTCCAGCCTGGGCGACAGAGCAAGACTCTGTCTCAAAAAAGAAAAAAAAAAAATATCTTTAGATAAACACCAAAACATGAAGGAAGGAAATGGAAACTACTTACAAATATTAGTCCTGATATCAATGAAGAGGTCCCTGTAAGTGCCACATAGAATTTGGGTGTCAATGAATTTAAAAATACAGTCACTGTCAAAAGAACAAGAATCAAAGTTTTAAAAAATGCAAATTTAAAGTACTTAGGTTACAAATATGCAAGTATCTTTATGAGTGGTGGGACTTAAGTAGTATTAATATCTAGTGTGAAATTCACTTGAAAAAGTTTTAATTTGTATATATATTATACATAATGGCTTATCACTATTTGCAACAAATCAAAATGAGGTAATTCAGCTTGCTTTGGAGAATAAAACTAAAGCACTTATAAGTCATAATTTAGATAGAACTTTTGCAAGTCTGTAAGAATAAAAAGATAAATATGCTTTTACAAAGGAGGTTCAAAACTACTCCATATTTATTTTGGTAGGATACAAAACCACTGTCTCAAATTAGAGGGAAGGAAACAGCATATGTATTTGGTATATCAGCTAGAGAGGCAAAATGGCTCAAAGAGAAAAGCAACAAACAGAAATCTCCCTGAGTTACTGAAATCCTGGAGCAGATTTTTCACTTCAAATAATTATCTCATAAGTACTGTGGGTTTTAGAAAGAAAATAAAAATCTGGCCAGGTAGGATGGCTCACTCCCATAATCTCAGAGTTTTGGGAGGCCAAGGCAGGAGGATCACTGGTAGCCAGAAGTTCAAGACCAGCCTGGGCAAATAAAATAGACCCAGTCTCTACGCAAAATTTAAAACTCAGCCAGTCGTGGTGGTGCACGCCTGCAGTCCCAGCTACTTGGGAGGCTGAGGCCAGAGGATCGCTTAAGCAGAAGAGTTCAAGGCTGCAGTGATCTTGCCACTACACTTCAGCCTGGGTGACAAAGGGAGACTCTGTCTGTCTTTCTCTCTCTCACACACACACACACACACACACACACACACACACACACGAAACGTAAAAAAGAAAAATCTATAGTAATCAACTATTCTCATCTAAATGTTGCATATGGTTAACGTAGAAAAATAAATGACAAGTCAATCAGTAACACTGTGCATAGAAACCACCGTTAAGCACTTCATTCACCTGTTACAGAGATGCCAAATTAGCTCTTCAGTTTAGCTTATTTTAGAGTGCTAGTTATATTTGAACTTGATACCTATCCTCCAAAAAAACCAAAATATTTCCGAACATTAACTCACAGTCTTTCATGTCATCTCTGAACAGGAAAGGGGACATTTGCTGCCTTTTGCTTCAGAAAAATCAACCACCATACTGAATCATGTAATGGAAATACTTATATCTTGTTCTGAGGTTGCTGCTCAGATCTTGAGTGAAATATAATCACATGGTAAGGGGACCTGGGCCCTAAACACTTCATCCTGTCTACAGCTAAAGAATAGTACAGTATATGAGAATCCATCAGGATCATCACTTCTTACATGTGTTCGTATTGTCAGCACAGA
Source organism: Homo sapiens (assembly GCF_000001405.40). NCBI lineage: Eukaryota > Metazoa > Chordata > Mammalia > Primates > Hominidae > Homo > Homo sapiens. The sequence continues at coordinate 112,618,271 of NC_000001.11, forward strand.
ATACGTAGCAAGTGTTCTACAGACGTCGAAAGAACTAGCAAACCCACTGTTGTTTGTGGCGCTCTCACTTCCTGTACTATTTTATTACTCAAGATAAGCCTAAAAGAACAGACAAAACTATCACGAAAACGATTTCTTAACAGAACTATTTTAAAACAAGAGAATCCTCAATTAAAATCATGCCATTTTCTTTCTCTGAAATCTTTAAATTACAGATGTGCTCATCTTTGTTGCCTGGATATGAGTTCTTTCAGCTGGGCAGCGGGAGACTCAAAGTAGTGACTTTTAAGGGATCCTACCAGAGGTGGGGGAGCCAATATAAATTACGTATCCTAATCTGAGACACTCTTCTGTCCTAATACCTGAAGCTTATAGCTTGTCAGGTGGCTTTTCCATGGAAAAACGAGGACATAAGAGAGAGGGCGGACCTTAAGAGTTCTACGGAGGAGCCGGTAACGGCAGCAGGCTTGTCAATCAACTGCAAGGTTGCAGCCCAAAAGAAAAAGAACTCACTTGATCGCTCATCATCGACTCCTCAGAGGCCCTCTAGGACTACCGAGAATCTCTTGCCCTTTGGCTCTTGCCCCCGACATCTCTCCTGGCCCCCCGCCCTGCCCCAGGAGGTCTGGTCCTCTCACCCGCTGCCAAATTCTCACACAGCCTCAAAGGGATCCTCAGGGCGTAAAGCAGCCCCAGCCCCGCCACGAACCACAACGAGGCCCCAGTCCCCGCCAGCCCGGCCCGCAGTCGCTCCCTCCAGCCTAGCGTCGGGTTTAGGCCAGGGACAGATGCAGGAGACGCTCCAACAGCTGCGGCTTCACCCACGCCGCCACGGTCCGCCATCTTGCCGCTATCGCAGGCGCCAGGAGCTGGGAGGGGAGAAGGACAGGAAACCGGGAGTCGGGAATCCTGGGATAGTGGCGGACCTGAAGTTGGCCTCTGTGAAGGCTGAGTCCTGGGGAACCGGGACCGAGAAGATTTCGAAGGTGGAGGAGCGTGTCTCAAGATTGGGGCTACCTGTTCTTTCGTGGGGCAGGGAAGGGGCGGACAGCAGCGCCTATTCTGGAGGAACTGGACTGAGATGTGACCCCGAAGTGTTACCGCTTCCAAACGAAATGAGGGTCACCTTTCACACCGCCCCCCCCCCGGGGTTGGAAAAGCCACCGATCGTTCCAGCTGCCGAGCAGCTCTTAAAGCTTTGGATTCGGCTGTCGTGGAGATAACGGGCACCAGAAAAACTTGTAGGAGTAGCAACAGCTATTTGGTCGGATGGAGGCCAGAAGCCAAGAATAATCGAAACACGCTGCCAGCGCCCATTAGATGGATGGGAAATGAGTGTAACTCATTGGGAAAGATATTAGACTTCAAATCACCTAAGGCAAACCCTACTTCCTGGGGCGCGGGCGCGGGCGCTGGCGTTAGGAGACGTCACTCCCGCGCATAACTGACATGGGGCCCTCTTGGTCGGCGTTTCCGGGCGGGTCCTTCCGACGGCCGCCGCGGTGATTCCATCACTCGGCTTTCTTCCCGGCCTGCCTCGCGCCCGTAGCCGGGCTGGGCCAGAACAGCCCAAGATGGCCGACTTCGATGATCGTGTGTCGGATGAGGAGAAGGTAAGGGGTCCGCCTCTCTCTCTTACCTCCTCCCCCGACAGGGAACTGGGGCCCGGCCCGGCTGCGTTGGGAGCCTAGCAGTGTCCCCAGGAAAAAGAAGCTTCTTGGTCCATGCTGACATACGCTCTCCGCAGTCGGGACGCTTCCCTCTTAGGGGGCTTTCCTCTGCCTCACGGTGGCCCCAGTTCCTCGTTCCTCGACTCTCCTTTTCTCTCAGGCCTGAGGCACAGCCCAGGGGCCTCCCTGCAAGGGAACAGACGTTTCCTTTATTGGATCGTGACTGTGGACTTTTTTCTGTAATTTTGCGAGAGGGTGGTGGTTATGTTGCGACATATCAAAAAGCAGTTATTTTACCGCCTTTAGCAGTTGGGGCTCACCCCATCCCCCCATTTGTAGATATAATTGGGGTTAGTTTAGGGCGAGTCACTTCCTGGTCAGGATGGCCTCTTAACTTCCCTTTTGCTCCTCCTTCCTCAGGAAGTGATTTTGCTGTCACGACTCTTCGACAAGGAGAGGTCCCAAATGTTGTCCATCTCCCTACACATGCACTACTTTTCTCCTGTACTGTCGCCTGTCTGATTCGCTATAATAAATCTGTGAGCCTCAGGGCATTTGCTTCAGAATTTGAACACCAGTCTTTCCCTATAGACACATCCCTTTTAACGATAATTTTTGAAAATTTTGTTTCTTGTTAACAAATCTAGAATAGCTGATGGATTTTCTTAACCTCCAGAAAGGTTTTCTGTAACACATAATAAACCTTATGTTAACACGTTCAAGACTGAACAAAGCATCCTGCCTTCTTTGATGCTCCACTGTGGAGTCTTTGATCAGTTGAATTTGTCAGTGTGCATTTTGTATGCTCATTTCTTGAAAAGGGTCTTAAATACAAGAGCACATTCTAAGGTGGAATAACTTTTCTTCTGACAGTTGCACAGTTTCATAACAGTTTGTCAGGCTTTTCAGTAAGTACATGGTTTTAGGGCACGTAGAACTTAGAATGACCTCACAAGGCAACTTATTGGACAAGAATTATGACATTTGTCTCCCACTGTGGCTATTAGAAAATGTGTCCCCTTGAGTGCTCTGTAAATCTACCTGGGTGTTTTTTTCAATAAGAAGTTGGGATGGGAAGGGGACTGTTATGATCCATAAGTCCTCTGTACGGAATAACTTGATATATGTAGATATGGCATGCCATTTTGAAATGTTTAACAAGCCATTGACAACAGCGTTAGATTTTCTCTTATTTGGAAACTGATCTTCATACATGTTTAAGATTTAGGACAAAAACATTTATGTATAAGCCTATGCTGGAAATCGATCTATAATAAATTGTTCTAAGGCAAATAGTTACTATTCAAATAAAATTAAGCAAAAATCCTGTTACAATACAACTAAACAATTTTTTTTTTTTTTTGAGACGGAGTCTCGCTCGGCTCACTGCAACTTCCGCCTCCCTGGTTCAAATTATTCTCCTGCCTCAGCTTCCCGAGTAGCTGGGATTACAGGCACCCGCCACCAAGTCCAGCTAATTTTTGTATTTCTTGTAGAGAGTGGGTTTCGTCTTGTTGCCCAGGCCGGTCTCAAACTCTTGGGCTCAAACGATCCATCCGTCTTCGCCACTTAAAGTGCTGGGATTACAGGCGTAAGCCACCGCGGCCGGCCAAAATTTCACAAATAATTTAAATAATAAACTTTTAAGTTTATTGTGCCTACCTGATACACATTGACCAGTGTTGTTGGATTTTTGTCTTTGATACCAGGTTAGAATGCCTTTAATTAAACTTGGGAAAATATATATTTTAAAATGCCAATTAAGATGCCTTTAGATACTGGCAGTGTTTTAATTAATAACATTAATGTCTTGGGTTATGGTTTTTTTTTTTTTTTTTTGAGATGGAGTCTCGCTCTGTCACCCGGGGTGGTGTGCAGTGGTGCGATCTCCGCTCGCTGCAACCTCTGCCTCTCTGGTTCAAGCGATTCTCCTGCCTCAGCCTCTCGAGTAGCTAGGATTACAGGCGCCCGCCACCAAGCCTGGCTAATTTTTTGTATTTTTAGTAGAGACGGGGTTTCACTATGTTGGCCAGGCTGGTCTCGAACTCCTGACCTCATGATCTGCCCGCCTTGGCCTCCCAAAGTGCTGGGATTACAGGCGTGAGCCACCGAGCCCAGCCAGTATTGTTTTTTTTAATAGCAGATCTGTGACCAGTTTCCTCTTCTAGCATACTTTTTTTGTTGCCAAGTATATTTTAATATTGTTTTTTATCTTTGTTACATTTTCTAAAGGCAGTGAACCTTTAGAAAATTTGGTGATAATGGACTCTTAGTTTCCTTGTAAATATTTATGTAAAAGCTAGTAATATCATCTATTCTCATAACTGCTGAAGTTTTTTTAATCACTTTATAAAGAGGAAGTTGGGTTTTGTTACCTGAAATGGTCATGATGAGCTGTCTAAATAAAACAGGAAGTTGAAAGTGTAATAACTTTTAGAAATAAATCTTTTAGTTGTAGCTTTGAGTTCACAGTTTCTGAGAATGAACTTGAGCTCTTTAGTTACATGCTTAGCAAGACCAAGATACTATAATTAGGAATCCTGAAATATGAGATGAATTACTTCTTTGGGTTCTTTTCATTGTCTATTTCCTTTATTTCATTCAACATTTGTAAAACATAAAAGCAAAGAGAATTTTGGGGGGCTGGAAAAAAGTGTGACTAGCATATTTTTTCCCTTCAGCCTAACTAGTGGAATATTTGTGTACAATTTCAAAAGTATGGTAATTGAGAAGTCATGCTTTCAGTTTAGACAATGCTTTCAGTAATAAGATAAAGTTTTCAGTATTAAGAAAAACTACATGCTTTCAGTTTAGACAATGGTAGTGGTGTTAAGGCATTTTTGAGAAACAAGTTTATCAAAATTATTTAGTAGAGCAGTAGAAAATGTTGTAAATAGATGAAATATGAGGGCTTTGTTAGAGCACATGAAAAATATTTTATACTTTTTTTTTTTTTTTTTGAAACGAAGTCTTGCACTGTCTCCCAGCGGGCTGGAGTGCAGTGGTACGATCTCGGCTCACTGCAACCTCCACCTCCTGAGTTCAAGTGATTCTCCTGCCTCAGCATCCCAAGTAGCTGGGATTACAGGCACCTGCCACCACACCCGGCTAATTTTTTGTATTTTTAGTAGAGACAGGGTTTCAATATGTTGGTCAGGCTAGTCTCAAACTCCTGACCTCGTGATCCGCCTGCCTTGGCCTCCCAAAGTGCCGAGATTGCAGGCGTGAGTCACTGCACCTGCCAAATATTTATGCTTTTAAACTGGATCCTTGATTATGTATTACCTCCTTAATTTACTAGTTACCATTGTAGGATAAAGCAAGCCCTAAAGATTGTTTGGTGTGGCTGTTTTCTAACAAGTCATCAATTAATATTAAAACTGTCATTCTTCCATCTTCACTTTTCAGTTAGTTTTGCTGAGAGGTATTCATATAATCTGTTAAGACATCCTAGGACAGGCCGGGCCCAGTGGCTCACGCCTGTGACCCCAACACTCTGGGAGGCCGAGGCAGGTGCATCATCTGAGGTCGGGAGTTTGAGACCAGCCTGACCAACATGGAGAAACCCCATCTCTACTAAAAATACAAAAATTAGCTGGGCGCAGTGGCACATGCCTGTAATCCCAGCTACTCAGTAGGCTGAGGCAGGAGAATCGCTGGAACCTGGGAGGCGGAGGTTGCGGTGACCCGAGATCACGCCATTGCACTCCAGCCTGGGCAACAGGAGCGAAACTCCGTCTCAAAAAAAAAAAAAAAGAAAAGAAAGCCCGGGCGCGGTGGTTCATGCCTGTAATCCCAGCACTTTGGGAGGCCGAGGCGGGTGGATCACGAGGTCAGGAGATCGAGACCTGACCTCAGGAGATCGAGATCCTGGCTAACGCAGTGAAACACCGTCTCTACTAAAAATACAAAAAAATTAGCCGGGCGTGGTGGCAGGTGCCTGTAGTCCCAGCTAATCGGGAGGCTGAGGCAGGAGAATGGTGTGAACCCGGGAGGCAGAGTTTGCAGTGAGCCGAGATTGTGCCACTGCACTCCAGCCTGGGTGACAGAGCAAGACTCCATCTCAAAAAAAAAAAAAAAGAAAAAAGAAAAGAAAAAGAAATCCTAGGACAGGAGCATAAAGCCTAATAAGCAGGTGCAAACTCACATGTCCAGTCTTGTTAGTAGTACTGATTTATCATAATTTCTTCCAGAACACTTAGCTGTTTTATTACGACCAGGCTTAATGCTAAACAAAGTAGTGTAAATTTGTCAGAAAATTCAGATCCCAGGTTTTTCTGATTATGTAGCCATGCTTTTTTCACTATACTTTTCTTTTCCATATAGGTATGAATGAAAAACCAGAGTAGAGACATCCATTTAGTGGATTATAAATGAGGTATTATGGGCTGGGCATGATGGCTCACGCTCGTAATCCCAGTACTTTGGGAGGCCAAGGCGGTCAGATCATCTGAGGTCAGGAGTTAGAGACCAGCCTGACCAACACGGTGAAACCCTGTCTCTATTAAAAATACAAAATTAGCCAGGTGTGGTGGTGCATGTCTGTAATCCCAGCTACTCAGGAGGCTGAGGCAGGAGAATAGCTTGAACCCAGGAGGCGGAGGTTGCAGTGAGCCGAGATCGCGCCATTGCACTCCAGCCTGGGCAACAGAGCAAAACTCCATCAAAAAAAAAAAAAAAAAAAAAAAAAAGAGGTATTATGATGTAATGGAAAAGAGTGATTGTGAGTGTTAGATATGGCCTTTCCCTTTCGTGCTTCTAGCCACCTTGTCACTGATTTTGGAAACCTCACTTAACCTCTATGGGTGGGCCTCAATTTCCATCTAAAATAGAGAAGTAGGGAGGAATTGGATCAAACCAGCCCAAGAAAATTTAATTAACTATTTCAAACTCTAATGAAAAATCTCTACTTTAAAAATTGAAACACAAAAATGTTCTGGGAGGTTCTATTCATTGTCTGCTTTCCTACATTTGCCCTGATTACAAGACTGAGTTCCTTGATAATTGAAACCATGTCTCTTTATCTAGTGCCTAGCATAGTGCCAAGCACACAGTGTATGCACAGCCTATTGGTATGAAAGAGAACACAACTTCATTAATTCTCATATCTCTCCAGTTCACACCCCTTCATCTCCTGTAAAACACCCCTTCCCCTACAATTATTTCTGTTAGTCTCTAGGTGTTTCTTGTATTCAAGAGTATGTCCACAGTTTGGGTGCCTCTGTGCATTCCTTCTATCTGAGCATCTGCCATCATTGGTGCTCTGCCATGCCACTGCTGGGAACATTTGACCCCTCTGGGAGCATCTTCCTAATAGATCCCATAAACTGCAAAGCCTTATGGTTACCAAAATGATGGTGTATATATATACTTGGAGCCTTGCAAAGCCCCTAATGAAAGTATTTCCTTCACCAGCTAGAAGTACTCTCCTTTAGCGATCAGATTAAAACACACACCCAGGTGTGTGTTTTAAAGAAAAAGGACCCAAGAGGGAAAAAGTTTCCAAGGCATGAATGAATTAAGAGTGGCAAATGCTACTGAGATAGAAAGATTAGGACGGAGAAAACAGCACTCACTCTGACAGTATTCTTTCCAACTGGATTTGGTAAATAAGAGTGAAGAGGTACCTCGAGTGAGCACTGGGAGAAGTCATACTGGAAGGGATAAGCAGTGATTGACATAAGAAAGTAAAATAAATTCAGGTTCATCCAGACACCCCCATAATCTTGCCTTGACCCAGAAACATTGTGTTCACAGGACTTTCAGCTTCCCACCCCCATAAGTAAGCTTCCTAATTATGATATCTTGGTCTTGCCAAGCATTTAGAGGGCCTTACTCTGTGGCCCTCCAGATAGTGATTTGAATGATTAAGTAAACCTCTTTTTAGATAAGTGTTCTAGTCCAGTCTAACATCAGCTTGTTGGTCTTTTTGGCACTGTCATTGTCCAGTACCAGCACATTCTTGGCTCCTTGCCACATCTCTGGCCTCAATGTGGGAGGCAAAGACAGTGAGCATTTCCAGAGTGGTGAGATGGGTGCAGCACATAATGAGGCGATGACCACACAGCATCTCTGAACAGCATGTCCACACAGGGCTCGAAGTCATTATGCTGCATGTCCACCTCATGTCCACAATAGCTGAGCAGTTGAGATTGGTGGAGTGGACCTTCTCATTACTCATCATCTAGAGGAAGGTCCTCATCATCTCTACTTCTCAAAGGGGTAGAATTGAACCTGAACCTGCTTGACAGACAAGAGCCCAAGCCTAACCAAGGTGGCTGCCATGGTGACCCTTGCCCTGAAAGCCATTTCCATTAATTTAAAAATTGTAGGTATATAGGAACTATAATAACAGGCTTAAAATTAAAATTTGCTCTGTTTGTTGGGTCACACGTGTAATCCCAATACTTTGGGAGGCTAAGCCGGGACGATCACTTGAGCTCAGAAGTTTGAGACTAGCCTGGGCAACATAGTGAGATCCCGGTCTCTACCAAAAAAAAAAAAAAAATTAAAATGGTGGGACAGGGCACAAGTAAAAAGTCGCCTCCTGCCCCTGTCTTCCACCCACCCAGTTTCCCTGACAAGTAGCCAATATTACCAATTCCTCTTGTATCTTTTCTAATTCTATGCATATACAGACACACTTTTCACTTAATAATATCTCTAACCTGTCCACATTCCATCTACCATTATTTTCACTCAGGACCTTTTTTTATGCTTGAATTATTTTTAACAACATTTTTAATTATCTCTCTGCCTCAGGCCTCTCCTTTCTTTATACATCCTTCCTGGTTTATCATAAATTCTTCACAGCTATAACGTATTACAAAATTTTGAGCAGTGTGTAAAATTTATCTTTGGTACAACTGCACATACAGATTGTTAAGGCAGTGTCAGTGAAATGGAACATTGATCGAATTCTGTTGAGTGTAGTCATGGTATAACATACTGTTTAAACAAGAAAACAGCATAATGGCAGACTGTAGCAAAGGAAGGTGGTAAGAGAACTTTGCTTTGTGGATTCTTTGTTTTACATCTGGGTAACATTTAAGTGCTTCTTTTGTGCTAACTATGTATTAACCATGTATTTATCTCACAACATCCTTATAGGACAGATACTTATGCCCATTTTACAGTAGAGTAAACTGAGGCACAGGCACATTTGAGGTTAAAATATATGACCCAAGTGTCCAGAACTAATAAATGGCAGAGTGGATACAATGCTGTTGTCTGCTGTCAGAGCCTATGCTCTTACCCATTTTGATTCCTTTAAGTAGATAGTAAGATAGTAAGCAGTTTTGATGAAATAATGACATAGTCCTAAACAGCAACCAAGTTAATCATGTAGTAACCTGGATGCCTTTATAGACACTGAAACATTGGTGTTCTGTGGTCCTGATTGCATTATAATTGTTGCTGAATGGCCAGGTGCGGTGGTTCACACTTGTAATCCCAGCACTTTGGGAGGCTGAGGCAGGCGGATTACTTGAACCCAGGAGTTCAAGACCAGCCTGAGCAACATAGTGAAACCCCATCTCTAGAGAAAATACAAAAATTAGCCCAGCATAGTGGCACACGCCTGTAGTCCCAGCTACTTGGGAGAATCACTTGAACCTGAGAGTAGGAGGTTGCAGTGAGCCGAGATCATGCCATTGCACTCCAGCCTGGCCTGGCCGACAGTGCGAGACTCTGTCTCAAAAAAAAAAAAAAAAAAAAAAAAAAAAAAGAAGGGCCAGGCGTAGTGGTTCACGCCTGTAATCCCAGCACTTTGGGACTTTGGGAGGCTGAGGCAGGCGGATCACCTGAGGCTAGGAGTTTGAGACCAGCCTGACCAACATGGAGAAACCCCGTCTCTACTAAAAATACAAAATTAGCTGGGCGTGATGGCGCATGCCTGTAATCCCAGCTACTCAGCAGGCTGAGGCAGGAGAATAGCTTAAACCCAGGAGACGGAGGTTGCAGTGAGCCAAGATTGCGCCATTGCACTCCAGCCTGGGCAACAAGAGTGAAACTCTGTCTCAAAAAAAAAAAAGTTGCTTAGTGCTCTTTGAGCTTAAGTATGCCGTGAAGAGTTCTAGTATTTATGCTGTGTTATTAAACAGGTGTTGAAAAACATGGCTCTAGAAATTTAAAGATCACTAAAGTCCCCGTAACAAGGCCAAGGAGAAACTTTACAGTATGACAGTATCTTAGAACATCCTTGCCTATGGCAGAATCTGTGTTTCCTTCAAAAACAGATTTCTGAGTTCCATCCTAGGTATATTGAATCAGAATTTTTTGGAACCAGTTGTCAGGAATTATTTGTAATAAGCCTCCCAATAATTATTGGAATACTTGAGAACCATTATCTTAGTGAACTTGCTGTGGTTCAAATCTTAGTCCTCTGCTTATTTAGCTCAGAAGCTTGATTGATCAGGATACTAAACCAGGTCTCTCTCGGGGATAAACTCATTTTAGCTAGGCTTATGAAACTAATGTATAAAACTGGAATAACAATTTAATACATATAGAAGGAACTAAGTTCTTTTTTTCAGATAGGTCAGGAACATGGGAAATCAAGTTAGAATGTTTTAATGGAGCATAGAATTAGAACAAAGGAAGTTAACTAGATAGTCCAAAGTATTGATGGCATTTTGTTTCATAATAGGCATATGTACCCAACACCAAAACCAAGTCACGTCTTTGTATAACAGCATTGGACATTTTTCCTCTAGATAGGTTCATTTGTTATCACATTACTAGCAGGGGAGTTTTGCAGGACTGGTTATGTGTCAAAATTTTGCATACTGCAGCTTCTCCTACAGTCTGCCCGCCCTTGGTTAATGACACTTCCATTCTTTAGTTGCTCAGGTCAAAAACATTAGTGTTATCTTTGACTACTATTTCTTTCACAATCCACTTGTTGTCCACTGGTAAATCCTGTAGGCTCTGTCTTTAAAATAAACCCAGAATTTGACTATTTCTTACCACACCCTTATTCTAACCACTCTGGAAGAAGCCATTGTGACCTCTAGATTATTAAAATACTATTTTTTATGGTTTCCCTGCTTCTGCTGTTGCTCCTGCCCAGCAGTCTGTCCTCGATGAAGCATCCAGAGTGATCTGGTTAAAATGTAGGTCAGTACATGTCACTTTTCTGCTCAAAGCCCTCCGGTGGCTTCCCATCTTTTTCTAAGTCCCTATGTTCTGGGATGTTACCTCTTTGCCATTTATCTCTGACTTTATCTCCTACATGTTCTTCTTCTGGTCTTTGTTCCAATCACGTATTCTCGCTGAATAATCTTTGCATTTGTTCTTTTCTCTGGAGTTCTTTTCCTTCTGTATCCCTCATTTCAGATACTTAACCAGAAGTCATCTCCTTAGTGAAGCTTTCTCTGGTTATTCTGTCCAGTTGCAAATCCTAACATTTCTTGTCCCTTTTCTTTGCCTTGTTTTTTCTCCTTAGCATTTATCACTTGCCAGGTAGTATTTTACTTAATCTTCTCTGTTGTCTTTACCCACTAGAATGTAAACTCCATGAGGACAGTATGCTAGTGAGTCACCATTGCCTAAAACATAGTGGGTCTTCTGATATTTGTTGAATGCATGAATCTTGCTTGGATAGCATCTGTCTTGATTTCATTGTTAACTCTCATAGGGCAGTCTGATTTCCAAGTTTTGTGAGGCCATATTGAGGACTCCAGTACTTCTGTATTACTGATAGATTTTTATTAATGGAGCTTTGTCCTCAGAAAGCTTTAGCAAGTGGCCATTGCCAATGACATACGGAATGAAACCAGATTTGGTATTACCATCATTACTGCTATCTGACTTACCTTAGTTCATCCTTCTCTTTTATTCTCTCCAAATCCTCTGTTCTACCAAACAAGAGAGTGTTTTCCCACTACCTTTTTTGTTCTTATTCCCTCACTCATAGTGCCCTCCCTTTCCTCCCTTCCACCCTATCTAAAGTACTTTGCAGAGCCCAGCTTCTCCTTTTCTCTGTAGTTGTCCTCCACCAACCCAGCTCAATATCCAACTCCTTACTCTTAAGTTCTGTGCCTTATGTTATCTGTACTACTGCTTTGGCAGTTTTGCTGCTTAGAATTATAGTTGTTTTTAATTTTTTTATTTTATTTTTGGGACAGGGTCTCACTCTGTCACCAAGACTGGAGTTCAGTGGTGGGATCTTGGCTTACTGCAACCTCTGCCTCCTGGGCTCAAGTGATCCTCCCACCTCAGCCTTTCTAATGAGTAGCTAGGACTGCAGGCACGCAACTAATTTTTAAGTATTTTTTTTGTAGAAACAGTCTCACTATATTGCCCAGACTGGTCTCAAACTCCTGGGATTACAGGCATGAGCCACTGCACTTGGCACTCGGCCCTGGCAATTATTTTATTTTTTATTTTTTAATTTTTTATTTGTATTTATTTTTATTTTTGTTAGAGAGTCTCACTCTTTCGCCCAGGCTGGAGTGCAGTGGTGCCATCTCGGCTCACTGCAACCTCCGTCCCCCAGGTTCAAGCGATTCTCCTGTCTCAGCCTCCCGAGTAGCTGGGATTACAGGCGCCTGTCACCACACCTGCCTAATTTTTTGTATTTTTAGTAGAGACGGGGTTTCACCATCTTGGCCAGACTGATCTTGAACTCCTGACCTCGTGATGCACCCACCTCGTCCTCCCTAAGTGCTGGGATTATAGAAGTGAGCCACTGCACCCAGCCGGATTTTTTATTTTTTGAGACGAGACATCATTGTGTCCCATGCTGGTCTGAAACTCCTTGGCTCAAGCGGTCCTCCTGCCTTGGCCTCCCAAAGTGCTGGGATTACAGGCCTGAGCTCACTGTGCCCAGCCTGAATTAAAGTTATTTTTAAATGCTGGCACATCTTTACTGAGGGCTATTATTTGTATAAATTGTTTTGTTAACAGTGGTAAAGTATACAGAGATTGGAAAGCCAAGGTGCTTACTGTATGTTATATTCGTCTTATGTTGTTTGTATCTACCAGGATGAATTGCACTTTATATTAGCTTAAGGTAGTGGCTGTCAACCCTGACAGCATGTTAGAATCACCTGAGGAAGCTTTTAAACTGATGCCCAAGCCCTACCCCAGACTAGTACATCAGAATTTCTGCAGGTGGAACCCATATGTCAATATAGTTAAATCTTCCCAGGTGATTCTAATGTGTAGCCAAGGTCCAGAACCACTGATTTAAGGCAAAAGATAATTTGTTGGCTTACCTCTTTGACAATCCTACTCTTTGTCTTTATCTTTAGTATTCACCTCAGTGCCTGAGACCAAATGAATTGTTTTGTGGTTTGTTTTGAGTGAATGAACAAATTGTTAAACACAAAGAGCTGAACTTTTTAAAAGACAACATAACTCAGAATTCAGTGATGTCTAGGTATTTGCTTAGGGAAGAAAATTAAGGATCTGCTGTATGGGAGTCTGTCTCATGTTACCTCATGGGTTCTTAAAACAGTCCTAGATATGAGTAGGTTTTATAATCACAAATGAAGAAACTAAGACCCAAGCAATTTAGCAGTAAAGCTGGCATGTGAAACTGTATCTGACTCCCAGTGATTTTGAGGAAAAAAAAAATTGGTAAAAAGATATACTTTAAGTTAGAATGCCGTAACATGCCAGATACATACCAGATCTTAAAGGCAAAACCGTTCTTGTTTCCCACTGCTGCTTTTTCCATCTAGCCTGGGTTCTCACCGCCGAACTTTACCCTTTCAAACTTGACATCTACATCATTGCTCGCTAACACGTGAATCTCAAGGTACCTGGTGTGGTCATTTTTCCCTAATTTATTTTATTTATTCTTGGGCAACCTCCGGACCAGAATAGGTTCAAAGAGGCTTTTTCCTAATTTTTTAACCTTGTGGGTATTTTTTTAAGCACATTTAAGCTCCTAAACAAGTTGCTTATGGGATGTTTTCACTCATTTTAATTTTTTTTCTGTGTGTTGTAAATGTTATGCTTAAATGTGTCATTTTTAAACACTACTAAGTGGTATGAAATACAATGACTCTTAGTTAAAGTAAAAATTATTCTAATGCATGTTAAAACAGTAAAGAAGACTATTCAAAATTATTATGGCCAGGTGTGGTGGCTCATGCCCGTAATCCCAGCACTTTGGGAAGTCAAGGCGGGCGGATCACCTGAGATCAGGAGTTCAAGACCAGCCTGGCCAACATGGTGAAACCCCATCTCTATTGAAAATACAAAAATTAGCAGAGCCTGGTGGTGGGCGCCTGTAATGATCCCAGCTGTTTGGGAGGCTGAGGCAGGAGAATTGCTTGAACCCGGGAGGTGGAGGTTGCAGTGCGCCAACATCACGCCACTGCACTCCATCCTGGGTGACATCTCAAAACAAACCAAAGAAAAGACTATTACAATAGGGGAGAAAAATCAGGCTCAACTCCTAATACAGTAAAGACAGCTGGGTATTTACGTATAGCCAATAAGCAGAGTTGGGGAGAAAATTATTAAGAGGAGACCATGAGGGTAGGGGGATTCATGCTGAAGGCAGTTCAAAGACTTACACATCAAAAGTAGGGAATGAAGAACTTGATCAGATATCAAGGGTGGGCAGATTCTTGCTAAAACTGGGCTAGGCAGGCCAAAGACAGGGGGATGTGGGGCAGGGAGGCGGGGTGGGGTGTCAAATCCTAGTTCAAAAGAGGCCTTAGAGAGAAGCCTAAAGTTTGCCATTCCATGTGTTGTGAGATGTACATAATTGCTTTAGTAAATAGTCAAGTGTTTAAGACATACCAGAAAAGCAATTATTCCCTAGAGTTTGTAGAATGTTTTAAAGTGAAATTGCTCTACTTAAAACTAACTTGCCTGACTTCCCTACCTACTTATGTCTAATAAAACTCTTAATTGGCTACTAATAGAGAAAACAATTTCTAAAGACTATTAAAATGACTTTTGAAAGAGTGAATGTGAAGCAAATTATTTGGAAATGCCAGCATCTATTTTTTATAATGTTGATTCTGATTTAAGATATATCTTTATGCTTTCAAGTCTTATCTCTTGCTGATAATGATAAACTATATACATCTACAATTTTATTTCTAAGTACATTCTGTGTATCTCCAGGTCTCAGCTGGGAAAATAATATTTAGTTTATTTAGAATTTTAAGAAACACAGATAACAGTAACTTTTATTTAGTGAAACCAGTACTGTATACATTATTACTAACTGTGGTCACCATGCAGTGCAGTAGAGCACTAGAACTTATTTTTCCAGTCTCACTGTAACTGTATACCCTCTAATTTCTATCTTTGATATCTTTCCTTTCCCCATCCCTTCCCTGACCCCTCAGCCTCTGGTAACCACCATTCTATTCTCTGTTTCTCTGACATAGGCTTTTTTAGATTCTGCATATCTTATAGTGAGATCATACAGTATTCATCTTTCTGTGTCTGGCTTATTTCACTTAGCATATATCTTTCAGGTCCATCCTTGTTGTTGCAAAAGACAGAATTTCCTTCTTTTTAAAAGCTGTATAGTATTCCATTGTGTGTATATAACACATTTTCTTTATCCATTCATCTGTTGAGTTGATTGATACTTAGGTTACTTTTGTATCTTGATTATTGTGAACACTGCTGAAATGAACATGGGGGTGCAGATATCTCTCTGACATACCAATTTCAGTTCCTTTGGCTATCTATCCAGAAGTGAATTTCCGAATCATATGGTAATTTTAGTATATTGCGGAATTTCCATGCTGTTAGTATTTTCCAAAATGGCTGTACTAATTTACATTCCCACCAACAGAAGGGTTCCTTTTTCTCCTTATCCTGGCCCAAGACTTGTTATCATTTGTCTTTTTGATAATAGCCATTCTGACAGGCATGAGGTGATATCTCATTGTGGTTTTAATTTGCATTTCCCTGATTAGAGATGTTGAGCATTTTTTCATATATCTCTTGCCCATTTGTATATCTTTGAGAAATGTCTGTTCAGACCGTTTGCCCATTTTAAAATTGGGTTATTTGTTTTCTTGCTATTGAGTTGTTTTGAGTTCCTTATATATTTTTGGTATTAGCCCTTTATCAGATGTATAGTTTGCAAATATTTCCTCCCAGTCACTTAGTTGTCTCCTCTTACTGTTAATTTTCTCCTTTGCCATACAGAAGCTTTTTAGTTTGATGCAACATCCGAAATATCTTCAAATGGGAAAAACTCCCTTAGGAAATAGCATTGAATTCTGTGCAAGCAGAACTTACCAGGATAAGAATAACATCCTGTACATATCTCTTTCAGGAAAAATAAATGCAACTATTTATTCTTGAATACTTTTGGAATGGGTTAGAGTGAAAATAAGTAAAATAAATATTTACGGAGGCATAGTTTACTACTATTATACTTTCTTTAAGTATACCCTATTTGGAAAACTTTAAAAACTTTGAAATATGTGTTATTACTTCAAAGGGAAATTGGAACAGACATTTTCATAAAGCTTTTTTGGTCAGTAAAAAGTTGTGTAGTTATTGGTGGGGATTATTATGATGGCAATGATAGAGAATATAAAGTGGCTAGGACCCAAAGGATTTCTAGAACAAGAGGATTATTTTCTTTGAAGTAGTAATTTGATAGTAATTTGAAGGGTTTGCTCAGTTTATAATTTAAAGTAAGAGTTATCCTGCTGTGACCAGTTAAGATAACAGTAGCTGACATTTATTGAGCCTCTCCTGTTATATTTTAAGTATTCTGCTAAAGATTTGACCATATATTGTCTCATTTAATCTTTACAACAATTTTTTTAAATTTAATATTGGGTAGGTTGGTTTCTGGTGAAAACCAGAAAACCTGCTACACAAATTCTAAAAGAGCTGTAACAACTCCCAACAATTTTTAAGGAGTACATACTATCCCACTTTAGGGAGAGGATGTGGTTCAAAGAGATTTTTAAGTGACTGAAATTCAAAACTGGGTCTGTCCAATCCAGAGCCTATATTTTTCCATTTTGCCATAGTACCTCATAATAATCTTTAAAACTGAGAACATTTCCTTTACATCTTCTTATTCAAAAAGGATTTTGTAAATATTTACTCATTGCCTGCCATGTGTAATTTAATTTGCTAGACCCTGTAATATATAGAAGAGGAAAGCAAGGCAGTTTCCCTCCCAAAAAAACTTGAGTCTTTGGAGGCAGACTAGTATCTATAGAACTAATTATCAGTAGCAGTTATATTTTAGGTGCTATGATAAGCATTCAAATACACTTTGAACACTTTTTACGGTTGGGTTGGAAGAACCCAACCTTAAAAAATGGGAAGGATTTAGACAGACCAAGATAGGGAGAAAGGCACAACTTTCAAGGAGAGTATGAGTCAAGGCCAAGAGGTGAAATCTTTAATACATTCAGTAGACTAATGAAGGAGGTAAAGATTTTTATTGACCAGGGAGACATGCTGGCAGAGATTTGGCTCCTAAAGTATACAAAACTGGGGTGGTATAAACTGACCAGGCCTTTGCTGATAAGTGGAATGTGGATATTATCTAGCGAAAGAATTCTCCCTTTTCTGTCTAGAATTATCCACCAGTGCCCACAAAGAGTTGCAGTTGTTAAATATTTAACTTAAAGTTCGTTTGTATGTGTTTGTCAAGGACTTTTTTTTTTTTTTTTGAGACGAGTAGCTGGGATTACAACACCCAGCTAATTTTTGCATTTTTAGCAGAGACAGGGTTTCCCCCTGTTAGCCAGCTGGTCTTGAACTCCTGACCTGCCTCGGCATCTGAAAGTGCTGGGATTATAGGTGTGAGCCACCGTGCCCGGCCCAAGGAAATAATTTTAAAAGCTAGTGATGGCTGGGCTTAGTGGCTCACGCCTGTAATCCCAGCACTTTAGGAGGCTGAGGCAGGCAGATCATGAGGTCAGGAGTTCGAGACCAGCCTGGTCACACGGTGAAACCCCACCTCTACTAAAAATGCAAAAATTAGCCAGGCGTGGTGGCAGGCGCCTGTAGTCCCAGCTACTCAGGAGGCTGGGGCAGGAGAATTGCTTGAACCCGGGAGGCGGAGGTTGCAGTGAGCTGAGATCGCGCCACTGCACTCCAGCCTCGGTGACAGAGCGAGACTCTTTCTAGAAAAAAATAAAAAATAAAAGCTAGTTATGAATAGGTGCAATGTTGATGAAATGTGTGGGGTCTGTTATTAAAAGATTATCTAATAAGCTACAGTTTTATAAATTCCTTAGGACATTTTCTTAAGATTCTTGCTAAAATATGGTATATGAAAATCTAAGAAAATTAAGCCACTTCTAGGGAAAATGAAACTTAGGACTTTTCAGTGCGACTGATTTTTAAACTTTCAGTACAGATACTAGTAATGTGAAAATGAAATTTTGAATCTTGCAAGGATTGGTTTATTATTATTTCCCCCTTTTAGAGGTAAGAGAATAAGACGAATGGGAAGAAATTGAAATTTAGGAAATCTTATCTTTTGTTGGTTATATATTTTAAATCCCCCCTTTTTAGGTTAGGAACAAAATATAATTAATTTTATGCTAGTAATTTTATTGTAATATTTAAATATATGAAAGAGGAAATTATGTAAAAGCCTCGGATAGTCTCCCTTTAAAATATTCAAGGAGTTACACCGTTTAGTGTAGATACTATCTGATGAATACAGTGTGTAGTGAAACTGTTACTTTATGAAATAGGGACAGTTTTTTAAAGGCTTTTTTTTTTAAGCAGCAGTTCAGTTTTTGTTCAACTAAAACCTTCATATTAGTGATTCTCAAGTTAGAGGAGCTGACATACCTCCCCTTTATGGGAGATAACTGCCTTCTTTCTTTCACTCTCCCACCCTTGAGAATGATTGACTAAATCACTGTTAATGAAAATGTCATCCCTCATCTGTATTGTAGCAAAGATATTTTTTCAGTCACTAACTGCTTAGTCATTTCCCTCTCCCCTTTTGCTCTATTAATTTCATCTTAGCTTTGACCCAGTTTTGAAGTTGGATAAAATGTTAACTTTTAAACTTATTTATCATTTTATCTATTCTTCTCAACTTTGTAACAACTGCATCTTTCACAAGCATAGCTTTGACTCAATTCTTGGTTAAAACAGTCTAAAAGGACAGTCAAATTCATGTGACACACTAAAGGTAATCCTCCAGACTTATACTTCCTTTTAATACTGCATGATATAGTTGAATGTCTAAGTTACAATTCCAGCTCCACCCATTTATTATAAGCATGCAATCTTAGACAAGGCACTTACACTCCCTGAACCTATTTCTTGATTTATAAATGGGGATAATAGTCTCTCCCCTGCCTTCTTTAACAAGCTGTTTTAAAGATCAATAAAAGAAACAGCTTACATAAGAGTTTTATAAACAATAAAATAGTATTCATTCATTCACATTCCTAGCATGTTCTAGGTCTCAGTCCTGGGTATACTGCAGTGAACAAACATAACAAGTTCTTTTGTTCTGTGTCAGGGGTTGACAAACTATGGCCAGTGGGCCAAATCCAGTCCACCATCTGTTTTTGTTTTGTTTTGTTTTGTTGTTTGTTGAGACAGGCTCTTGCTCTATTGCACAGGCTGGAGTGCAGTGGCACAATCATAGCTCACTGCAGCCTTGACCCCCCAGGCTCAAGTGATCCTCCTGCCTCAACCTCCTGAGTAGCTTGGACTACAGGCATGTGCCACCATGCCCGGCTAAATTTTCTTGTTATTTGTAATAGAGATAAGATCTTACTGTGTTGCCTAGGCTGGGTCTCGAATTCCTGAGCTCAAGCGTTTCTCCAGCTTTGGCCTCCTAAAGTGTTGGGATTACAGGTGTGAGCTGCTGTGCTGGGCCCACTGCCTGTTTTTATAGGATCTATAAACTAATGCTTTTGGAATGGTTGAAAACAAAAAAAGAATAATCATATTTCATGATGTGAAAATTACATGAAATACAAATTTCAGAGTACAAAATAAAGTTTTATTGGAACACAACCATGCTTAACAGTTGGGACAGAAACGCTGTGACTCCCAAAGCCCATCTGCCCTTTACATTAGCAGTTTATTGACTCTTGCTCTATGATCTTGGACTTTGGGGGATGTTGGACAGTAAACATGTAAGTATATGTTAAGTGGTGGCAAATTCCTTGAAGAAAAATAAAGCAGTAAAAGGGCTAGAATTGTGAAGGTTGGAAGGGTACAACAGCTAATTTATATATGGGAGTTAGGGAAGGGTAGTTTATTTGGCAGGTAACATTTGAACAGAGACTAAATAAAGATTGGAGTGAATAATCCAAGAGAGCATTTCTGGCCAAAGGAACAAGAAATATACCCTGAGGCATGAGTGTAGCTGTAAGTCTAGGAGCTAAGTGGTATGAGTGGAGGAATTAGGGAAGGAGGAGCCATGGAACAGACTTTAGATTTATTTATTTTTTGAGACAGAGTCTCACTCTGTCACCAAGGCTGGAGTGCAGTGGCACTGTGTTGGCTCACTGCAACCTCCGTCTCCTGGGTTCAAGCAGTTCTCCTGCCTCAGCCTCCCGAGTAGCTGGGATTACAGGTGCCCACCACTACGCCCGGCTAGTGTTTATATTTTTAGTAGAGACAGGGTTACACCATGTTGGCCAGGCTGGTCTCAAACTCCTGACCTCAATTGATCCACCCACCTCAGCCTTCCAAAATGCTGGGATTACAGGCGTGAGCCACCACACCCAGCCCAGACTTTAGATTTTATAGTGAGTATGTAAATATATCAGGCCGGGCACAGTGGCTCGCATCTGTAATCCCAGCACTTTGGGAGACTGAAGCAGGTGGATCACCTGAGGTCAGGAGTTCGAGACCAGCCTGGCCAACATGGTGAAACCCCATCCCTACTAAAAATACAAACATTAGCCAGGTGTGGTAGCACATGCCTGTAATCCCAGCTACCCAGGAGGCAGAGGTTGCAGTGAGCCGAGATCATGCCACTGCACTCCGGCCTGGGCAACAGAGCGAGACTCCATAGATATAGATATAGATATAGATATAGATATAGATATAGGTATAGATATAGAGATAGAGATATATATAGAGAGAGAATAATTTATATAATATATAATTATATATTATATAATTTTAATATAATTATATGTATTATGTCTACTACTTAAAGGTATTTTTGTGGTATTGTGTTCAAATAGTGAAAAATCAACACTTCAGAAACTATCAAATATCTAATAACCATCCACCATTTTAGTAACTGTCAGGAAATAACATAGGATTCCTTGCTATGACAATGTGTTTTAGGATTCCATGTTGGCATCTAATGATAACTACATTATTTTTAACCACTCATTAAGTATTTCACCCTTGCCATTGCATATACTTTCAAATCTCCTCGCTTTCATTTAAAAACTGGGAGATGTTTTGGTTCCTCTAATTGGATATTTCTCCTGTTCTTGATATTCACAGATGAACAGGGAATATTAAGTTTTTTCAGCACTTGAACCCGAATTCAAATACTACTACTAGATTTTCTTCCCTCACCCTGCTTTTTAACTTAGAAAATGGAAGTGAGCTTTTAGTTTACCTTTTTCTTTCATATAATCCCCTTGTTTAACCAATTCATCAATTTTTTAAGCATGAGGTACTATGGGGATATGAAGGTCAAAGGTCTTGGTCAAGAAGTAACTTTAAGAAGCCTTCTTTATTGCCTTTAGGATTTGGACATCCTCACCTCAGTCCTTTGGCTTCCTTGACCTGGTTCTTTCAGTTTTCATGTCACTCAGTAGCTTTTATCTTTCTTTATTTCCCCTTTCATCTTAAAAAAAAAAATTAAAGGATGAGGGATGTTGACATGCTCCTTTTTTTATTAAAAAAATTGGCCAGCCGCCCCGTCCGGGAGGTGAGGGGCGCCTCTGCCCGGCCGCCCCTACTGGGAAGTGAGGAGCCCCTCTGCCCGGCCAGCCGCCCCGTCCGGGAGGGAGGTGGGGGGGTCAGCCCCCCACCCGGCCAGCCGCCCCGTCCGGGAGGGAGGTGGGGGGGTCAGCCCCCCGCCCGGCCAGCCGCCCCGTCCGGGAGGGAGGTGGGGGGGTCAGCCCCCCGCCCGGCCAGCCGCCCCGTCCGGGAGGGAGGTGGGGGGGTCAGCCCCCCGCCCGGCCAGCCGCCCCTTCCGGGAGGTGAGGGTCGCCTCTGCCCGGCCGCCCCTACTGGGAAGTGAGGAGCCCCTCTGCCCAGCCAGCCGCCCCGTCCGGGAGGGAGGTGGGGGGATCAGCCCCCCACCCGGCCAGCCGCCCAGTCCGGGAGGGAGGTGGGGGGGTCAGCCCCCCGCCCGGCCAGCCGCCCCGTCCGGGAGGTGAGGGGCGCCTCTGCCCGGCCGCCCCTACTGGGAAGTGAGGAGCCCCTCTGCCCGGCCAGCCGCCCCGTCCGGGAGGGAGGTGGGGGGGTCAGCCCCCCGCCCGGCCAGCCGCCCCGTCCGGGAGGGAGGTGGGGGTGAGCCCCCCACCCGGCCAGCCGCCCCGTCCGGGAGGTGAGGGGCGCCTCTGCCCGGCCGCCCCTACTGGGAAGTGAGGAGCCCCTCTGCCCAGCCAGCCGCCCAGTCCGGGAGGGAGGTGGGGGGGTCAGCCCCCCGTCCGGGAGGTGAGGGGCGCCTCTGCCCGGCCGCCCCTCCTGGGAAGTGAGGAGCCCCCTGCCCGGCCAGCCGCCCCATCCGGGAGGGAGGTGGGGGGGTCAGCCCCCCGCCCGGCCAGCCGCCCCATCCGGGACGTGAGGGGTGCCTCTGCCCGGCCGCCCCTGCTGGAAAGTGAGGAGCCCCTCTGCCTGGCCACCGCCCCGTCTGGGAGGTGTGCCCAGCAGCTCATTGAGAACGGGCCAGGATGACAATGGCGGCTTTGTGGAATAGAGAGGGGAGAAAGGTGGGGAAATGATTGAGAAATCGGATGGTTGCCGTGTCTGTGTAGAAGGAGGTAGACATGGGAGACTTTTCATTTTGTTCTGTACTAAGAGAAGTTCTTCTGCCTTGGGATCCTGTTGATCTGTGACCTTACCCCCAACCCTGTGCTCTCTGAAACATGTGCTGTGTCCACTCAGAGTTAAATGGATTAAGGGCGGTGCAAGATGTGCTTTGTTAAACAGATGCTTGAAGGCAGCATGCTCATTAAGAGTCATCACCACTCCCCAATCTCAAGTACCCAGGGACACAAACGCTGCGGAAGGCCGCAGGGTCCTCTGCCTAGGAAAACCAGAGACCTTTGTTCACTTGTTTATCTGCTGACCTTCCCTCCACTATTGTCCTATGACCCTGCCAAATCCCCCTCTGTGAGAAACACCCAAGAATGATCAATAAAAAAAAAAATAAATAAATAAATAATTGAAAAAAAAAATTTTAATTTGCTTTATCATACTAGTAACATTATATTTCTTATAACTTTTTGAACACAGAGGTAAGCCAAAAAAAGAAAACAATTTTTTTTGTACTAGAGATAGTCCCAGTTAAAATTTAGTAGCTATACATAGGTGTAAATATATATAATTTCTAAAAGACCAGGAAAGAAGTAAAAGCCCTTTTCATTCAACAGCACATTATAAACATATATAAACAGCATATTATAAACCCATGTCAACAAATGGAGCACTTCTCAAACTTTTTTACTGTCAGGACCCCTTTACATACTTAAAAACTGAATTTTTTTTTTATGTGGCTTATATCTGTTAAATTAGATATTAAAACTGAGGCCGGGCGCAGTGGCTCACACCTGTAGTCCCAGCACTTCGGGAGGTGAGGCGGGTGGATCATTTGAGGTCAGGAGTTCAAGACGAGCCTAGCCAACATGGTGAAACCCCATGTCTACTAAAAATACAAAAATTAGCGGGGCCTTATGGCACGTTCCTGTAATCCCAGCTACTCAAGAGGCTGAGGCCGGAGAATCACTTGAACCTGGGAGGTGGAGGTTGCAGTGAGCTGAGATTGTGCTGCCGCACTCCAGCCTGGGTGACAGACTGAGACTGTCTCAAAAAAAAAAAAAAAAAAAATACTAAAACTGATTTTTAAAATAACTCATTTGAAAATAATAAACCTATTACATTTAACATAGTTATTTGTTGTTTAAAAAAAAACCTTTATTTTCCAAAATAGAACAGGAATTAGTGTGACAAGTCACATTGTTTTACATTTTGCAAGTCTTGTAAACTCCTGCGTTCAGTTTGTTACCACATGTTGTCTTAGTTTGTGTATATTGTTTCCTGTACTCGGAATGCCTTCCTTGATCTTAACTACTCATCCTCCAATCCATCTCAAACATCACAGCCTCTGAAGACTACCCCGCACCTTTTTTTTTTTTTTTTTTTTTTTTTTTTGAGACAGAATCTCACTCTTATCACCCAGGCTGGAGTGCAGTGGCGCAATCTTGACTCACTGCAACCTCTGGTACCTGGGTTCAAGCAATTCTCCTGCCTCAGCCTCCCGAGTAGCTGTGATTACAGTTGCCTGCCACCGTGCCTGGCTAATTTTTGTATTTTTTTTAGTAGAGATGGGGTTTCACCATCTTGGCCAGGCTGGTCTTGAACTCCTGACCTCGTGATCTGCCCACTTTGGCCTCCCAAAGTGCTGGGATTATAGGCGTGAGCCACCGCGCCTGGCCGACCACCCTCTTTTTAATGTAGGTATACAGAGTTGATTGCATCTTCCTTTGTGCCTCACTCTGCATTTATTACCTGCTTGCTACATTACTATCTAGGCATCAGGTCCTTGAGGGTAGTGACAATGTCTTATCCAGTCTTCGGTCTTTATTTATTGATACTTCTCTTCCTAGTTTGCCGAATGGGTGAATTATTACTTTTTTATATGCGGTATCAGTTCATCTTCTATCGAAACAAACTGCTGTTCTTTCATTTGTACCAATTCCATCAGATTTTGTAACTTTTGAAAATTTGGGTGGGACTTCGGGAATATTAGTATCTTGAATTTTCAGTTTGGTAATTTTATTATACATTCAAATATTATGTTATATAAGTAGTATGTAAAATATGGCTGTGGCTTTATTCCTTTTTCCTTGCAGGGAAGTTACTTTTTTGATAGTGTGTGAATATGTATATACTTATTTTTTGGATTACACACACTTGACCGAGGAGTTTTATAATTATGTAAAGATTACGGGAAATGCACCTTGACAGAAAGGGGATAGACCATAGCTCACTCCACAGATTTGTCACAAATAGACCAAAAAAAAAGGTTTATTATTAAAAGTAGGATTACTGATTTTTTAAATAAGAGATTGATACCAACAGTTGAAAAGTGCAGAAATGTGATTAAGTGTACATGCCAAGGAAAATATAGATAGAAATCTTTATTGTAACGGTTAGTCCTATGTAGCATAATTTTCATGAGTTGAGCAGGATTTCTTCCTGATTAGAATCTCTCTTTTTATTGTTTTTGCTCAGTTAATATAAGGAGCCTTATGGAGCATTTCCTCTCCACCAGTTTTCATCCCAGAAAAAATAATACACTATCTGTAATTACCCTGTCAAGGCAGGGTTCTAAAACTTTATGTACCTAAGAATATTCTAACATGTATTTTTGTGGCGTGAATTCCTGATGCCTGTTTCCAGGTAGTCCACATACCAACTTTTGTCTTCCAAGTCTTAAAAAATGTGTAGGATTTGTAGCTAAAAGAAATTTTGCAGATCTTCTAATATGACTCTATGAGGAGATGGATTATCATGAGAAAACTCAGGACCGAAAAAAGTTAGTAATGTTTCTAGAATCACAAATCTAGTTAGCTAATGGACCAACAGAGACAGTTATTGGAACCCAAATTTTCCATTCTACCTTGCTCCATCAATCACTAGGCCTTTCTTGACTAACGGTTTCATCACAGAGCAGCTTTTCTTTGTCCTTTTCAGAATAAGAGTGAACTTACAGTAAGATTATCTGTATAAGCCTAGGAATACTAAAGTTGTAAAGTATTTCTGTTTTGTTTATTTTCTTTTTTGAGACAGTCTCACTCTGTCGCCCAAGCTGGATTGCAGTGGCGGGATCTCGGCTCACTGCAAACTCTGCCTCCTGGGTTCAAGAGATTCTCCTGCCTCAGCCTCTCAAGTAGCTGGGATTACAGGTGTGTGCCACCATGCCCGGCTAAGTTTTGTATTTTTAGTAGAGACAGGGTTTCACCATGTTGGCCAGGTTGGTCTCGAACTCCTGACCTCAAATGATCCACCTGCCTCAGCCTCCCAAAGTGCTGGGATTACAGGCGTGATCTACCACACCCAACCCAAATTGCTGGGTTTTTTTTTCTAATTCTCTTCTCCCAGCTTTTTTTTTTTTTTTTTTTTTTTTGAGACAGAGTCTCCCACAGTTGCCCAGGCTGGAGTGCAATGGTGCAATCTTGGTTCACTGCAACCTCCACCTTCCGGGTTGAGGTGATTCTCCTGCCTCAGCTTCCCAAGTAGCTGGGATTACAGGTACCCACCACCACACCCAGCTAATTCTTGTATTTTTGGTAGAGATGGGGTTTTGCCATGTTGGCCAGACTGGTCTTGAAGTCCTGACCTCAAGTGATCCACCCACCTCAGCCTCCCAAAGTGCTGGGATTTTACAGTCATGAGCCACTGCACCTGGCCCCAGCTTTGTATTCAAGAGACTCTTGAACGTATTTTTTTTTCTGCTGAAGAATAGTTTGATGGGGTCATCAATAAACTTAAAATTGTTTGAAGGAAATAAGTCAACAGAGGATAACTAGCTAGAAATAAGGCTCAGTTTATTGTTAGATATACCATGTTCTTCTTTGCCCTACCTTAGGGAGTTGAATCATCTTCATACTCATTATTACATCAAATATTAGGGAATTTTCATCCTTTCTCTCATAGTATGTTAGAACTATACTGAGAGACCCATTTGTGGTGAGTCCTATTTATTATCATTACTAGCATTATTACTATGTATAGATACTGCCAAATATCTATATATTGGTATTGCCAAATGCCAAATAGATAGGAGCCATTCTGGAGGATCTTACATCAGTTTAAGAATCAAGAAGGAAAGGATCCAGAACAGTCTTAGAGTAGATTAACTGGAGAATTGCTCTCTGGCTAGTTGGACCACTTAGCTCCTCCCTTCTCTCCTCTTTGGGCTAAGCTGAAGACAAAAACAGCATTTGTCCTCAGAATATAGCACTGAGTATGAGCACTGGGACCATAGATGCAGAGTGGTGTCCCACATAGCCTGTGGACCTTAGGCTCACTCAGAAGATAAACTGCTCACATACCCTGATGAGCAGAAGCAAATCTACTCTTTCCCTCCCCTGTAGTCACTAGAGGCAAGCTACCAGCAAACAATAGGCAAACTAAATTAAAGTCAGAGCACCATTTATGGAAAACCAATACCATGAAGGGGAAGAATCAAATTCAATGAGGATAGGATCTAAATTTTTAGGAAACAATCAGTAGAACAAGACTTTAAAATCGGTAGTTATACTGGGCACAGTGGCTCACACCTGTAATCTCAATGCTTTGGGAGGCTGAGGTGGGAGGATCACTTGAGGCCAGGAGTTTGAGACCAGCCTGGGCAATATAGTGAGACCCTCTCTCTGCAGAAAATTAAAATTTTTTAAAAATTAGCCAGGCATGGTGAGGCACACCTGTAGTCTTAGCTACTTGAGAGCTTGAGGCAGGAGGATCACTTGAACCCAGGAGTTTGAGGTTACAGTGAACTAGGATCACACCACTGCACTCTAGCCTGAGCAACCAAGTGAGACCCTGTCTCTGAGAAAAAATAACTACAAAAATTAAATAAGTAGTTAGTGTCCTCATAAAGATATTGTATACACACTAAAATAAATTGCTTTGCTCTACATACTTGCCAGTGCAAAAAAAAAAAAAAAAAAGACAAAAGGAATTACCAAAAATCTTGGAAATTAAAAATTGAACAGTCAAAATAATTGTTATGCTGGGCCTGTTGATGAGTGCCTGTAGTCCCAGCTACTCAGGAGGCTGATGCGGAAAGATTCCTGAGGTCAGGAGTTGGAGGCTGCAGTGAGCTATGATCACACCACAGTACTCCAGTCTGGGCAACAACATAGCGAGACCCTGTCTCTTAAAAAAAAAAAATGGAGCAGGAAAATGGGCACAGACGAAGAGCATATTAATGGATTGGAGTAGAGCATTTTCCCCAGACAAATCATAAAATGACAAAAAAGATAAAATATAGAGGAAAACAATGAGATAAGCGGATTAGAACCTAACATTTTATCATCCATTTATAATAGTATATCCAGAAAGGGAGAATGGCAACAGGGGGCAGAGGACAGAGGCTAGGTTGAATAACAGGAGAAATATTTTCCATAGCATTCCTTGTGCCCTCTAATACAGTGGTGAATAGTAGAGGTGATAGGAGTCATCTTTGCCTTGTGTTTAAAGTTGATGACTTAGGGCAGGCACGGTGGCTCACACCAATAATCCCAACACTTTGGGAGGCCGAGGCCAGAGGATCACCTGAACCTAGGAGTTTGAGACCAGCCTGGGCATGATGAGACCTGTCTCTACAAAAATAAAAATTACGAAGTTAGGTGTGGTGGCACATGCCTGTGGCCCCAGCTACTCAGGAGGCTGAGGCAGGAAGAGCGCTTGAGCCCAGGAATTTGAGGCTGCAGTAAGCCTTGATCATGCCACTGCACTCCAGCCTGGACAACAGCCAAGACCCTATCTCAAAATAAATAAATTAATAAAGTTAGTGACATTGCTTATGTTTCATTATTAAGGTTGTTGTAGAATTTTGGTAGGTAGTCCTTTATTAAATTAAAGGTGTTTATTTTATATCTACCAAAAATTAATAGTTTTGGTTTTTTATGATATTGGAGTAGGTGTTAATTTTTTTTTTTTTTTCAGCATGAGTTGAGATGATCACATGGTTTTGGTCTTTTAATTTGTAAGTTACAGTAACTTATTATATTGAACCGTCCTTGTATTGGGAGAATTGGTATTGGTATACTATTTAATTTGCTAATATTTTATTTAGTTTTGCTTAAATGTTCATAATCAAGATCATAGCTTTCTCTTTTTGTGAATGTAATGTATTTGGTCAAAAACTATTATCCTGTTTTTGAAAGACGAATTCAGATTTATCAAAACACGTATATTCCCAAATCAGAATGTACCTATATTGATAGTAACAGCTTTGGGGTGCTTTATGAAAAGAAAATTTGAAGACTCCTAAACAGTAAATGTTTAAACAGAACATTTTTTTCAAGGGATATGATGAAAATTTATAATTTGTTAATTATTTCTCCTTTTATATGTTACTCTTCATAATTCTCCTAAGTGTAAATTTTGTTTCTCTTTAGGTACGCATAGCTGCTAAATTCATCACTCATGCACCCCCAGGGGAATTTAATGAAGTATTCAATGGTGAGTAAAGATTAGTATTTTAATCCCTCCTTAATTACCATTATTTATTGAGTACTTGCTGTCTGTTTTAATTCTTACGACTTGTTGTAGCCATAGCTAAGTAAATCAAGATTCAAAAAAATTGAAATAACTTGTCCAAGGTCCCCCAGTTAGTAAATGTCAAAGCAAGAATTCAAACCCAGGTCTGAGTGAAAATAAAGCTCCTAACCCATAAATTAGGATGCCTATCTTATGTGAGAAAAGATTTAATGCAGATTAGTATCAATAAATGTAGAAACAATACTAAATTATTTTCATAGTTTTATTTTTATCGTTATAGATCATAGCTTAATTTTCTTCATTGCTTTCACTTAGGAAGTCACATGATATGGAACACTTTTTTGGGCCAGTGGGGCTGAACGGACTATATCTGGGGAGCTTATTAAATATGCAGATTCAACTTTATCTTCCCCTCAAGATTCACATTCATTAGATCTGAGGTGGAACTGGTTAATCTGTATTTCATCAAGTTCTTTACCAGGTGATTCTGAATCGCAGCAGGTTGGGGAACCACAATTAAATACATTTACAACTTTCCATACTATCTGCTGTCTTAATACATTTTACAAGATGGAAAATGTGATGGAGCATCTTAAACTTCATGGTGAAATAAATAATCATAATCCCATTTTAAGTTATTAAGTTTGTCTTAAAGATGCCTTAAGCAAAATAATAATTGTTGTGCATCTTGGTTCAGTTTAGCAAACATTTATTTTGAGATTCTAATTTTATATTAGAAAGTTAGCTACTCGAGAGGAACTGTATGATATTCCTTTGTACCTGGCCCAGATGGTAGAACAGTCAATAATAATCTTTATTGCTAAAATTGGAAAAAGTAACTAGGAGAAACATAAACATTTGCTTCAGGGAGTATAAGATATAATAGAAGTAAATCAAGATATTTTTTCTAAAATTGTTTGTGGATTTTGAGCACCAACAGCAAAGGAAACAAATGCAGCCTTTTTCTAGTCTTTTACATTGACTAAATGTAAATTCTTAGTAACATTTTTAATAAATTTTCCTGTTGAATTTTTCTTTTTTTTTTTTTTTTTTTTTTGACGGAGTCTTGCTTTGTTGCCAGTCTGGAGTGCAGTGGCGTGATCTTGGCTCACTGGAACCCCTGCCTCCCAAGTAGCTGGGACTACAGGTGCTCACCACCACACTTCGCTAATTTTTTGTATTTTTAGAAGAGATGGGGTTTCACCATGTTGGCCAGGATGGTCTCGATCTCTTGACCTCATGATCCGCCTGCCTCAGCTTCCCAAAGTGCTGGGATTACAGGCGTGAGCCACCACACCTGCCCGAAATTTTCAATTTTCAGTAGAAAATTCTTCTTGAACTTTAGCTCAGATAAATTCTTAACTAACAGGCCAGGCGTGGTGGCTCACACCTGGAATCCCAACACTTTGGGAGGCCAAAGTGAGCAGATCGCCTTAGGTCAGGAGTTCGAAACCAGCCTGACCAACATGGTGAAACCCCGTCTCTACTAAAAATACAAAAATTAGCCAAGCATGGTGGCAGGTGCGTGTAATCCCAGCTGCTCGGGAGGCTGAGGCCGGAGAATCTCTTGAACTGGGGAAGCGGAGGTTGGAATGACCCAAGATTGCGCCATTGCACTCCAGCCTAGGCGACAGGAGTGAGACTTCGTCTCAAAAAAAAAAAAAGGTGACTAGACTTCTGATACACAGCTTTTTAAAAAGGTTGTAGACCCCACATTAGATTCTCCAAGGTTAAGAATTTCACTCTTACTGACTGAATTGTGCCCAGCTTTCTTGATATGATGTTGTAGAAACGCCTGCAATTCTTAATCTATGCTCATATTAAAGGATTCATTTAAATACAGAATTAACACTCTTTAACTGTAGCTTTCTGTAAACCATGTTTGTCATTTGCTATAAAGTTCCTTGAGACTATATAGCACACATAATTGTACACAAATCTGTGAACATTAGCATCTTTTTATTTGCATGTTTAGAATTTCTACTCATATAGTACACCTGAAGACTAATTTTACAAAGCCTGACATTTAAAAATTCAATCTAGAAATCTGCTAAAATTTCTCAAATTTATCCTCCACTGAACATTGTAACATTTTTCCTCCTCAGACGTTCGGCTACTACTTAATAATGACAATCTCCTCAGGGAAGGGGCAGCACAGTAAGTATCTTTCCAAATCCACTTAGAATGTTACTCTAACATTGGATAAACTATGTTGACAGTAAACTAGCACCCTGAAAACAAAGTTTAAAATACTTCAAAGTAAAGCAGTTGGTTTTAGCAATTTTCGTTGTTTTTTTTAATTGGAGAAAACATGTTCCCCCAATTGTTGTTTACTTCCTCAAAGCTTACTATAATATATGAACTAGTTTTTATTTCTGCCCACATTTGCCCGATTAAAGCAGAGTTTAATGTTAGCTGTTAGGTTTTCCTTTATAGTTGTTCTAGTTCGTGTTGAATTTTTTTAAACAGCTAGCTATACATAGGAATGATCTGCCAGTGAGGAATGATAATGTTTAAGAATAGCAAATATTAATAAAGTGCCTTAATAGTTAAAATTAACCATAAGATAAAAGCATGATTAGCTTACCTAGTCATTGACTCCTTACCACTCTGAAGCTAATTAATCTTTCTAAAATATTTTCATTGTGTCCTTGCCTTCAAAAATATTACGGTGGTGCCTCTTTTTTTTTTTGATATCTTCTATAATAAAATCTAAACTTGCTGTAGCTTTCAAGGCTCCCTGTTGTCTGGCTTTATCACTACTCTACTTTTCAACACAAAGTTCTGTTTCAGTTGCTGTCTACCCAACTGGCTCAGAGTTCCTTTGTAAAGAGTTGGATAATGGCTAGAGTGGGTAGGGATGGGGAGACAGGACAAGGACATGTTGATGCAGAGCAACAAATAATTATCATAAAGTCATTGGGTATGATATATAATTGGTTTAGATTTTAGCCATAGAAAACAGTTGTAAGAGCTGCTGCCTGGGAAACAATAATCTGCCCTGTCCATGCTGCTTTTTTGGAACTCATTTTGGGACTAGATTCTGCAAACGTAGAATTTGCACAGCTTTACTGTAATTGTCATCGTGAATGATACCCTAATTATACATTGATTTAAGGAAGCTAGGCTCACATCGGAGATATACTCTAATGATGGTTTCTCTTAGATTCATAGAATCTGCCATAGAAAAGGACATTCATGATTTGCTAGTTTAACTCCTCTCTACTTTCTTTCACTGAAAGAATCTCATCAACATCTGTCAATAGACAGTTATCTAATCTGAATGCTTCTAATAATAAGGAATTCACAATCTCACAAGGCAAGTTCTTCAATTTGCCTGCCATATTGGTCCCAGTTTTATCCTTGAGAACTACCCACAGTAAATATGCTCTGTACGTCACTTGATAAGCTGAAAGGGGTGGATGTTGAGTATCACCTAAGTGTCATTGCAACCTAAAGCCTGTTATCCTCTTTCCAATAGAACCAAAGAGAAGTTGGTATGTAGCTTCTCGGCCTTTTGGCTAAGATTAAGAGAAGTTGGTATGTAGTTCAGATACTTCATTTTCTTTAATTGCACTGACACTAAAGCTTTGTATTTATAACTATTCTGGTTCTTATAGACTATAGGTTCTTGGGGAACCCTCTTGTTAAGAGAATTTTCCTGGACCCAAATATTTGATTTTCCATAGAGAAGAAAAATTCAGTTTTATTTCTGTATTAAAGCATTTCAGTCCCTTGGCCATAGTCCTCATAGTAACTGCTCAATTAATGTTTTCATAATCATTGTCATAATTATTGCCTTCAGTCTGTATAAAATGAAGGGCTTGAAGTAGCTAAGATTTACCATCTTTCCTGGATTTCCACCAGTTTCTGGCCACCAGAACCATCCCCAGATAATTCCAGCGCTTCTGGAATAAATAGGGTGTTGTAAGTTATGTTAAAGAGTGAATTTCATTCTGACAGAGATAGGAAGTAAGATTGTTTTGAGTAGAGAATAACATAATGAGACTTATATTTTAGAATAATCACTAGCTCCTGTGTAGAGGGGCAAAAGCTGAGGTAAGATGAGTAATTCCAAGACAATGAGAATAGTTCAGGGATAGATGCTACTGGTTGGACTAGAGTGGTAGCAGTGGGGGTGGTGGGAAGAAGTCAGATTCTGAATATGTACTTAAGTAGAGCCTACAAGATTTACTGATGGACTGGATGTGAAGTGTGAGAAAAAGAGAAGAATCAAAGATCACCCCAAGTTTTTGGCTTAGGCAGCTGGTAAAATGGAGATGCTGTTTACTTGAGATGGAATTAAAGGTAAGGACATTTTGGTGTTGGTGTTGGTAATCTATAGTCTTAGGACATATACTAGAATAAAATATTTACTTCCTACTCGTTTTTTTTTAAACTAACATTTATTCTACTTTTTATGAATAAATTGTATCCTTTCTGAAGAGCTAATGTGTTTGGGATTAATTTTGCTACATGGGGATGTGGTGTTTTAAGGAGTAAAACACAGTAATAACTTTTGGCTGGGTGTGGTGGCTCACACCTGTAATCCCAGCACTTTGGGAGGCCAAAGTGGGTGGATCACCTGAGGTCAGGAGTTCGAGACCAGCCTGGCCAACATGGTGAGACTCCCCCCGATCTCTAAAGAAAATACAGAAATTAGCTGGGTGTGGTGGTGCGCATCTGTAATCCCAGTTACTTGGGAGGCTGAGGCAGGAGAATCACTTGAATCCGGAAGGCAGAGGTTGCGGTAAGCCAAGATCGTACCACAGCACTCTAGCCTGGGCAACAGAGTGAGACTGCATCACCCCCACCCCCCAAAAAAATAAATACACAAAGTATACAGTAACAACTTTTAACAAAATAAGATTGAAAATTAGCTTTAGAGGCTGGGCACGGTGGTTCATGCCTGTAATCCCAGCACTTTGGGAGGCTGAGGTGGGCGGATCACCTGAGGTTGGAAGTTCGAGACTAGCCTGACCAACATAGAGAAACCCAGTCTCTACTAAATATACAGAAATTAGCTGGGCATGGTGGCACATGGTAATCCCAGCTACTCTGGAGGCTGAGGCAGGAGAATCGCTTGAACCCGGGAAGTGGAGGTTGTGGTGAGCCAAGATCACACCATTGCACTCCAGCCTGGGCAACAAGAGCTAAACTCCATCTCAAAAAAAAAAAAAAAAAGCTTTAAATATTTGAAGAAGTTTAAATGTTTGTTACTTTGCTTTATCTTGAGAAGCCTAGTTTTAACCACTGCTTAAAACTAGTGGTCTCCATCCTTTTGTAGTTCATAAGTGTGATGGTTGAGTTTTCACATGCATGTGTGAGATGTGCCTCCCTCAAACCTTGTTATGTTGGCACATTACCTGTCTGACATGGGGAAAAAAAAAAACTAGCAGTCTATTTTAATAGGTTAAAATTGGGAATTCTGTGAGAAGACTGATACTTTTTAAGAATATAAGTGTAGCTCTTATTTCCATCTTTCTTTTATCTTGTCTTTTGCTTTAGCTTTGTAAAATGTATTAGAGAGCCATTAAAAATGCAGAATTTCAAAAATCAAGCTTTGGACAAATAGTAATATTAGGCATGTACTTTGATTATTTATGCATTCCTCTTTTAAAAATAACTACTTTGTGCCTGAGGCTCTACTTTTATACTTGACTCATGCTCAACTCTCACTTCACCTTCTTCGCATGTCAGATGCCTTCTGACATTTAATTATAGTTTCTCGTGACTTTGAGAGCCAAGAAAAAAGATCATTTCCAAAATAGTGTATCAATGGAGGATTCTTTTGAATTACTGAAAGCTTCTGCCCAAATGATTAAAATTGTTGGCAGTTCACAATAATTAGATTGCTTCAAACTTTGGAATTAGCCGAGTGTGGTGGTGTGCACCTGTAGTCCCAGCTACTCAGGAAACAGATGGGAAGATCTCTTGAGCCCAGGAGTTTGAGGCCAGCCTGGCAACGTAGTGAGACTCTATCTCAAAACAAACCAACTTTGGAATTGTCTAAGCAGAAGGTCTTTT
This sequence comes from Homo sapiens, assembly GCF_000001405.40. Lineage (NCBI taxonomy): Eukaryota > Metazoa > Chordata > Mammalia > Primates > Hominidae > Homo > Homo sapiens. The sequence continues at coordinate 112,653,340 of NC_000001.11, forward strand.
GGAGCTCAGGAGCAGAGAGGAAAAGGTAATTTCAGAGTTTAAGGAGCTTCCAAGATCTCCGTAGAGAGGAGTCCCTTCAGAAAGCTGGAAGGCATTATGTTAACACTGGATGTCTGGGGAGAAGGGAAAAGTACAGGGTACTATTTTCACATTTCCTTTCACTATTCTGTGAACCACCTTTTGTGTTTATTTACACATAATTCTTTTCTCTCTCCCTCTTTTTTTTTTTTTTTTTAAAAAACTTTTAAAAAAAAACAGTGCATTTGCCCAGTATAACATGGATCAGTTCACGCCTGTGAAGATAGAAGGATATGAAGATCAGGTAATAATTGCCTTTTAGACAGGCTATGCCTGGCAGATAGTAGAGATCCTATTAATGGAAACCAAAGCAGATGTCTGAACCAGGTGCTGAATAAATTTGTCTTAGTTTTTATAGTTTTTGTGTGTACTGTACGTGTTAGGATATTCTTCTCTTTCTCATAACACTAGCAGTTTCTTTGACAAGAAAGGAGAGCAGCCTCTTAACAAGAACAGTGAAAATGGAAGTATTTAAGTTTTACAGGTTTTCCAGCTGTCTTTAATTCTCCTTGATAAGAGTAACAACAGACATTATATTTAATGGAAAAACAGAGGCGTTCCTCCTGAAATTTAGACTACTTATTTATTACTTTAGGATTTTGGTGGTTGGGAAATGGGATGAGAAAACAGTTCACTTTGTGTATTTTTTCATTTTTGAACCATGTGAATGTATTACCTATTTTAAATGCTAAGTGTAATGGCCCTAAAGTTTCATAATGACTCTGGAAAAATATGTGAAAAAAATACAAAAGTGTACATAAAAGTTATTACAGCTATGTATAAAGTACATATATAGTTATGTATAAGTATATATTAGAAACCAAGAAATGAATATTATTAGTATGGGGGATATTTTGTAGTTTAAAGTTGACTTATTCATAAATACAATATTCTTAATAATACGGGACTTGGTTGAAAAATTAATATGAAAGAAATCTGACTAAATGAAAAGTTAACTGCCTCAGAATTTTTATTGATGTGTTTCATAAAAGGCAGTAAGAATTGTCTTTTTTACAGTTACTCATATGTTTAATGATTCTTTGGAAGGTCTTAATTACAGAGCACGGTGACCTGGGTAATAGCAGATTTTTAGATCCAAGAAACAAAATTTCCTTTAAATTTGACCACTTACGGAAAGAAGCAAGTGACCCCCAGCCAGAAGAAGCAGATGGAGGTCTGAAGTCTTGGAGAGAATCCTGTGACAGTGCTTTAAGAGCCTATGTGAAAGACCATTATTCCAACGGCTTCTGTACTGTTAAGTATCTGACTGCTTCGTTATCAGAGAGTGTTTTCTTATATTTACCTTATCCTTTGGAGGCTTTGGCCTACCAAACATCCCTACTTTCTTCTTAGCCATGCTCTCTTCTCCTCTGCATTTTATTCCCTAAATCATTTTGGAAAGGGGTATAAATGAAATTTTTATATGGAAAATTTCTTTTTAAAATCCCAATGCACAAAAAATTTAGGTATCAGTGTATTCTGTTTTCACATTTGACTTATGAAAAATGCCTTACACCCATCAGAAAAAGGTCTTTGGTTTTTCTTTTTTTCTTTCTTTTTTTTAAATTAACCTTTTAAATTAATTTTTTTTTGTTTGTATTTTTACCCAGATCTAAAAGGTCTTTGGTTTGGACATGGAGAAAAAAATGGTATACTAAGATTGTTGAGAGAGCTTTTGCTCATATTTATGGCTTTTTGATATAGGCATTTTTACACAAACTACTTCTACATAGTTTAGATGTTTATATTCAGTAATCAAAACTATTAGAACTAAACAATTGGCTGGACATGGTGGCTCATGCCTGTAATCCCAGCACTTTGGGAGGCCAAGGTGGGCAGATCACTTGAGGCCAGGAGTTCGAGACCAGCCTGGCCAACATGGTGAAACCTTTACTTAAAAAATACAAAAAGTAGCTGGATGTGGTGGTGCACACCTGTAGTTTCAGCTACTCAGGAGGCTGAGGCACAAGAATCACTTGAACCAGGGAGGTGGAGGTTGCAGTGAGCTGAGACCACACCACTGCATTCCAGCCTGGGCAACAGAGTGAGACACTGTCTCAAAAAAACAAAAAACAAAAAAAACCAAACAATTTTTTTTTAATCAGGAGTGATTTTCTTTTTGTTGTTGTTTTTGCTGTTGTTGTTGTTGTTCTTTTGTTTTTTGAGACTAAGTCTTACTCTGTCACCCAGGCTAGAATGCAGGGGCACCGTGTCAGCTCAATGTCACCTCCATCTCCTGGGTTCAAGCAATTCTCCTGCCTCAGCTTCCTGAGTAGCTGGGATTACGGGTGCCCACCACCACACCTGGCTAATTTTTATATTTTTAGTAGAGACAGAGCTTCACCATGTTGGCCAGGCTGGTCTCGAACTCCTAACATCAGGTGATCCAGCTGCCTCGGACTCCCAAAGTGCTGGGATTACAGGCGTGAGCTGCTGCACCTGGCCTAATTTTCTTTTACTCCCTCTTGACTGTAAAAATAGATAAATTTGGCTTTATTATTTTTCCTTTATAAAATTATGGCATATTAAGAAAAATATTGATTAGAATATTTTTTATTTTTAAATTGACAAAAATATGATATGTACAACATGATATTTTGAAATATGTATACATTGTGGAATGGCTATATTGAGCTAATAACATGGATTTCTATACATATTTATCATTTTTTTGTTGTGGGAAAATCAGCAATTTTCACTAGAATATTTTAAATATACAATGATGATGAATTACATGGCAGTCTAGAATACAGTTAAGAGCACCTACTTTGAAGCCTTACTAACTGGTTTGATTCCTGGCCCTGCCAATTAATTAGTTGTGTGACCTTAGGTAAATTACTTAACATCTCTGTGCCTCAATTCTTTGACTGTAAAATGGAAATAATTGTTTTTATCTCATAGAGTTGTTGTGAAGATTTAATGAATTAGTAATATATGTAATATATGCCTGGAACAGTGCCTGGCACAAAGTAAGCTCTACATAAATGTTAGATGAATGTTAGGCTAGGTGTCATTATGTTTGATTTTTTTTTTTTTTTTTTTTTTTTTTAATGAGAATACCCATTATGGTGGACTGGACAAGTATAGAATTCCTGTTGGGAAGCCAGTATTGCAAAGGGGAGACATGATAGACTCCCATTTAGAAATTGACTGTTTAATCCTAAATATACTTTGAATTTATTGTTTGTTACCTGTTCAAAGTTTGTCACTACCCATTCTTAATTTGGAGAGCTCCAGCACCAAATAACCCTACTGTGTCCTTAGCTATCAAATGACCTACAGAAAGTCATGGAATTGTTGTGATGGTGTCTGCTGTATATAAGTATCCTATGTCTTATGTCTTCAGCTGACCTGCTTAGTAGTCCGTAATTTCATCTCCTTATTCCCTATCACATTTTCTACATAGTATGTTCCAAACATTTTTCATTGTCCTCTGACAGGCATCTAATCCCCCATGTTTTGTAAGGATTGAAACTGACAGAAATTTTTTTTTTTTTTTTTTGAGACAGAGTCTCACTCTGTCTTCCAAGCTGGAGTGCAATGGTGTGGTCTCGGCTCACTGCAACCTCCCCTTCCTGGGTTCAAGCGATTCTCCTGCCTCAGCCTCCTGAGTAGCTGGAATTACAGGCGCCTGCCACCACACCTGGCTAATTTTTGTATTTTTAGTAGAGACGGGGTTTCACTGTGTTGGCCAGGCTGGTCTTGAACTCCTGACCTTGTAATCCGTTCGCCTCAGCTTCCCAAGTAGCTAGGACCACAGGTGCACACCACCATACCTATCTAATTTTTCTCTGTGTGTGTTGTGTGTGTGTAGGGACTACAAGGCATGAGCCACCAGGCCCGGCCTATTTCTCCTTCTTTGTCTGCCCTTTCCACCTTGCCCTTTCTCCCTCTTCTCCACTTTTTCCCTTCTCTCATCTCTCTCTGCATCACCACCACGTCAGTACATATTCTTTGCCTGCTAATGCCATTTCCTCTATCTACTTCTGAACCCTTTAATTTTTTACTTTAGTCTCCATTCTACAGAAACTGCTCTGAGTTTACTAATGGTTCCTGAGTTACCTGGTCCAGTGTCCTTTTCCTTGTCCATGACTTCCGAATGGCATTTCACACTGAAGCCAATCAACCACTTCTAGAAATTATCTTTTACTTAGGCTGCTGTCAGCAACCCCTAATTCTTTTTTTTTTTTAGAGATGGAGTTTTGCTCTTTTTGCCCAGGCTGGCGTACAGTGGCATGATCTCAGCTCACTGCAACCTCCGCCTCTCAGGTTCAAGCGATTTTCCTGCCTCAGCCTCTCTAGTAGTTGGGATTACAGGTGCCCACCACCACACCTGGCTAATTTTTGTATTTTTAGTAGAGATGGGGTTTCACCATGTTGGCCGGGCTGGTCTTGAACTCCTGACCTCAGGTAATCCCCCTGCCACAGCCTCTCAAAGTGCTGGGGTTACAGGCTTGAGCCATTGCACCCAGCCCCCTAATTATTCTTACTCTATACTAAGTTCTTTTTTTCCCCTACCTTTGTAAATGTAGGCATTCCCCCAAAGTTCATAATTCATTTAATGCAGGTAAAGTAACACAGACTTCGGTGTCACAAAAACAGTGGGTTTGGATTCTACCTTTACCACTTCCTGAGTGACCTTAGGCAAGAAGCTTTGTGAACTTCAACTTCTTATCTGTAGATAACACTGTATTTCATCAGATTTATTAGAGGAAAAAGAAAATACATGTAAGAACATATTTTGTGGACTATAAAGCGCTATTTTTTTTTTCTTACTTTCCCTTGGTGATTGCATTTCCATTCACCTCTCCCACACTAAAGAAGAGTTAGTGTTTCTAACTACTAACTAGACATCTCCATCTGTAATTTCCAGTTTGTTAATGACACCACCATCTTTTTAGTCACTCTTGAGTTCCTTCTTTCCTTTGCCCATCATTTGCAATATACTGCTAGACTTTGATTGTACTTCTACATTCTGTGTGCAACTCTTCCTTTCCATTCCCATTAATATAACTCTGACTTGTTGCCTAGATTAATCCTGTGGCCTCCTAACCAAGCTTCAGCTTTTCTTCGTTTTATCTTGAATACCAGTATTGATTATTCTCCCACAATATTAGTTCTAGTCATGTTTTGCTGTCTCTCCATTGCCTATAGAATAAAATCTTAAACTTCTTACTTTACATCTACTATTACATGACCTAAATCTACCATCCTGTTTTGTCTTTCATTAGTCCACTTCACACACACCCTTTAAACCTGACAGTCTTGTTCACTGAACAAGTCCTTAGTTTCCTGTCTTGCCTTTATTTTCAGTCTCTGCTTATCAGAATCTCATCTGTCTTGTATGACCCAGCCTAAATGGCACCCGCCTTGTACCCCAAACCAAGAGCAGTATTTCCCTCTGTTTTCATTGTATCACTGTCTCTGGTAGAACCTAACATGTTCTGCTTTGTTTTCATATCCCATGTGCACTATTGTGTTCTAAGCTCATTTTATGTGATTCTTTGTCTCCCCCAAGGATTTAACACTCTGCTTTTGTACAATGCATGTTGTTTAAATTAAAAGTGTTTGGAGTCTTTAACTATTTTTTTTTCCCAACAATAGGTTTATGCTAAAACTATCGATGGGCAACAGACTATTATTGCATGTATTGAAAGCCACCAGTTTCAGCCTAAAAACTTCTGGTAAGAAGTAGATATTCTCTTCTATTTACATCTGAAAGAAACCAGCAGTTGAGACTTGGTTTTTAATCCAACTAGCTTGGAATAATTATTTAACTTACAGACTTCAGTTTTCCATCTATAAATGAGGGATTTAGATTCCTTACAGTTCTAAGGTTTTATAATTATATTTTCCTTTAAAAGTTACTCTTATTTTGAGTGAGAACAAGTGATTAGTAAAGTGCCCTGTTGAAAATCTGAGTTTTACTTGGCTTAGGGTTACTGCTACTTGAGTTAATTGTGTAACTCAGCAGCCTATTCATCTGATTTTGGAAGAGCCTCCCATGAGCAGAATAGGCATGGTTTTCCATTTCAAGGGAAAAAAGGAAAAATGAAAGACAAAATAACTTAGAAAAGGCTTATGGTCAGGCCACTTAGATCCAGACTTACATTTGAGTAGACAGAGCTTTGGGTTTGCCAAACTGGAAATGACAGTTTCTCTCTCTCTCTTTTTTTTTTTCTTTTTTTGCACCCCTCTTTCCCAACTTCTGTACCTCAGTGGCAAATCACCTCTTTCTTGTGCTTATTGCTAATTCTGCAATGTTGTGTGTGTGTTTTAATAGGAATGGTCGTTGGAGATCAGAGTGGAAGTTCACCATCACACCACCTACAGCCCAGGTGGTTGGCGTGCTTAAGATTCAGGTGAGATTCCAACATGTTTATAGACTTAAAACTTCACATCTTTAAAACATGTGCAGGTTGCTTTGGTATTAAATAAGGACCAAGTATGTGTAGATGCAAAGGGAGACTGATGGCAGTGAATAGAAATAGAAGCCTCCTTCTTGGGGTGGTAAACAGAGAGAGCTATTCTGAGTTGATAAAGGATAGCATGTAGAGTGTATGGCAACATGGTTATTGTTATTTTTCCTTCAATGGTAACATAAGATATAACTAGGAATTATCAAACAGCAGTTTTAGGAAAGATTTAAAATTAATAATAATAATAATTATTATTTTTTGGGACAGAGTTTCACTCCATCACCCAGACTGGAGTGCAGTGACGTGATCTCAGCTAACTGCAACCTCCACCTCCCAGCCCAGGCTGGGTTAATTCCTAAAAATTATAACTAGAGAGAATGGCAGGTGTTTTGGAATATAAATAGCCAAGCAGAAGTAGATTGATTGATTGATTGATTGATTGACTGATTGATTGATTTTTGAGATGGAGTTTTGCTCTTATTGCCCAGGCTGGAGGTGCAATGGCATGATCTCGGCTCTTCGCAATCTCTGGCTCCTGGGTTCAGGTGATTCTCCTGCCTCGGCCTCCCGAGTAGCTGGGATTACAGGCATGCGCCATCACGCCTAGCTAATTTTCTATTTTTAGTACAGGCGGGGTTTCTCCATGTTGGTTAGGCTGGTCTCGATCTCCTGACCTCAGGTGATCCACCCGCCTCGGCCTCCCAAAATGCTGGGATTACAGGCGTGAGCCACTGCACCTGGCCCAGAAGTAGATTTTTAATGCTGATGTCAGGGTAGACAGGCAGCTGAATAAGATAGCTGTTAACTCATTTGATGCCTGTCTGGATTGAAGTTTAATATCCTAGCAGAGGTTTGACTTTCTAAACTCAGGGTGATTTAATATTTAAGCCTCACTAACTGTAAGGTCAGAATAGGTACAGGTAACCGAGAAGATCAGTACCTAATCGTACCTGTATTATATTATGTGAAGCTGTGCTTTAACAACAATTACCAAGAGTTGTCTTTTTTTTTTTTTTTTTTTTTTTTTGAGAAGGAGGAGAAGGAGGAGTCTCGCTCTGTCGCCCAGCCTGGAGTGCAGTGGTGCAATCTTGGCTCACTGCAACCTCTGCCTCCTGAGTTCAAGCAATTCTCTTGCCTCAGCCTCCCAAGTAGCTGGGATTACAGGCACACACCACCACGCCCAGCTAATTTTTGTATTTTTAGTAGAGGTGGGATTTCACTATGTTGGCCAGGCTGGTCTTGAACTCCTGACCTCAGGTGAGCCACTGTGCCCAGCCAAGAGTTGTCTTTTTTAATGCTCTAATTTAATCAAGTGCATAGGTAATAAATTCTGTAAAAGTAAATCTGCTCTTTTTATATATACCTATAGCTTCCTGCAACAAGTAGCTCCTGGCCATAGGAGCATGCCCAACTCAGGTGAGACAGGCTGGTGTTGAGTTCACAGCTCTAGGAGGAGCCCTCAGTGATATGTAAGAGTTGGTAGATAAATATGGCAGCTTCCTCAAGTAGGACAACTTTCAAGCACATTCTGTTTAGTCTTCCGGAGCCCAATACCCACAGCTGTAACCTGCTCATAAACGTACCTCTAAGGCTTCCTTCCCTTCTGTGTCCCACTTCTTCTGTCCCCTACTGTAGCTTTGTGAGATTCGCTCCTGAATAAACTACTTTTTCTCTAATCTTTGTCTTGGGGTCTCCTTCTGGGAAGGTGCAACCTAAGACAGCATACTGTTCTGTTTCTGTTAACAAAATATCTTAGTAGCCTAGCGCTCTAGATCTCTTGTAACTGTGGCATTAGCATTAACTTCCTAGAACCATGGTATCAGCATTGTAGAAGCTTATTGTAAATTTTGTGTAAATAAATTTTACTTTGTTTCTAGATGGAAACAGCCATTTGTATTTTAGCTCTGCCAGTGCAAACCTATAAAATAAGAGCACACATCACAAAGGGTGATAATTTATGGTAAGATTCAAAATACAGCCCAGTGTACAGACCCACATTTAAACCTTTTTAAGCACAGATTGAGCACACTTTTGGGGAAAGCTTATTTCATTTACATATCTTTTAAATTTTGGAGTGAGAATTATTTGGAAAAGTCGTTAAGATATTTAGCCTTTCAGGCTAGTCTATAGGCAAAAACATCGTTCTGAGAAGGCAACAATTTCTGAGGATTTATGTTGATGACAATCATGTTGAAATTTGTGTTAGTTAATTGAACCATTTTCATATTAGCAGATGAGACCTAGAAAAGGTCTTAGAACACATAAGTTTTGAGCTTAATTTCTTTCTTGAAACGGTGTATCTCAACTCTGTCACCTAGGCTGGAGTGCAGTGGTGCTTTCATAGCTCACTGCAACCTCAAACTCCTCAACTAAATGATCCTCCCACCTCATCCTCCCAAGCACCTAGTGCTACAAGCACATACCACTGTACCTGGCCAACTTTTTTTATTTTTTTGTAGAGTCGGGGTCTCACTATATTGCCCAGGCTGGGTTAATTTCTAAAAATTATAATAACATTAGTGTATTAGGTAATGAAATTAATATTTTTTAGAATTTTTCTTTTTTTTTTTTTTTTTTTTTGAGACAGAGTCTCGCTCTGTTGCCCAGGATGGAGTGCAGTGGCAGGATCTCGGCTCACTGCAAGCTCCACCTCCCGGGTTCATGCCATTCTCCTGCCTCAGCCTCCTGAGTAGCTGGTACCACAGGCGCCCGCCACCATACCTGGCTAATTTTTTGTATTTTTAGTAGAGACAGGGTTTCACTGTGTTAGCCAGGCTGGTCTCGAACTCCTGACCTTGTGATCCGCCTCCCTCAGCTTCCCAAAATGCTGGGATTACAGGCGTGAGCCACTGCGCCTGGCCCTAGAATTTTTCATTGAGATCAAAAACAGTGAGGCTTATTGACCTTACCCTATATTCCTTTCCATGTCCTAATTAAAAAACATAACAGAAGTTCAAACTAATTGTATAGTCTTTATTCTCGAACAAAAAGAATGTGCTCTGCATACCTCCTCTCTTTAGACAAGTTCTGAGAAATACAGAAGTTCTTGTTTCTTCTATGGCCAGATCTGTTGTTGTTTTTTTAAATATCTCCCATCCTGTTTGTAATAATTCCCCCCTGCCCCCTTTTTGTTTTGTTTTGTTTTTTGAGATGGAGTCTTGCTCTGTCGCCAGGCTGGAGTGCAGTGACACGACCTTGGCTCATTGCAACGTCCGCCTCCTGGGTTCAAGCGATTCTCCTGCCTCAGTCTCCCAAGTAGCTGGGCGTACAGGCGCATGCCACCACGCCCAGCTAATTTTTTGTATTTTTAGCAGACACCGGGTTTCACTGTGTTAGCCAGGATGATCTTGATCTCCTGACCTCGTGATGCGCCTACCTTGGCCTCCCAAAGTGCTGGGATTACAGGCGTGAGCCACTGCACCCGGCTCATTCCCCTTTTGAATGTTCTTTTCAGTCCCTGAACCTCTAGTTTTTTTAATGAAAAAACAAACAAAACTGATATTTGATTGTGACCTACTTGTATTTTAAATATTCTTATCTATTGGGATTTTAACCTTTATATGTCATCATCATTTAGCCCAGTCTTTTTTGCCCACATCTTTGCTGTTCTGATTTTACATGTAAGTATTAGTGGTTCTTATTATCACCCTTCTTTTCCATTGGATTCTCATCTTGTCTCCAGTGGATTCCAGTCTCTCTCTGTCACCCAGGCTGGAGTGCAGTGGTGCAATCTCAGTTCACTGCAGCCTCTGCCTCCTGGCTTCAAGTGATTCTCCTGTCTCAGCCTCCCAAGTAGCTGGGATTACAGGCACCTGCCACCATGCCTGCCTAATTTTTTTTGTATTTTTAGTAGAGACAGGGTTTCACCATGTTGGTCAGGCTGGTCTCGAACTCCTGACCTCAAGTGATCTGCCCACCTCGGCCTCCCAAAGTGCTGGGATTAAATGTGTGAGCCACCATGCCTGTTCTCAGTAGATTCTTATATTGTCTTTTCTTCTTTAACCTCTTAGAAAGCCAAAAGGTAAAATTTCAGGGTTTAGAGAGGGTATGGAAAGTCTAGCTTCTCATGCCCATCTGGATAGAGCCAGCTGTTTGTCCTCATTCAAGAAGATACTTGCCGGGCACGGTGGCTCACGCCTGTAATCCCAGCACTTTGGGAAGCCAAAGCAGGGGGATCATGAGGTCAAGAGATCGAGACCAGCCTGGGCAACACAGTGAAACCCCATCTCTGTTAAAAATACAAAAATTAGCTGGCCATGGTGGCACGCACCTGTAGTCCCAGCTACGTGGGAGGCTGAGGCAGGAGAATTGCTTGAACCCAGGAGGCAGAGGTTGCAGTGAGCCGACATCAGCCACTGTGCTCCAGCTTGGGCGACAGAGCGTGACACTGTCTCAAAAAAAAAAAAAAAAAAAGATACTTATTTTTGTCCTTTAAACAAGGATAGGTAGGGGGTTCTTGTTATCCAGGAAAGTCTTTTTGTTGCAAATAGCTTTCTGCCTAGATGAAGCTTGACTGTTAGTTATGCCCTTCTAATGATATCCACAAAGAGTAAGCCCCTGCTGAGACACTATTTCTCCCCAGATCAAGGAATTTCTAACTTTTTGACAAAACATAGCATTGGGAGGTATTACATATGTTGGATAGCTCTGGAATTTGACCTAATTCAAATCCTAGCTCCTCCTCTTACTAGGTGTGTGAACATGGATAAGTTATTGTTTAATAACTGCCTCAAGGCAAACTTCAGTTTCCTCAGCTGTAAAATAGGGTTAGTCGTAGTCCTCATCTCATAAGAGTTTTTGTAAAGATTAAATGTGGTGGCCTAGCGCAGTGGCTCATGACTGTAATCCCAGTACTTTTGGGAGACCGAGGTGGGTGGATCACAAGGTCAGGAGTTCGAGACCAGCCTGGCCAACATGGTGAAACCTCGTCTCTACTAAAAATACAAAAGTTAGCCGGGCGTGGTTGCGGGTGCCTGTAATCCCAGCTACTTGGGAGTCTGAGGCAGGAGAATCACTTAAAGCGGGGAATCGGAGGTTGCAGTGAGCCGAGATCGTGCCATTGCACTCCAGCCTGGGCGACAAGAACAAGACTCTGTCTCAAAAAAAAGGATTAAATGAGGGAATATAAGTAATAGTGAAGTGTTTGCACAGTGTCTAACACATAGTAAAGGCTTAATAAATAATAGCTCCTACAGCTAAGATTACTGAGTAAGTGAGATGAAGTAAGTGAAGATTACTGTTCTTCTCTTTTCCTTTTCTGCTTTATCCCTCAAAACATTCTGTTTTGTTCACATATCTCCTGGTAGCATAGACTAGATGTCTTTGTTTGGGGTTTTTTTGTGTTTTTTTTTTTTTTTTGAGACAGAGTCTTACTCTGTCACCCAGGCTGGAATGCAGTGGCATGATCTTGGCTCACTGCAACCTCCGCCTCCTGGGTTCAAGCAATTCTCCTGCCTCAGCCTCCCAAGTAGCTGGGATTACAGATGCCTGCCACTACACCTGGCTAATTTTTTTTGTATTTTTAGTAGAGATGGGGTTTCGCCGTGTTGGCCAGGCTGGTTTCGAACTCCTGACCTCAAGTGATCCGCCCGCCTTGGCCTCCCAAAGTGCTAGGATTACAGGCATAAACCACCGCGCCCGGCCTTGTTTCAGCTATTATAACACAATACCTTAGACTGGTATACCTTAGCAGAAATACCTTAGCAGAAATTTATTCCTCATACTTCTGGAGACTAAGAAGTCCAAGATCAAGGTGCTGTTAGATTCAGTGACTGGTGAGTTCTGTTTCTCATAGGTGACACCTTCTGCATTCTCACGTGACAGAAGGGGTGAACACTGTCCTCATGAGGTAGAAGAGTGGCAAGAGAGCTTGATTGAGCCTCTTTTAGAACGGCACTAATCCCTTGAAGGCTTCATCCTCATGACCTAATCACCTCCCAAAGGCCCCTCCTCTTAATATTATCCCATTGCATATTGGTCCAACATAAGAATTTTGGGAAGGTACCAACATTAAAATCATAGCACTAGATAAATGGCATTACCTGGACTATTGTTCTGGCATTATGTCTCCAATAGCAGCTCCTTCGTTTTATTTTCTTCATAGCACAAGTATAATCTTTCTAAAACATTCCTTTTCCCGTGTGTCACCTATAATAGGATAACATCTGCATTCTTTTTTTTCCCTAAGATGGGGATCTTGCTATATTGCCCAGGCTGGTCTTAAACTTCTGGCCTCAAGTGATCCTCCCGTCTTAGCCTCCTGAGTAGTCTGAATTCTTAACATGGTTTATAAGGTGCTTTGTTCTTCACAGTCTGTGTTTCCACTTCATAGCAATGTCTCCTGCCACACTCCTTTTTTACACATATTCATATGCAGTGAGTTCTTTGTTCTTCTCCAAATTAAACCAGTTATACTCCATTCTGTTATACTTTTTTATCTCCTTGGTGTAGATGTCATTCTCTACCTGTCTACTTAGGTGACAACTACTGTTTTCAAGATCCTATTCAAATGCACAAAAGGATACCCTCATCCTATTGTGTATGACCAATTAGTAGCCTTGTCAAGGTGACTAAACCTATCTTAAGTTGCCAAAACTTAACCTAAAATGTCATTGACTTGTTAGTCTCTTCTCCTTTTTGCTAATTGTTTGCATAATTGTAGCACTTCACTTTACCTTACATATTCAGAACTACTTTTATCTTACTTTTTAAAAATATCTGATTTACCAATAAAATATTTGTTTTTCTGTCCTGTCTTTAACCCTCAATGTGACTTTTCCTGTACCTGGTCAGTTCTGCTTACCAACATTGATGATAATGTATATGGAGAAATGTGCCAAATATTAGGTATGAGGATCCATTAAAATTCCTTGGTTTTCACAGAGAAAAACTAATGTTTAATAACTTTAATTATTTTAATATTGTTAAGAGTGGGATCTCATTTACCTTTGTATTCACAATGCCTAGCACAGTGCTTAGAATGTGAAAAGCATGTAATAAATGTTTCTTGAACTTAATAATCAGTTTTCCTTGCTAAGGAAAAAGCGTTCTTAAACTTAAGTGTTCTGTGGATTAATTAACCACCATTGTGAATTACCACTGCTTATATTAATTATTTGTTCAGAGTTGGTAAAATGGCTCATCAACTTAAAGATAGCTTAAAGCATGGATTTGTGTCCTAAATAACAGGTTTCTCTATGAACTTCCCCTAAAAAGGCTCAAACATTGTCTCACACAGGTTCACTATTATGAAGATGGCAATGTTCAGTTGGTTAGTCATAAAGATGTACAGGATTCACTAACTGTTTCGGTGAGTATGGAATATTTAGTGTCTGTCTTACTCATGTCTCGTTTTTCTTTAAAAAATTAGTTTTGATCCTGAGTGCTGATTCTGCCAGTAGAAATTCAGTTTGCTTTTAATGTTTTGATTTTGGCCACTTCTGTTAGTGCCTCTTATCACCAACCAGCATATATTAGTTCACAGTTTTTGACTCACAATATTGATTATGACTTTAGACAAATGTCCTTCTTAGTCGCTCTCTCAATTGTAATAGTTACTCAAGGACAGCAATACCTTCATTCAATAAATACCAAGAGCAAGGAAAGTTTACCAAACTGCATCCTATAGGGCTGCATTTATATCATTAGAGAAACAACATTTTTAGGAGTATTCAATTAGAATGTTTTGTGGTTTGGTGGTGGTGGTCTATTTGAGACAGGAATTCACTCTGTTGCCTAGGCTGGAGTGCAAGGAAGGACATGATCACAGCTCACTGCAGCCTTGAGCTCCCAGGCTCAAGCGATCCTCCCACCTCAGCCTCCCAAGTAGCTGGGACCACAGGTGCATGCCACCATGCCCAGCTAATTTTTTTATTTTTGGTAGAGATGAGGTTTCTATGTTGCTGAGGCTGGTCTCAAACTCCTAGACTGAAGTGATCCCCCTGCCTCAGCCTCCCAAAGTACTGGGATTACAGGTGTGAGCCACCATGCCTGGCCACTATTGTGTTCTATACCTTGAAAGAAGAGACATGATTTGTTCTTGCATTTCTTTGATAGTCTCATTACTTCTTTAAGTTATTAGAAGTTATTGAGTACCCCCAAAGAGTTTTTGTTTATGTGTTAGATCTATCAATGTTTACCTCACTAAAAATTAAAGCTGAGAAGTGTGGGCCGGGAGTGGTGGCTCACACCTGTAATCCCAGCACTTTGGGAGGTCGAGGCAGGTGAAAGCTTGAGCTCAGGAGTTCAAGACCAGCCTGAGCAACACGGTGAAACCCTGTCTCTACAAAAAAAATATAAAAATCAGCTGAGTTCCTGTAGTCCCAGCTACTTGGGAGGCTGTGGTGGGAGGATCACCTCAGCCCAGGAAGGTTGAGGCTGCAGTGAGCCAAGATCGTGCCACTGCACTTCAGCCTGGGTGACAGAATGAAACCCTGTCTCAAAAAGAAAGAAAGAAAGAAAACTAAGAAGTGTTAAAACTATTCGTTAATTAAAAATAATGATAACAAACCCATTACTTGTTAATAAGTAACATCTTTGTGAATATATTTTCCAAATCAAAAGAAAAAAATAGTGGGAAGAATGGCATTAGTCTGTGTCTTCACAAATTGTGTATTAAAAGATGGCGGACTTTATTGTGATATTAGTTGTTTTTTGCTTGTTTGTTTGTTTTTTTGAGATGAAGTTTCGCTCTTGTTGCCCAGGCTGGAGCACTGTCTTGGCTCACTGCAACCACCACCTCCCAGGTTCAAGTGATTCTCCTGCCTCAGGCTCCCGAGTAGCTGGGATTACAGGTGTCTGCCACCATGCCCAGCTAATTTTTGTATTTTTAGTAGAGACAGGGTTTCACCATGTTGACCAGGCTTGTCTTGAACTCCTGACCTCACCTGCCTCGGCCTCCCAAAGTGCTGGGATTACAGACATGAGCCACTGTACCTGGCCTCTGCTTCATACCTTTCATTATCCCTGAAAGTGATAAAGTCATCACACATCATGTAGTTTCTAGGAAATTACATCATACACACATTACAGAGTGAAAGTGAAACAGGCAAATAACTTTGTGTTAGTATTATTATGAAAGTAGAAAATAGTTTTGACCTCATAGTCTGTCTTAGGACTGCAGCTCTAGATATTAAATCCTACCCTCTTCCCTTTAATTCTGTTGTACTTAATGGTAACAGGAAGAGGGAGATTCATTTCATTTTAGACTTGAACCACGTGGTACAAAATGTGATTGGCTAGTTTAACATCATAAGTGGCAAATAAAGGCATATGTGAGCTTATGTATATGACTGATGTGTCCAAGGGCATTGTTCATACCATTTTAAACCAGAAATATTTTCAAGGCATCAAGGTTTCAAGACTTGATGATGTCTTTTGGGCGTACTGTGGTAGAGTGGAAACAGCATGGGTTTTTTTGGTGAAGACCTAATTTCAGATCCCATCTTTATCATTCAAAAGCTGTATAATTCTGGTCAAGTTGCTTAAGAGGATTCTGTTTTCTCATCTGCAAAATGGGGGTTATGATTATAACATAGTGTCTTCCATAGAGTTGTTGTGAGAATCAAAGGAGGGTAGTGGGCATGGGAACACTTGGAAAACTAGAAATTGTCATACAAATGTTAGTTAAGATGGACTTACTTTCAGGATCTTACTGCTTACACATTAAAAAAAAATCTGATTTTCCCCTTCTTCCTTCCTTCATTAGAATGAAGCCCAAACTGCCAAGGAGTTTATTAAAATCATAGAGAATGCAGAAAATGAGTATCAGGTAAGAAGATTTGGAGTTAATTTTCCTAGATCTACTATCTTATTATTTCGCTGTTAGCATATTTTGTTAGGCCTTGTGTCCTTTAATGTAAATATACATGCTCTTCAGTTTTACTAAATGTGGGAGACTTTGCAGACCTTCCAAGTTGGCATTCTGCTTACAGTCAGGGTTTGAGGATTGCTTGGGACTGTAGCCCTCATTTTAGAAATAATATAGGTGAACTTCTTGACCTACTTCAGAGATTGGAGAGGAGCTCATTGAAAATAATATATCCTGTCTATCCTTCACAGGGGACT
The DNA here is from genome assembly GCF_000001405.40 of Homo sapiens. NCBI lineage: Eukaryota > Metazoa > Chordata > Mammalia > Primates > Hominidae > Homo > Homo sapiens. Next base: position 112,669,902 of record NC_000001.11, read on the forward strand.
CAAGCATATCCATTGACTATAGCATTACTTTTCTGTTCACAACCAGCCCCATTTCTGTTCAAGCAACTCATCTTCAATTATCTATTGCAGACAGCAATTAGTGAAAACTATCAAACAATGTCAGATACCACATTCAAGGCCTTGCGCCGGCAGCTTCCAGTTACCCGCACCAAAATCGACTGGAACAAGATACTCAGCTACAAGATTGGCAAAGAAATGCAGAATGCTTAAAGGCTGAATGTAGGATTCTTCAGTATGTGGAAAGACAAGGATTCAACGTGTGGTCATATGATAAATAAGTGATTTATAAACAAGAGTGATATTTTGCTAGGGCTTTCAAAGTTAACCGGTTTTCTAGCCTCATGGAATACTGTTGAACCTATAGCGTTGTCTTGATTCTTTTGTGTTCTCTGCCTTGTAATTTTCTGTTACTGCTATATCTACGTGTAAATCTTTTTTTCTTTTTTTTTTTTTTTTTTTGGTTAATTCTGCCACATTTAATGTTGGTGAGAGAGTGATCTATCCTAATGACATTTTACTGTTTAAAAAAGTTTCCTAGCCATGAAGCCCTGCTACTGATTTAGACAAGGTATTATGGTCATTACTTTGTACCCCTATCCTTCCAAGCACTTCTGGTACTTCAGTCGTTTTTACTGATCCACCAACACCTAAAGAGGCTATGCTACAGTCTCTAGCTAAATGGAAGACACATTCATCCTTCTCCCTCTGACTGCTTTGATCATCATTTATTGCATCTCATAACTAATTTTCTAAAGTTTGGATTGGGACTTTTCAGGTCCTTTTTGGAGGGCAAAGGAAGTGCCAGCTTCTCTGGGGAACTTGTTTTTAAATCCAAAGACTTGAACCACATTCCCTGCACATGAACATGTTTGCTTTTATCCCTTCTCTCATTGTCTCCTTCCCATCTTAGTACCATTGTAGTTATAAACATCTGCATTTTTTAGAAGCATTTTACCCATTTATTTTTTTAAACATTCAAGAACTGCTGACGTACTGTGGATGTAGAGTATAAAACTTGAAAAATGCAGATGTTGAAGGAATAATAGGTATCTTGTGCTTTAATACTTTATGGCAGGATTGTACTATAAGCAAATGAATTAAACAGCTATGTAAATCATAAAGAAAAACTAAAAATGAACCAAAGTGAAAGGATAACTTCCAGGCAGTATCTTTCTATTGTAACCTGTTATTTAAGGAAATACTAGTGATTTCTTCTAAATAGGATGTAAAACTTCTTTCAAATTACTCTTCCTCAGTCCTGCCTGCCAAGAACTCAAGTGTAACTGTGATAAAATAACCTTTCCCAGGTATATTGGCAGGTATGTGTGTAATCTCAGAATACACAGGTGACATAGATATGATATGACAACTGGTAATGGTGGATTCATTTACATTGTTTACACTTCTATGACCAGGCCTTAAGGGAAGGTCAGTTTTTTAAAAAACCAAGTAGTGTCTTCCTACCTATCTCCAGATACATGTCAAAAAAAGAAAGGTGTTTGTGCTTCCGTTTTGTTTCTGCTCAGTAATATAGTCAAGCAAGTTTGTTCCAGGTGACCCATTGAGCTGTGTATGCATTTTTGTTTATTTCAATAAAATATATTTGTATTATTTGTCCTTCATACTATCCATCCATACCACACTATCTTCTGTATCAGGTAGTCTAATAGAAATATACCTGTTTTGTTCTAAAATTGTCTGAGTCTCTCCTTTTTGATTCATCGCTTCAGCCTTGGTTCTCAAGGTAAGATATTCAGCTGTATTTGATCTTATGTTGAGAATGTTTAGGGTTTCTAAAATTGGTTTCTACCTTCAACTATTTATAGACTCTGAATATCCACAGATTTGCAAAGAACAGCTTTTTAAAGCGTGAGCAATGTCTATGGATCATACTGCTCTTCACTCAAAGACTACCCATGTTTCAAAGGGAAAAATGTAGTTGTCTTCTGTACCTGTCACTCAGAAAGCAAGGCCCAAGTACAGTTGTAGTCACTAGGCAGAAGTAGAAATGAAAGAATCCCTGCCTTAAACTTGGTAATATTTCACATTGCGTTATCTTGAAATGCTGCTTTCCTCTCCTTAGCTGGCCTAGCTACAAACTTGTGGGAGAGGCTTTTATCCTGGTTCCCAAAAGAAAACCAGAGGGAGTTTTTATGCTTCAAGTACTCCATCCAAGGCCAGTTCAAATTCCCACCTTTTTGAGGAATATTTAGCTGCATTCCATTCTATTTGTAATGCAAATAGATTGAAACATTCTTGCTTTTAATTTATTAACTCTCTCATCCTGCCCCTGCTATCCCATTGATTCCTTAGCTTAGACTTTTTTAAAAAATTCTTAACCCCTTAACTATCTAAAGGCCTTGGTTACTTGTATAGTCGGGAGGAAGTCAACCCTCCTTAACCAAGTCTGCCAGAGACACTCCCTCTCCCCCTTCCGCCCCCTTCTTAACCTCCCTTAGCAGAATATTTGCTTGAATTGTATCTATTTTATCACCACAAGCTGCTGAAATCAGCCTGTTGTACGCTATGGCAAAGATTTCCCAGCCATCTGGAAAAGGGTTTTTTGTGAGGCTTCCCTCCTATATTTTGGTTTGAAATGACACTGCTGAAGACTTTTTTCATCTGAGCCTCAGTGGTTATCCCTCTATTGCTTGCCTAGTTCCAGTGCCTGTTCTCTTTTATAGTCTAAGACTTCGGTGCTGGACTCATCTAGGTTCATGGGATGCTTGGCAAACTTGGCATATTCTCTTCAAACTCAAAGAATGATAAATATTTGAATGCCAACTTGTGAATTTACAATTTTCTATAAAACTACCAAGTAAACCAAATGCTGGTGACCATTGTCTCGTTTTTCAGCTACCTACTATGTGAAAAATCAAAGGAAGATTGGTAAATATGAACAAAGCTGGATTGTCCTGTAGTTTAAGTTGAGCTAACTTAAATTTCTTCTTTGAACAGATAGGGTATATATAAATGCACAGAGTATATATAAGCTCTCTGAGCACAGAAACAAATCTCACATCTGACGGCCAGAGGTCACTCTCCTCACCATCTTGGTTTTGGTGGGGTTTAGCCAGCTTCTTTACTGCAGCCTGTTTTATCAGCAAGGTCTTTATGACATGTATCTTGTGCTGACCTCCTGTCTTATCCTGTGACTTAGAATGCCTAACCTCCTGGGAATGCAGTCCAATAGGTCTCAGTCTCATTTTACCCAGTCCCTGTTGAAGATGGAGTTGCTCTGATTCAAAGAGCTCTGACAATAACAATTAGAACCCCATGTGAAGTAGATTTTTCTGGATGAAATTGTTTAGAGAAGTTCCATTGTAAACAAAGCCACATAGCATCACACTTTTTACCCAAGGTTTTACTATACTGCAGACTTTTGTGTACGTTTTGAGAACATCCAAGACATAAACCTGACCAGAGAAGAAGGGAGATTGTATCCAAGAATAATAGGGATTTAGATTTGCTGGTCAGAATGGAGCCAGACATTCAGTTTGAGTACGGTTGATGGTACGTTTTTGAGATGGTAAGTAACAAGGCAATTTTTAAGAGTTCACCCTCTCTATTCTTCTGGAACCTCATCAGGACATTGAGGGAGAAAAAAGGTAAAATCTTTGGCTGCTTTTCTAGTTTTTTCTTCTACTTTGCATAATAAGTTTGTAAGATGTTTTCCTCTGCCCTATTTTACCCATCCCCGTAGCTTTGGTTCCCACTGACATTGCATTTCCTGTTGCTAAAGCCTGTTATTCCTGGCTTCATTTGGTTGTTGGCCTGAGAGAAGGTACCGGGTAGCCCAGCTGGAGTATGACCTGGGTTCTGGACTTTCTTCAATTCCGTAGATTGAGTGTGTGGCCTCCTGCTGGTAGCTACTATGGAGAACAACACTAGCTTTGATTTATTTGAAAGTGATGTATTTGATTTAAAACTTTGTAGTGTAACTTAGCTTGTCCCATTCTAGTGTGTGTGTCATTTCATTCTGCGGGAAAAAAATAGATACAAAGGTTTGTTATTGTAGCCCCACCCCCTTAAATTTGTCTATACAGTCTTCTGAAGCACACTGCCCTTTTAGTTCTCTTCTTGGTACTGATGCTGTCACTATTAACCACTTATTATTGCCTAACACAACAGTCCCTTACGCTCAAGATGCTAGTATTTTGATGAATATAAGGGTCCACCTTATATACCAGTAAAAATTAAAGAGCAATACAGACTGGAATGCAACGAAGCGCCCAAATATGTGGCTCAGGGGTAAGGGTCGGTCACCAGCCTTTCCACATAAGCCGATGTGGCAGAGAAAAGCAATTACTGTGTATCCTGGCAGAGCCCCTTGTCCCTCCCTCCCACACGTACACACCTTTATCTCAGAGACACTGGGTTCTTTTCCCCAAACTTCTTTGACCCTTATGCCAACTACGTGCGTCTGAAAGCCCGAGAAGGGAAAATGGGGGAGGGGGCGTGTCGCCCCGAGTTTACGTCCCTGGAAGGCTGGGGGAGGCGCTGGATGAGCTTCCCCATTCCGGCCGCAGCCGACCTAGATCCCAGCCCTGCCCTTTGCTCTCCTGCTTTTCACTGAGTCCCGAGGCTCTGGAGGGTGGGCGTGAGGGTAGCCCTGGCTGAGGCTCGGAGGTCCTCCCGGGCTGTTCAGAGGGCCCCAAGCGGTAGCCACGTTCTGATACTGGCTAGAAGCCAGGGGAGGGAGCTTGGGGTAAGGGGAGGGCCCTGAGGGAGGGGTCAGACGCTTTAGGAAAGAGTTAATGCGAAGAGGGGGAGGGGATAGGACGAAGAAACCGAAGGGAAAGCTCAGGTAAGAAAAGAACGGAGGAGGGAAGCCTGGTGGGGAGAAGGGAGCCCGCAGGATCAGGGGTCAGAGTTAGGGGGCTTCCCTCCTGCTGCACCCTCATCTCAGGGCCGCCAACTTCCAGCTGCAGCGGCGACTTTCAGTTTCATTTCCACGGACCCTCCTGCCTGGGCCGCAGCCGCCGCCGCGATGCCCAGTAAGTTCAGCTGCCGGCAGCTCCGGGAGGCGGGCCAGTGTTTCGAGAGTTTCCTGGTCGTTCGGGGACTGGACATGGAGACAGATCGCGAGCGGCTGCGGACCATTTATAACCGCGACTTCAAGATCAGGTACGGGCCGGCCCACTCCCGGCCCCGAATCGCGGGCCCAGCTTGCTGCCACGACCCCCGCGCGAGGGCCACCTTTCCCGCCCCGGGGCGCAGAGGGACGCAGCTCCCCCAGCGGCTCAGGCCAGTCCCGGGGCGGCGCAGACCTCCCCTCCCGCGCCTCGCCCACGCCCCACCAGCGCCGCCCGGAGCCCGCCAGTTCTGCCCGAGCTGGGCCCCTGCGCCAAGTCGCCGCGGAGAGCCTCCCGCGCTGCCCGCGCCCCCGGAGGCCGGAACCCGGGGCCGGGAGCTGCGTCCCGCGTCCATGCGCCGCTCGCGGGGGCTGAGGGACAGCGCTCGCGGTGGGGGAGGGGAGCCTCCAGAGGGGGCCCAGGCATCGCGGGAGCGCGGGTTAGAGGCTGCCTGTTGGGGGCTGCGAGCCCGAGCGCGGGCTTTACAGGGACCTCTGCCACCTTGTTGAGGCGCTGCTGCCTCGGGGGTCCGCTATCTGGGAGAACTGAAGAGGCCCAGGGTAGAAGGGAGAAGCTCAGGAAGCTCTGGAAAGAAGAAAAGGGCACAAACTACGTGCGTACCAAACCTCCATTAGCACCTGTGGCTTCTCCATGGAGACCCAGGGGCAGAGCCAGCCTTCTGGAGGCTCCCTTTCACCCTGTGGCTGAAGGCTCTTTGGTCTCCTTTTCCTGCTACCACCCAAGTGAAAATCAAAGAGTCTTCTGTCACACCACAGAATTGTGCTTCAAAAACACGTTTATCAACAGGCTGCTGCCTTGCGTGGAAAACCAAGAAGCAGTTTAACAAGGGTAAACGTAAAGACTTGTACAAATAAACATAAGGTAGTGGGAATCTGGGCTTAATAACAGACCTCCCGAAAAAGACCTTGGGTTTTAGCAGACCAGAGGGCCAGTATGGGTGAGATATGGCTGCTAAAACAGCTGAAGTCTAAGATTGAGCTAACAGAAGTGTGATTTGGGGTGGGGGAAAAGGGTAGAGACTCTCCATATTGGTGAAATCGTGTCTGGAATATCGTTTTCACTAATGGTTATCACATTTGGAGAGGGATATTAACAGGCTTGAACAACATCTGAGAAGGGGCAAAGATGATGAGGCCCTGTTTTATGTCACCATGCTGGACACTATGGGGACTCTTAAGATGAAAAACACACAATCCCAGAGGAGCATCAGAGGCTATGATATGCATGCAATATACATGTACACAATATAGGATAGTACATGGTAAAATGGAGGATTATACTAGGGATGGTAAGAGAAAAATGCTGGAGGAAAGAGCGAGCATTTGCATCACATGGTATCAACACTTAAGGTATGTGAATTCACCTATATCCACAGAGTACAACATGGCTAGGAAACAAGTCACCTACTTCTTTTGGCTCTGTTAAGGAAAAAGTAATTGGTTAAAACAGTAAGGCTGACTTGACTCAAGGCTATGGTAATAGGGTATTGCAATAGGAAAGAAGAGAGTTGGAGCTCAATTCCGAATACAGCAAAAACAGCGGGGGATTTATGACCAATGAACAGAGTAAGGGGATCAATATATAGAAAATTACTAAGAGGAGTCATAAAGAGTGGGAGGATTTTTGCTCACCTGACCTAACAAGATTCTTGTTAAAGGCAGACCAAGGACTTGTACATCAAAGGCGGGAATGAGGAACTTGATCAGATATCAAGCGTGGTCATGCATCAAGGGTGAGGAGTCTCACTAAAATGACTTCAGTATTCTTGCTAAAACTGAACTAGGTGGGCCTAAGACTGAAGGGTTTGGGGAGGCAAGGTCAAGGGCTAGTCAAAAAGAGGGCTCAGGGGAGTCTAACAAAAGTTTGATCAAGGAGAGTCTTTGTCAGCTCTAAACCAAAGGTACATAGTATGTTTTAGTACTGGGGAAAAACTGGTTGTGTTGGATTGCATACAGAAAGCCAGATATACTGTATATTATGGGTGAATGTAGGCATTTTCCAAAGTAGTTTTTACTGTATGCACTTGTGTTTATGCAGATAAGATACCACTCCTCTGTAATCATTAGGGGATGTGATGGAGAAGATGGCATTGACTTTAGCCTTGAAAGAGATAAAATTTTAGTACATAGAGGAGGTGGAAAGGCCTTCTATGTGGGTTCATATTCTATCCTGAGACCCAGTGAAAGAAACTCAGAAATATTTGCCTCAAAAATAGAAAAATCAGACAGTACAAGGTAATTATCCTTGACTATTTTGGAGTGTTATAATGGATAAGATTGCACTCCTGTGTCACTCCAGAAGACAGAAGCGGGTTTCATCAACTATCCCCGCTCTGTACCCTCATCATGTTGGGGAAATGTATGTTCAGATTAAAGAACTTGCCTACACATCCTTTAAAGCCAGGCTGGAATGCTGTGAAGTCAACCTTCATTTCCCAGTAGGAATTACTTGCTTTTTCTCTGGGCTCTCATGGCTCATTCTTTATACCTTGGGTATAGCCTGGTATTATGGTCACGTTACACTCTGCTTTATGGCACGTGGTCATCTCCTCCTGGTACCAAATCATTGTAATATGCTAAAGCCAGTGTATTATGCTAGCCACGCAAATGCTAGATCCTCTACCTTTAGTCAGGTTTATATCTGTCTGCAGTCCCCAGCATAGAGCTTTGTATGTAGTAGATGCTCAATAAATGCTTGCAGAATCTAAGTGAACTAGCAACTAGAGTTAACTAACAAGAGAATGGGCCATATAGCGGGGGGTATAGCAAGTCACACTCTTTAGGAATTCTAGGAGATTCCTACACTGAGAGGGGATAGGTCTCTCCAGCTAGGTTATTTTATGATGTTATAAAGTGCTCTGCTCTGAACTCTTGCCTTTTCCCACCTACCTTTATTCATTTAGCAAATATAGTTAATGAGGCTCTACTGTGTGCCTGTGCCTTGGTCCTTGCCTCCAAAGAATATAATCTAGTAAAGAGCAGCAGATATGTGTAGACAAACAAATGCAATACAGTAGTATAGGTGCTAGTAATGGTGTTTAGATAGCCCTGCCATTTAGTGGTTGCATTTAACTTTGAACAACTCTCTAAATTTTCCATTTCCCCAACTGTAAGAGTATGTAAAATAGTACCTTTCTCTCGGGGTTGTGAGAGACCAAAATGAGTTGTCCTAGGCAAAGCATTTGTGTGGCTAGCATATTACACTGGCTTTGTTAAGTGGTACCCCTCATTAGTGCGATGATGATTAGGAGTCCATTGTATGGGGTAAGGACTGATGTCACGAAAAGGTTTCTGAGAGAAGATGATTCTTGCTTTGGACAGGAGACTCATTCTTCTACAAGTACTGGCTGAGTGCTTCCTATGAATGGCAAAGCAAAAGTGAGTTGCTAGAAATATACAAAAGGAACCCAACTAACTAAGGAAGGAGGCAGCAGTTAGATAATTATTTAATTACGGTTGTGATGAGTGCTTGTACAGAAAAGTCCAGTATGCATTGAGAGTATATAATTTGGAGATCTGTCCTAGTCTAGCAACCTAGACTAGATCAAGAAACTTAGGCAGAGGTTTCTTGGGGAAAGTGATATTTGAGTAGAATCTTGAAGGATTAATGGGACTTAGAAGGTGTAAAGGGCAAGGGTAGAGTGTACAGGCAGGAACAGCACCTTCAAAGGCTTGGGATGACCTCAGAAGAACGGGAGACCAGCAGGGCCCTGGGTAGGCATTGTGAGGTGTTTTGTTTTGTCTTTAATCTTAATGGAAATAGGAAAACACAGAAAATTTCAAAGTAAGAGTCTGACGTAATCAGATTTAGAAAGATCATTCTGGCTTCTGGCGTGGAGAGTGGCTTGGTGGTTGGACCTCTACCCACAGTAAAAAACACATTTTACTTTGGGACCTGGCATACACAACCTTCACAAAACAATGCCTGCCCTTGAAACAATACATAGTTTCACTCCCTGCTCTCTGATATTTTTTATTCTATTTTATTTCAATTTTATAAAAACCCTGGCTTTGACCCGCTAATGGGAGTTGGAATCCATAGTCTATAGATTGTGAAACTAGATGTCTCTTTAAGATCACTTCCAAATCTGATCATATGTGCTGAAATACCATTCCTCTAGCTTTTGGCCTTTCCTGAACTGGGTCTAAAAAGATTAGCCATTGTTCACCCAACAAACAGCAGGGGCGGCCTAAGGCAGGGCAGTGCAGGCTAAGGATGTCCACAGCACAGAAGTCTGCAGAGGGGCACAGTGATACAAGTAGTTGGGAATGGCTGAAATAAGGATGGATTGACAAGAGGCCAAGTGTGGTTGAGGATGTGTACCTCAATTTCTTTTTCTCTAAAATGGGATGATAATAATTACTACCTCAAAGGGTTGTTTTGAGGATTGAATGAGATAATGCATTCAGGAAACGTTTTCTGTTGATGTTATTGTATTTGCATTATCGTTGTTACTATGGAGGATCTTGGAAGGTGCCATATTAAAGACTTAATTTTGTGGACTATGGAGTTGTAAATTGAGGGAACAAGATCAGATTTGTGTTTGATGACAATTCTGCAGATATAGGGGGTGGCCTAGTGTAGGGGTATGAAGCCAGAGGTAGGGAGAACAGTTAACTGGAACCTAGAAAATTGAGCAAGGGGTATGATCAGGCAGCTCACAGAAGAAATATAAATGACTAATAAAAGAAGGAAAGATCCTTGACTATATTGGTGATCAGAGAAATGCACAGTTTAAAAAGATAGGAGTTTTTGTAATCAAATTGTCAAAAATTTAAAACATTGAAAATTTCTGATGTTAGAGCTTTGGGAAAAGGGCATTTTCTAACTCTTGTTAGTGAGAACATAAATTTGTACAACCTGTTTAAAGGACAATTTGGCAGAACTTATCAAAGTTGTAAAGGTTCATTCTCTTTGACCCAGGTGTTGTACTTTAAGGAATTTATCCCATTAGACTTGCCTACAAGTACAAGGGTTTGTGTGCAAGGATAGTTATTGTAACATTAGGAGTAGCCAGAAATTTCAGGCAGCTTGTCTATCACTAGAGAAAAAAACACACCATGATGCATTCATACATGCTATCTTTTGTAGCCATTCAAAAGGTCATGGTGGTTCTGTAAAGCATTGTTATGGGAGAAGATCCATGGTGGGAAGACGCCTGCTGCAGAATAGTATGTGTAGCATGTATCATCTCATTATTGTGTTTTATATGCATAGAAAAAAATCAGGAAAAACATACATCAAATAGTGGGTTTAATTAATTGCTCCTAATCAAGCAAGTAGTTGGAAGCAAGGGAATTAAGGGCTTTAATGTTTTATGTTAGATACTTGTTTAAATGTTTTAAAAATACTTTTGGGCCGGGCGCGGTGGCTCACGCCTGTAATCCCAGCACTTTGGGAGGCAGAGGTGGGCGGATCACGAGGTCAGGAGATCGAGACCATCCTGGCTAACACGGTGAAACCCCATCTCTACTAAAAATACAAAAAATTAGCTGGGCGTGGTGGCGGGCGCCTGTAGTCCCAGCTACTCAGGAGGCTGAGGCAGGAGAATGGCCTGAACCCGGGAGGCGGAGCTTGCAGTGAGCCGAGATTGTACCACTGCACTCCAGCCTGGGCGACAGAGTGAGACTCCGTCTCAAAAAAAAAAAAAAAAAAAAAAACTTTTGGTGATCACCTTTTCATTTATCTCTTTTTTTTTTTTTTTTTTTAAATCTCTCTCTGTCACTTAGGCTGGAGTGCAGTGGCACGATCTCAGCACACTGCAACCTCCACCTCTCGGGTTCAAGCAATTCTCCTGCCTCAGCCTCCCACGTAGGTGGGATTACAGGCGTGAACCACCATGCCTGGCTAATTTTTGTATTTTTAGTAGAGACGAGGTTTCACCATATTGGTCAGGCTGGTCTTGAATTCCTAACCTCAGGTGATCACCTGCCTTGACCTCCCAAAGTGCTGGGATTACAGGCGTGAGCTACTGCACCCGGTTCATTTATCTCTTTTTGCAGGCATGCTTATATCACACCTACATAAGTTTACACACGTGGGATCATTATCACATATCATTTTTATTGTGGACCCCTCCCCTTATGGGCATCCAACCTCCATTTCCACATTCCGCCCTGTACTCAGGTACCTCTTGATATCAATCAGGGTGGTTTTTTTAGTCATTGTTTTATTTAAAAAGAATCATGTTTGGCCGGGCTCAGTGGCTCAAACCTGTAATCCCAGCACTTTGGGAGGCCAAGGCGGGTGGATCACCTGAGGTCAGGAGTTTGAGACCAGTCTGGCCAACATGGCGAAACCCCGTCTCTACTAAAAAATACAAAAAATTAGCTGGGCGTGGTGGCGGGCGCCTGTAATCCCAGCTACTCGGGAGGCTGAGGCAGGAGAATCACTTGAACCCGGGAGGCGGAAGTTGCAGTGAGCCAAGATGGCGCCATTGCACACCAGCCCGGGCGACAGACCAAGACTCTGTCAAAAGAATCATGTTATTCACATCATCCACGTCCTACTCTCTCAACTGTGTGATGGGAATCACTCGTAGGCATATGGCATAGACCTCTAATGCATTGTTGGGATTTTTTCCCCAATATCATACTATAATAAATTTTAAACATAAAGAAAAGTTGAAATGAATCTACAGTGAACATCCACATACCCTTACCTAGATTTCTTTTAACGTTTTACACATATCTGCCCATAGATCCATCCCGCTATTCATTTAGCAAGTCATCTTAATTTTCCTGATGCATTTCAAAATAAGTTACAGACATCAGTACACTTCACTCCAACAAATTATTATTAATTATTTAGCGTGATTATTATCAGCTAGAGTTCAAAATTTATGTTATGTTTGCCTAGAAATAAAAAAAAATTGTTTATGGGTTTTTTTTTTTTTTTAGACAGTTTTGCTCTTGTTACCCAGGCTGGAGTGCAATGGCGCAGTCTTGGCTCACTGCAACCTCCGCCTCTGGGATTCAAGCAATTCTCCTGCCTCAGCCTCCCAAGTAGCTGGGACTACAGGCATGCGCCACCATGCCCAGCTAATTTTTTGTATTTAGTAGAGACGGGGTTTCACCATGTTGGCCAGGCTGGTCTTGAACTCCTGACCTCAGGTGATCCACCCGCCTTGGCCTCCCAAAGTGCTGGGATTACAGGCGTGAGCCATCGCGCCCGGCCATGGGTTTTTTGTTGTTGTTGTTTGGGTTTTGGTTTTTTGTTTTTTTAAGTCAAGGTCTTGCTCCGTTGTCAAGACTGGAGTACAGTGGCATGAACATAGCTCACTGCAGCCTCAACCTCCCAGACTCAGGCTATCCTCCCACCTCAGCCTCCTGAGTAGCTGGGACCATAGGCGTGTGCCACTATGCCCAGCTAATTTTTCATTTTTTGTGGAGATGGGGTCTGTCTATATTGTGCAGGGTGGTCTTGAACTTTTGGGATTACAGGTATGAACCACTGTGCCGGGCCTTTAAGCAAAATTTGCAAACAGCAAAATGTTCAAATTGTAAGTGTACTGTTCTGTGAGGTTTAACAAATGCATATATCTGTGTGCAAACGCCTGTTGAGGTACAGAACATCACATCACTCCAGAAAGCTCCCTCGTGCCCTTTCCTAGTCAGTCCTCACTCTTACTCACCCAGAAGCAACCACTGCTCTGATTTTTTCATGACAGTACCTGTTCTAGAAATTCATTTAATGGAATCATATAGTATGTACTGTTGTGTAAGGCAACTTTCACTTAGCGTAATGTTTTTGAGATTCATCCACAATGTATCAGTAGTTTCTTTTTTATCACTTAGTAGTATTCCATTGTATGAATCCAAATCACAGTTTGTATATTTATTCCCCTGTTTATGGACAGTGTTTTTAGTTTGGGGCTCTTCTGAATGAAGCTCCTAGGAACATCTTTTTTTTTTTTTTTTGAGACGGAGTCTTGCTCTGTTGCCCAGGCTAGAGTGCAATGGCATGATCTTGGCTCACTGCAACCTGCACCTCCCAGGTTCAAGCAATTCTCCCGCCTCAGCCTCCTGAGTAGCAGGGATTACAGGTGCCTGCCACAACGCCTGGCTAATTTTTTTTTTTTTTGTAGAGACGGGGTTTCACTGTGTTTGCCACGCTGGTCTCGAACTCCTGACCTCAAGTGTTCCATCCGCCTTGGCCTCCCAAAGTGCTGGGATTACAGGCGTGAGCCACCGTGCCCAGCCAGGAACATCTTATACAAGTCATTTTGTGGACTTACATTTTAATTTCTTTTGGGATGTAACTAGGAGTGGAATTTTTGAGTCATAGGATAGGCATATGTTTAGTTTTACAAGGAACTATTAGACCTTTTCCCAAAGTGCTTAAACCATTTTACAGACCAACAAACAATGCATGAGAGTTTGGGTTGTTGTATTTTTTATTTTTTTGAGACAAAATCTCATTCTGTCACCCAGGATGGAGTGCAGTGGCACAATTGTGGCAGACTGCAGCCTCAAGGGCCCAGCTAATTTCTTAATTTTTTTGTAGAAACAGGGTCTTGCTATGTTTCCCAGGATGGTCTTGAACTTCTCAGTTGAAGTGATCCTCCTACCTCAGCCTTCCAAAGTGCTAGGATTACAGGCATGATCCGCTGTGCCTGGCCTGGTTGTTCCGTATCCTTACCAGTGTTTCGTATTGTGAGCCTTTTAAATGTTAGCCATTTGAGTGGGTGTGGTACATCTTTTCAATGGCTGCATAATATCCCACGGTATGAGTGCTTACAATGTGTTCACCTTTCACTCTGTTGATGGGCATTTGTTTAATTTTCAATTCTTGACCACTGTGAGTGACTCTGCAGTAAGTATCCTTGCACATATGTCTTTATACATTGGTACTTTTCTTCCCATGGGACACATTCCAGGAACAGTGTTACTGGGTTTTGTGGGGTTTTGTTTTATCTTTTAAATTTAAATTTTATTTTATTTTATTTTTTGAGTCAGGGTCTTGCTCTGTTGCCCAGACTGGAGTGCAGATCTGCAATCATAGCTCTCTGTAACCTCAAAGTCCTGGGCTCAAGCAATCCTCACACCTCAGCCTCCTGAGTAGCTGGGACTACAGGGGTGTGCCACCACACCTGACTAATTTTTTTTTTTAATTCTTTGTAGAGACAGGGACCTGCTATGTTTCTTAGGCTGATATCAAACTCCTGGGCTCAAGTGATCCTCCCACCTCAGCCTCCCAAAGTGCTAGGATTAGAGGCGTGAGCCACCATGCCCAGTCCCTGGGATTTTTTTTTTTTTTTTTTTTTTGTGACAGAGTTTGGTTCTTGTTGCCCAGGCTGGAGTGCAATGGCGCGAACTCAGCTCACTGCAACCTCCGCCTCCTGGGTTCAAGCGATTCTCCTGCCTCAGCCTCCTGAGTAGCTGGGATTAGAGGTGCCTGCCACCATGCCCAGCTAATTTTTTCTATTTTTAGTAGAAATGGGTTTCTCCATGCAGGTCAGGCTGGTCTCAAACTCCCGACCTCAGGTGATCCGCCCGCCTCAGCCTCCCAAAGTGCTGGGATTACAGGCGTGAGCCACCGTGCCCGGACAGTCCCTGGGTTTTAAAGGATACCTGTATTTTAAATATTTGTAGATGTTGCCAGATTGTTTTCCCAAAAGATGGCAATACTTGACTCTTCTACCAGCAATTTATGAGTTCACTTTTCCACATACCCATTATAGTAATATATGCTAGAACTATGTTCATTTTTGTCAGTCTAATGGGAATAAAATAATATCTCATTTATACTTTAATTTGCATTTCTCTACATTTGGAGCAGTTTTTCATACTCTTTTGGCCATCTGGATCTGTTCTTTTAATTGAATATTCGATTTTTCTGTTGAATTGTTCATCTTGTCAATTTGTAAGAAAATTTATATATTATAAAAATTAGCCCTTTGCCTGTCATCTGCATTATGAGTATTTATCTGGTATTTATCTGTTGAATGTGTTTATATTACCTTTTGCTAGAGAAAATATTTTTTAGTAGTCAGAAATGTTTGTTTTCTTTTTTAGAGACAGGGTTACCCAAGCTCTGTTAACCAAGCTGGAGTGCAGTGGCGTAATCACAGCTCACTGCAGCCTTGACCTCCTGGGCTCAAGTGATCCTTCTGCCTCAGCCTCCTGAGTAGCTGGGACTACAGGTGTGCACCACCATGCCTGGCTTTTTTTTTTTTTTTTTTTCACTATTGCCCAGGCTGGTCTCAAACTCCTGGGCTCAAGCAGTCCTACCACCTCAGCTTCCCAAAGTGTTGGGATTACAGGCATGAGCCACCACACTTGACCTAGTTTTATTTTATAGCTGCTGGTTTCCAGTCTTGGTTAGAAAGTTTTTCTTAGAAATATAGGGGATTACGGCCGGGCACGGTGGCTCACACCTGTAATCCCAGCACTTTGGGAGGCCGAGGCGGGCAGATCAGGAGGTCAAGAGATTGAGACCATCCTGGCTAACATGGTGAAATTCTGTCTCTACTAAAAATAGAAAAATTAGCTGGGTGTGGTGGCGTGCACCTGTAGTCCCAGCTACTTAGGAGGCTGAGGCAGGAGACTCACTTGAACCCGGGAGGCAGAGGTTGCAGTGAGCCAAGATCGTGCCACTGCCCTCCAGCCTGGTGATAGAGCAAGATTCCGTCTCAATAAAATAAAATAAAATAAAATAAAATAAAATATAAAATAAAATAAATATAGAGGATTACATGTATAATACAAGGATTGGGGCTTTTTTCCGACAAGAATATAATAAGTTTGTGATTTTTTAAAAATAATTTTTGTATGACTGTTACCTAGACCAATGTTAGGTGAATTTGGGTAGTGATGAGAGACATAGAGAATAATTTGAGAAATATTTAGGGATAGCATCTGCAGTAGAATTTGGAAATTTTACAGAGATGAGTTCTGTCTGCCCTTGTGCCATGCAGGTTTTCAAAAATAGGAGGTTTCATGTTAAAATTTTGATTTTGTCTTTTCTTGAAAGTCAGATCTGGCCATCCGGGGCCTGCATTCCCTACTGGCCCCGTTCGAAGATAAGCAGTTACCTGCTTCAGACAGGGCATGCACTTCCCAGTTTGTTCAGTCCCCACAAAGCCCTCTTTCTGCCCAGCATTGATCTGGGAGCCTGGAGCCACTTTTCTTGGAGGTTGCACTTTGTTTTCTTAGCGTTGTGAGGGATATGCATGCAGTATTCTTACACTAGTGACTCTCAAAAATGGACTGAACAGGTGTCTGAAAGGGCTGCAAGGATCAAGATACCTGTGAAGCATAGCTGCTGTAGGCATTAGCTTGTGCCTCGATCCATGGGACTTTGATGGACTCTAAGAAGCCCTTGTGAAAGTTACTGATGATCTCCTGATTTCAGTCCCTGTATTACTGGACCCCTCAGCAGCTTTTGATCCTGATACCTGATTTTGAGACTTTGCTGATTCTCCTTTCTCTCTTGAGGGTTTCTTGTTTTCCCTTCCTCCCCGGGTTGTGCTAGTAGCTGCTCTCAACTACTCACACTCCCTGGGGAGATTCCTACACTTCCTTGATTATAACCACTACCTGGGGACTCCCTAATACTAGGCTGTAACCTTGACTTTGGCCTGAGTTCTCAGCTTCTGACTCGTGGAGCTGGTTGCCTCTGGACCACAGGAATCTCAAACGCATCATATCCAAATCCAAATGTCATGGTCAGTCCCTCCAACCCCTCCTCCTCTTGTCTTACATCCTATCTCAGAGATAGTCCTAGAAGCCAGGCCATTGATTTGGGGATCCTAGACTCATCCCTCTTCCCAGCCTTCATTCCCCCTTCTGTCAGTCACCAAATTTCTGCTAATTTTACATTCTAAGTATTAGCGAATCTTGCCGCTCTTCTTCTGTATCTCTACCCACTGCCTTGCTCAGGCCTTTGTTATCTTTTAACTGGACAATTGCAAGGGCCTTCTTCTAACTGGTCTCCCTGCCTACAGTCTTGCCTCCAGCAAATCCATCCTCCAATCCTGATGCCAGAGTGATCTGAAATGCAAATATGATCTTGCCACTCCCCTGCTTAAAACCCACCAACCGCAGTGGTTCTGTAACCACAGTGTAGCCTCTGACGTGGGCTGAAAGTAAGTTGTTACTACTCCTACTACTACTGCTACTATTAGTACTACTATTTCTACTAATATAAATACTAACAATAGTAGCTAACATTTACTGAGCATTTTCTATTATGCTTTTGAATGATTTATTACCTTTTTAAAACAAATCATAGCCAATTCAATGTTTTCCAAATTGTACCAGTCTCATTTGCTTGGGGTGAAGGAGAGGGGCAGAGTTACAGGCAGCAGGCACCTGAAAAATACTCATAACCATAAATGATCTTATCACATACCCTAGTGAGTGACCATGATGATTTAGCCTGAAGAGTTAAATAGGAATTACCATAGTCCTCATAAACAAAGATTTGCTTTTAAGGGAGGGTGTCAGTCATCTAGATCTTGAATATGTCCCTGAAGTATGTGGCACGTGGGAATGTCCTCAGGCTCCTGGGTATCAGTAGAGCGGGGAAAACGACTGCAGACATGCAGAGTCAAGTCCAGGCTTGGCCTGTTGTGCAAAACTGTCCATGATCTGGTCCCTGCCCACCTCTGCTCCTCCTGCCACTCCCTTCCTTGTGCATTTCACTCTAGCACAATGAAACTGTATGTGATACTAATCATGGCTCACCCTTACTGAGGTCTCCTATGTGCCAAGCACTGTGCTAAGTGGTTCTCTGCCGTGTCAAAATCTCATGTAAACCTCACAGCAACCCTACGAGGTAAGTCTCGCTTTCCTCCAATTTTATAGAGGAGGAAAGCGAGGCTCTGAGAGGTGAGGTCAACTGAGCTGACCTGGCTAGAGTTGTCAAGTGGGCCGCCCCCCTCTGCCCCTCCCTGCACATGTTCTTGCGTACCTCTCACATCTGCTTACACTTCGCGCTCCCTCTTGTGCCCAGGTAATGCCCACTCATCCTCAGGACTCAGTTCTTATGCTGCCTCCTGGGAAGGCCTTCATGGACACCTCCTCTGCCCCCAGACTGGGCTCAGTGTCCCTCTGTGGCACTGAGCCCCTCTGTGGCCGATGAGCTGCCCTCCAAGCACCACGCTGGAATGTATATGTTCAGTCTGTGTGCTCCTCGAGGCAAGCGCTGAGTTTCTAGCATCTTTGAACCCCTAGCATCCAGCATAGTGTCTGGCACATAACAGGCCTCCGTAAGTGTTTGTTGAATTGACTGAACTGAACTCCAGGCACTGAGCCTTGAGGTTATTGTCCTTCTGACCAGTTTTCCCTGTCTTCACCTTCTCTAGGCACAAAGCCAGGCTATTTGATCTCTGGAGAAGGATCCTTTCCCTTCCTGCTTGGGTTCCACCTGCACCCTATGACTTCGGGTGGAAACTGCTGTCTGATCAGCCACCTTGCCCACACACTTGGACATCTGTACTGTCTCTGATCCCTTCTCTCCTCACCAACAGGCTGGACCCCACATCCACCCCTCTGAATCAAATCATTCCGCTTCCCCTTAGCCTCAGCTCTTTCTTCTGGGTTGTTTGTATTTTCTTTTCTGTCCCAAACAGTTTCCCCCACAAAAAGAACTTTATGTCTTTCTCTGTCTTCCCTCAGTCCTTCCAGTCAGCAGCCTGTGATTGGGCTTTTCCCCTCAGAAACGAACAATCCAGAACCCACTGTTTAAAACAACTGTATTTTGCCTTGGGAAGTCCCATTGCCTTCCCTGAAAACATTAAACATTCCTCCGATCCCCAGCCTGAGTCTCTCTGTCTCTGGGCCCCATCCTGCTCCACAGCAGGGCTGGTGTGTCCAGCACAGAGTGACCCTCCGATGCCCTTTCCCACCCGCCGCCCTGCCTCCCTCGAGCCCTGCCTTCCCTCACTTCCCAGTCTCCTCTGCTTCTGGCAGCTTTGGGACCCCCGCCCCTGGCTTCTCCTCCATGCTGTATGGAATGAAGATTGCAAATCTGGCCTACGTCACCAAGACTCGGGTCAGGTTCTTCAGACTCGACCGCTGGGCCGACGTGCGGTTCCCAGAAAAGAGGAGAATGAAGCTGGGGTCAGATATCAGCAAACACCACAAGTCACTGCTAGCCAAGATCTTTTATGACAGGTGTGTGTGTGTTGTATGTTGTGTGTACGGGGAGGTCTGCAGGGTGTGAGGGAAGGGGGCTATCTGTGTGAGGAAAGAGTGGGTTACACAAGTGGGAATAAGTCCCCCTCCTTCAGGGAATGGGGGAAGGGCAGGGAACTGGTCTGCTGGGAGGGGGTGAGTTTCCTAAGCACAGCTGGCACTTTGCCTGCCTCCCAAGCCTAAAGCTTTCCCCAGGGTAACTCCCCAGTCAGACCGCTCCCACCCCAACCCCCCCTTGACTCCCCTTCTCCCCAGGGCTGAGTATCTTCATGGGAAACATGGTGTGGATGTGGAAGTCCAGGGGCCCCATGAAGCCCGAGATGGGCAGCTCCTTATCCGCCTGGATTTGAACCGCAAAGAGGTGCTGACCCTGAGGCTTCGGAATGGCGGAACCCAGTCTGTTACCCTCACTCACCTCTTCCCACTCTGCCGGACACCCCAGTTTGCTTTCTACAATGAAGACCAGGAGTTGCCCTGTCCACTGGGCCCCGGTGAGTGAGTTTCCAAAGGAAAGAGCTGGTGGACAGGGGCTTGTCCCAGGCAGTGCTTATGCTTTGGGAAACACACTGTCACTGTCCATGGGACTCTTGCCTTGGGATGGGGCTTCCTGGGGGAGTGTCCGGGATAAGGATATGGGTGGGAGGGTCCCTACCCCCATTCACTCATCCATTCTCCTCCAGGTGAATGCTATGAACTCCATGTCCATTGTAAGACCAGCTTTGTGGGCTACTTCCCAGCCACAGTGCTCTGGGAGCTGCTGGGACCTGGGGAGTCGGGTTCAGAAGGAGCCGGCACATTCTACATTGCCCGCTTCTTGGCTGCCGTCGCCCACAGCCCCCTGGCTGCACAGCTGAAGCCCATGACTCCCTTCAAGCGGACCCGGATCACCGGAAACCCTGTGGTGACCAATCGGATAGAGGAAGGAGAGAGACCTGACCGGTAACTCCTCCCTCCAACTCAGCCCTGGCTGGGCTCGTATCTCAACCACATGGGCCAGGGCTTTGGGAAGAGCACAGAGCTGGGAGCCAGAGCCCTTTTCCTACAGGCTCTTCACTCTTCTGGGTCTCAGAGAATTTTTCTGTCAAGGAAGAAAGTTGCAGATGAACTGCAGATCTGAGGACAGAGTGAAAACAGTTTTAGGCATTGTCCCTGTGTGATGCATTATCAGGCAGATCATTGTAGACATCTCTGTTTTGTTTTGTTTTTTGTTTTTGTTTTGAGATGGAGTCTTGCTCTGTCGCCCAGGCTGGAGTGCGGTGGTGTGATCTCAGCTCACTGCAACCTCCGCCTCCTGGGCTCAAGCAATTCTCCTGCCTCAGCCTCCTGAGTAGCTGGGATTACAGGCGCCCACTACAACACCCGGCTAATTTTTGTATTTTTAGTAGACATGGGGTTTCACCATGTTGGCCAGGCTGGTCTCGAACTCCTGACCTCAAGTGATCCGCCAGCCTCGGCCTCCCAAAATGCTGGGATTACAGGGGCGAGCCACCGTGCCCAGCCAACATCTCTGTTTTTTTAAACAGCTGTATTGAGATAATTCACATACCATATGATTCACCCATTTAAATTACACAATTCAGTAATTTTTTTAGTATATTCACAAATATGTGACACTATCACCACCATCGGTTTTAGAACATTTCATTATCCCAAAAAGCTATCACCCTTTTATCCTCCACCCACTTTGTTCAGCCCTAAGAAACTGCTCATCTACTTCCTGTCTCTGTAGATTTCTCTGTGCTGGATACTTCATATGGATGGAAGCGTAGGATATGTGTAGACATCTCTTTTTGTTTTTGCTAGATGTTCACAAAATACTGAGTTATAAAAGCAAACTAGCCGGGTGTGGTGGCTCACACCTGTAATCCCAGCATTTTGGGAGGCTGAGGCGGGCAGATCACTTGAGGTCAAGAGTTTGAGATCAGCCTGGCCAACATGGTGAAATCCCATTTCTACTAAAAATACAAAAAAATTAGCCGGGTGTGGTGGCGCATGCCTGTAGTCCCAGCTACTCTACTCAGGAGCTGAGGCAGGAGAATTGCTTGAACCTGGGAGGCGGTGGTTGCAGTGAGCCGAGATTGCGCCATTGCACTTCAGCCTGGGCAACAGAGTGGGACTCAAAAAAGAAAAAAAAGCAAACTACATAATAGGACCTTCACAGACCATTGTGCTCTTTTTGTTGACTATATATGTATAACAGAAACTTACAGGGAAAAAAGTCTGGTAGTTAACATTGGTTATTCCTGGATGGTAAGAATGATATTTACTTATTACCTATTACCTGATTTTTTTCTCTAGTGATCATTTATTACTTAGATAATAGTTTTAAAGGTTTCCAAGTATCGCATGTTCCAAAAATGAGAGTAGTCCACCCTTGGAGCGAGGCTGCTGACTTCCCTTCAGCAGTAGGATTGCAGGAGGGCTTTGTGCATCCACCCCAGAGGGGCGTTCTCAGAGTGTTGGAGGGTGAGGGGTTTTCTGTGTTTTCTTCCCTCGATTCTGCAGCGCTAAGGGCTATGACCTGGAGTTAAGTATGGCGCTGGGGACATACTACCCACCTCCCCGCCTCAGGCAGCTGCTCCCCATGCTTCTTCAGGGAACAAGTATCTTCACTGCCCCTAAGGAGATCGCAGAGATCAAGTAAGTACCATCCCTCTGCACCCCGCACTCTCCCGTCTTTTACCTACTGGCTTCTTTGCATTGCCCTGGCACCTCCGTCCTCAGCCTCCCAGGCTGTATTCATTCATTCCCTTACTGAGCACGCACCATACACCAAGCACCATTCAAGGTGAACCAGTCAAATGAAGGCCTGGCTCATTTTAATGGGGGACAATGAGCATTTTTGTTACAATTTCATGGAGTGATGAGTGCTGTGAAGAACTAAACAGGTCAGGTGTAAGTGGCTCATGCCTGTAATCTCAGCACTTTGGGAGGCCGAGGCAGGTGGATCATTTAAGCCCAAGAGTTCAAGACCAGCCTGGGGCAACATAGTGAGATTCTGTCTCTACAAAAAAAAATTTTAATTAGCCAAGTGTGGTGGCACATGTCTGTAGTCCCAGCTACTTGTGAGGCAGAGGTGGGAGAATTTCTTGAGCCCAGGAGGTTGAGGACACAGTGAGTGAGCCCAGATCATGCCACTGCACTCCAGCATGGGTGACAGAGCAAGATCTTGTCTCTAAAAAAGATGAACAGAACTATACTGAAACTAAAGCAGGGTTAGGGAATGGGTTGGTGCTGCTTTGCAGAAGGCCAGTTAGTCCTGGCCTGTTTGAGGTAGTGATGTTTGAACAGAGAAGGACATTTGAATGAGGTGAGGGTGGGAGTCATGAGAGGATTGGAGGAGAATGTTCTGGCCATAAGAGCCACCATGCAAATGCAAGTCGGGTGAGGTGGGGGCAGGGGCATCCAAGGAAGCAGGAGCCAAGGCTTCCTTCTTCAGGGCCTCTGACTCTCATCCACTTCTGTATCCCTCTAGTCTTCTCTGCTTTTTGACGCTAGTTCCAGAGCTTCAGGTGGGAGAAGGTGGATACTCCTGGGCATAGGGGTTGTCTGGCCCATCCTGTTCCTGCCCCCACTCACCCCTCCCAACCATCATTTCCAGGGCCCAGCTGGAGACAGCCCTGAAGTGGAGGAACTATGAGGTGAAGCTGCGGCTGCTGCTGCACCTGGAGGAACTGCAGATGGAGCATGATATCCGGCACTATGACCTGGAGTCGGTGCCCATGACCTGGGACCCTGTGGACCAGAACCCCAGGCTGCTCACGCTGGAGGTCAGGGCTCAGATTGAGTGTGAGGAGGGTGGGCTCAAGCCAGCCAAGCTAGAGGCTGTGGGCAGAACTATTCCTGACAGCAGGGCAGAACAAGAGGAAAGTTGAAGTGGTTCCCAGGGCTCCGCAAGAAGCAGGGTGGGCATCCTGTGCCCAAAGATGTGTTGGAGCAGGGAAATGGGGAAGATCTGGGTTCTAGTCCAGGCTTTGCTACCACCTTGGGTAAGTCCCTGGCTTTCTCTAAGCCTTAGTTCCCTTATCTGAAAAGCACAGAGCTGGACTGGATAATTCTTAGAGCTCTTTCTGGCTCTTGGATTTTCAATGTGTGCATATAAGCCCAAAATTACACACGAGAATGGATTTCTACACACAATTGCAGGTGGGAATTAGAGGGTGAGTTTGTTCAAGGAAAGATTACTGCAGGAAGTGAGTTTTGAACAAGTTTTTTGTTGTTGTTGTTTTTGTTTTGAGACAGGGTCTCACCCTGGTGCTCAGGCTGGAGTGCAATGGCATGATCTTGGCTCGCTTTAATCCCCGCCGCCCGGGCTCAAGTGATCCTCCCAAGTAGCTGGGACCACAGACATGCCCCACTACGCCTGGCTAATTTTTGTATTTTTTGTAGAGATGGGGTTTTGCCACATTGGCCAGGCTGGTCTCGCAACACCTGGACTCAAGTGATCCGCCTGCCTCAGTCTCCCAAAGTGCTGGGATTACAGGCGTGAGCCACCATGCCTGGTCCGTTTTTTTTTTTTTTTTTTTTTAATTATTTTTTTAGCAACCCGATTAACTGATGAACAGGATTTTTATAGGCAGAGCAGGAACTGAGCTGGCCAAGAGGGCAGCTGCACTGGAGGCTCCGGGTTCCTGGGCTCGGCATCTCTGGGCAGCTTCGGAGGATTTGTCTTCTTCCTCTTCCCCTGACTCCTGCTGGTATGAAAGGAAAGAGGGGTGCAGGGATAGCATAACTCCCTGAGTCTTAGGTTAGAAGGCCAGTCTCAGTCCTTGTCCCTTAAAGGTCTGGGGAACCTGGGGGCTGGGCCCTCCAGCGTCCATCCCTGGGACAGAAGCTTGCTTGTGTTCACACCCCATAGGTTCCTGGAGTGACTGAGAGCCGCCCCTCAGTGCTACGGGGCGACCACCTGTTTGCCCTTTTGTCCTCGGAGACACACCAGGAGGACCCCATCACATATAAGGGCTTTGTGCACAAGGTGGAATTGGACCGTGTCAAGCTGAGCTTTTCCATGAGGTGGGTGTTGGGGGAACCCTGAGCTGCTGGAAGGGTCTACAGACTTCTGACCCCAGGGGAGGAGGAGTGTTTCTCCCTGAGATAAATGAGACCCCGGGGCAGAGCAGGAGACTTTTCCTCAGGGGTACCCTGAGATGCTACGGCAGCTTCCTCTTCTAGAGAACTTGCATAGAGGTCTTGGAAAGAGGGGTTGGGACACTGGTTGGTGGAGAAAGTTCTGGCCCTTTATTGCCCACCTCCCCTGCCCCAACAAACTCTTACCACCTCTCTCTGCCCAAAGCCTCCTGAGCCGCTTTGTGGATGGGCTGACCTTCAAGGTGAACTTTACCTTCAACCGCCAGCCGCTGCGAGTCCAGCACCGTGCCCTGGAGCTGACAGGGCGCTGGCTGCTGTGGCCCATGCTCTTTCCTGTGGCACCTCGGGACGTCCCGCTGCTGCCCTCAGATGTGAAACTCAAGTGAGACTGTGGGCAGGGAGCTTCTGGAGCCACTTGGAGTGTGGGCACAGGGGGTGGAGTCAGGGAGGCCTCTGGGTCACTGGATGACTTCAAGTTCACATTCCTGGTCCCTCTGCCAGGCTGTACGACCGGAGTCTGGAGTCAAACCCAGAGCAGCTGCAGGCCATGAGGCACATTGTTACGGGCACCACCCGTCCAGCCCCCTACATCATCTTTGGGCCTCCAGGCACCGGCAAGACTGTCACGTTAGTGGAGGCAATTAAGCAGGTGGGGTCTGAGCACAAACCTGGGGCCTGCACTCTGATTCCCCCAGCACCAAGCAGTTGTCCCCAGATTCTAGTTCCTTCCCACTCCCGAAATGCTCCTGCTTCTAAGCAGCCATCAGAAAGAGAGGTAGGGGCCGGGTGCAGTGGCTCATGCCTGTAATCTCAGCACTTGGGGAAGACTAGCCCAAGGAGTTCAAGACCAGCCTGGACAATATTGCAAGACCCTATCTCTATGAAAAATATGAAAAATAGCTGGGCACTTGAGGCTGCAGTGCGATTGTGCCACTGCACTCCATCCTGGGTGACAGAGTGAGACTCTGTCTCAAAAAAAAGGGTGGGGATTGGGGAAGTGGGAAGTTAGGGTAAATGTGGCTGTGGAGCACTGTTGTACGGGTAGGGCACTGCATGAATCTTGGAGTCACCATTCACATTTCAGTCATCATAGACTTGCCCTGCCCCAGCCTGGGTACGGCTGAGTCTCAGGAACCTGCCTCCCACACTGCGCTTATCTGCATCTCAGGTGGTGAAGCACTTGCCCAAAGCCCACATCTTGGCCTGCGCTCCATCCAACTCAGGGGCTGACCTACTCTGTCAAAGGCTCCGGGTCCACCTTCCTAGCTCCATCTACCGCCTCCTGGCCCCCAGCAGGGACATCCGCATGGTACCTGAGGACATCAAGGTACTAGGGAAGTGCAGAGGGCCAAAGAATGGCAAATGCCGGGGAGGCTCTCAGGGCAGACACTGAGGCGAGGAAGCTAGGAGACCTGGATTCTGATACTTGCTATGTGACCTTGGGTTGGACAGGACCCCTCCCTGGGCCTCAGTTTGTCTGTAAGTGAGGGGGGTGGATAAAACATTTGGGGGGCTGGGTGCAGTGGCTTACACTTGTAATCCCAACACTTTGAGGGGCGAGGCAGATGGATTACCTGAGGTCTGGAGTTTGAGACCAGCCTGGCCAACATGGCAAAATCCCGTCTCTACTAAAAATACAAAAAAATCAGCTGAGTATGGTGGCGCGTGCCTGTAGCCCCAGCTACTCGGGAGGCTGAGGCACGAGAATTGCTTGAACCCAGGCGGCGGAGGTTGCAGTGGGCCAAGATCACACCATGGCACTCCAGCCTGGGGGACAGCGAGACTCCGTCTCAATTAAAAAAAATAAAAATAATTGTTTGAGGGGGGGTACCCACAGCCAGAATCACGGTGGGAATGAGTGGAGCCAAGCTGATTCCTCTGGTCCCTTCACAATCCACAGCCCTGCTGCAACTGGGACGCAAAGAAGGGGGAGTATGTATTTCCCGCCAAGAAGAAGCTGCAGGAATACCGGGTCTTAATTACCACCCTCATCACTGCCGGCAGGTGGGGAGTGTGTGTGGGTGTGTCTCTGAATCGTAAGTGTAATTAAAGGGGTACCGGGCTGGGGAAATGGGGAAGAATGGTTTCCGGAGTGGGGTGGTGGGTGCTGAGAAGCCAGCCTGGGAAAGCATTCAGGTTTGGTAGTTGGGTGCCTGGATATGACCCCTGCCTGGCCTGACACCTCCCAGGTTGGTCTCGGCCCAGTTTCCCATTGATCACTTCACACACATCTTCATCGATGAGGCTGGCCACTGCATGGAGCCTGAGAGTCTGGTAGCTATAGCAGGTGAGGGACTCAGGTGGGGCTGCAGGTATACACCCTGTGTGGGTCAGAGAGGTTGCACCACTTACCTTTCTTCCCACACCTCTTCTGCTTCCCAGGGCTGATGGAAGTAAAGGAAACAGGTGATCCAGGAGGGCAGCTGGTGCTGGCAGGAGACCCTCGGCAGCTGGGGCCTGTGCTGCGTTCCCCACTGACCCAGAAGCATGGACTGGGATACTCACTGCTGGAGCGGCTGCTCACCTACAACTCCCTGTACAAGAAGGGCCCTGATGGCTATGACCCCCAGTTCATAACCAAGCTGCTCCGCAACTACAGGTATTCCCATGCCCTTGCCTCCCCTGCCATATCCTATGCTTTCACATCCTGCATGCAGACCCCACTGGAGAGTCTGGCTTGCTGTCAGTCCTGTTGCTCAGAGGTTGTGTGATGCAGAAAGACTAAACTGGAAGGCAGGAGGTTTTTCTAGCCCCAGCACTGCTGCTTGTTGTCTGCGTGACTTAGCCAGTGGTTTCACACTACACCAGTCAGCTTATCTGCATCTTAGGGGGTGGTCAGTGGTTCCTAGAGGCTAGGGTGTGTCTGGTACCAGTCCCAGATGAAGTTTTCAGGCAATCCAAGGAGAGATAAGAAAAATAGGGAGGAGGTCGGGCACAGTGGCTCATGGCTGTAATCCCAGCACTTTGGGAGGCCAAGGTAGGTCAGGCTCCCACCCCCGATCACTTGAGGTCAGGAGTTTGAGACCAGCCTGTCCAACATGGTGAAACCCCATCTCTACTAAAAATACAAAAATTAGCCAGGCATAGTGACAGGCACCTGTAATTCCAGTTACTTGGGAGGCTGAGGCAGGATAATCGCTTGTACCCGGGAGGCAGAGGTTGCAGTGAGCTGAGATCGCGCTACTGCAGTCTAGCCTGGGTGACAGAGCGAGACTCCATCTCAAAAAAAGAAAGAAAAATAGGGAAGATACAGTTTTTTCATAAACCTATTGTTATTCAAATTAAAGAGCTGTATACTTTTAGTGAATGAGTTCAGCCATCTAAAATGCTTAGATAAGTTTTATGCTGTCACTAAGAGCTCAATAAATGTTAGTTATTGTGTCATCACTGCTTATATTTTTTGATTTAACACATGGTCTCATCAAATAACGTGATAGTCAAGGAGAATTTGGTTTCGTACTGTCCTTGGTAAATTTGAAACCTGAAAATGGGCCCCTAATTATTTAGTTTTAAATGTCATGGGTCTGTGGAGTCCCTGGACTAGATGCTCTCTGGAACTATATTTGGTTCTGCTTTCTGTGGTTTACAGTGCCTGGCAGCAGATATTATGGAGGAGTGTCCTGCTATCCAGGGAGCCAGCGGGGTAGCAGGCTATTGTGTGTGGGCCCAGAGTGGGTAGAGCGGAGCCCCTGTAGGGCAGAGGGAATCTGACCCTTGGTCTTGCTTTTCCTCCTCCGGCCTCCCAGGTCTCATCCCACCATCCTGGACATTCCTAACCAGCTCTATTATGAAGGGGAGCTGCAGGCCTGTGCTGATGTCGTGGATCGAGAACGCTTCTGCCGCTGGGCGGGCCTACCTCGACAGGTGAGGCTGAGCAGGGCAGGCCCCACCCCTGTACCCTGACTTCCCTCCCACTGAAGGTGCAGCCCCTCCCTTTGTCACCTTGGCCTAGGATCTCTTACTCTCTGGAAGGGTTTGGGAAGGGAGGGAATAGAGGGAGGGTGGTCTGGCTGACGGTTTCCCCCGACCCCATGTCCAGGGCTTTCCCATCATCTTTCACGGCGTAATGGGCAAAGATGAGCGTGAAGGCAACAGCCCATCCTTCTTCAACCCTGAAGAGGCTGCCACAGTGACTTCCTACCTGAAGCTGCTCCTGGCCCCCTCCTCCAAGAAGGGCAAAGCTCGCCTGAGCCCTCGAAGTGTGGGCGTCATCTCCCCGTACCGGAAACAGGTCAGGTCCTCAGTTACCAGCAAGGGTGGGGCCCCTCCCCCAGATGGTACCTCCTTAATATCCAGACCACTAGGCAGAGGCTCCAGGAGCTTAGGCCTCTGCTGGCTCCGTATCTCAGAAGAGCACCAAGGTCAGCTGCCGCCTCCCTTTGTTCCCCAGCTCCCTGGCCTCCTGCCAGGCTCCCTCTTGCATTAGGTTAATGGCACGAGAGAAAGGCACCTGTCCCCTCCTTCCAGGTGGAGAAAATCCGTTACTGCATCACCAAACTTGACAGGGAGCTTCGAGGACTGGATGACATCAAGGACTTGAAGGTGACATGCTGTTCCACAGTCACTCCCTGCCTTCCGTGTGCCCCCACTTGCCCACTTCCAGAGACTTCCTCAAGCTTCCACTCCAGCCCACGTCCCCGTCCCACCCCTGCTGCCTTGAATAGAGCTCGAGCTCTCCCTGAGCCTCTCACTCCTGGAGATTCCAACTTAAGGGTCTGGGATGGGATCAGGAAGCCTGCATGTTTAACAAACACCTCCTGTCATTCTTAGACTGAGGCAGGTTTGAGGCCTCTGCCCTAAGGATAAAGTCCAAATTCCGTGGCCTGTCATGTGATGCTGCCACCCCCACCCCCAGTAGCCTCTCTCTTAAGGTTCTGGTCTCAACACTGGCTGCAGATAACAATCACCTGGAGAGCTTTTAATACCCCGCCCCCATGCCAGGGCCCCACCCACCAGCTCATACAGCTATCGGGGCAGAGCCAGGGCACTGGTAGTTTTTACAGCTTCTCAGGTGATTCTAATATGCAGCCAGGGTTGAAAACACTGCTCTAAGACTTACAGGCCTCTCTCTTGGAAATTCTGATCGGGGGTCCGGGTTAGGGCCCAGGGTTGTATATTCTTAACAGATACTTAGTGATTGTTTTCAGGAAAGTTTGAAAGTCACTGCTCTGAGTTCCCGTGTTCTTTGCAATGCTGTTTTCTTTCCTTAGAACACTTTGCAGGCCCCAGCCCTCAGCAGGATTCAACCTTCATGTTTCAGCTTCCACAGCCTACCTCCCATCCCCTTTCCCTGGGCCGTGTCGCAGCACTGGTTCACTCACTGATCTACAATTGCCCAGTGACCTCTCTGTACCCTCCTTGGAAGGCAAGCTCCCTGGGGTAGGGCACCCCTTTGACACCCCTGGCTGGTCTCAGGCCCTGCCTCTTTCCCCACTAGGTGGGTTCAGTAGAAGAATTCCAAGGCCAAGAACGAAGCGTCATCCTCATCTCCACCGTGCGAAGCAGCCAGAGCTTTGTGCAGCTGGATCTGGACTTTAATCTGGGTTTCCTTAAGAACCCCAAGGTTTGAGGGCTGGTCGGGGTGGCAGGAATTCTTCCATTCTCGGGGCTCTTCCCTCCCATGACCACACCACTTCTTCCTTCCAGAGGTTCAATGTAGCTGTGACCCGGGCCAAGGCCCTGCTCATCATCGTGGGGAACCCCCTTCTCCTGGGCCATGACCCTGACTGGAAAGTGTGAGCATTCCCACCCCATTCTCCCTCTTAGTGGCCACAGCCCCTGCCTAGGGCAGGTGGATCTTTTTTAAGCGCTTGCTTATCGCTCAGTTAATCCTCAGATGTGTCCATTTTCACAGCATCACTATTGTATTTATAAGTTAAATGACATCCAGAGGTTGAGCAAGTACAGCTCAGATGGGACAGGACCGTGGCTTAGCCTCCAGTCTCTGCTGGCACTCCTCTGTACCCCACAGATTCCTGGAGTTCTGTAAAGAAAACGGAGGGTATACCGGGTGTCCCTTCCCTGCCAAACTGGACCTGCAACAGGGACAGAATTTACTGCAAGGTCTGAGCAAGCTCAGCCCCTCTACCTCAGGTATGGCTGGGCCAGGGTGGGGACAGTGCCAGAGGAGGTGGTAAGGAAGACACAGTGTACTTTCTCTCTTTCCAGGGCCCCACAGCCATGACTACCTCCCCCAGGAGCGGGAGGGTGAAGGGGGCCTGTCTCTGCAAGTGGAGCCAGAGTGGAGGAATGAGCTCTGAAGACACAGCACCCAGCCTTCTCGCACCAGCCAAGCCTTAACTGCCTGCCTGACCCTGAACCAGAACCCAGCTGAACTGCCCCTCCAAGGGACAGGAAGGCTGGGGGAGGGAGTTTACAACCCAAGCCATTCCACCCCCTCCCCTGCTGGGGAGAATGACACATCAAGCTGCTAACAATTGGGGGAAGGGGAAGGAAGAAAACTCTGAAAACAAAATCTTGTTCTATGCAAAAGCCTTGATAATGTCTCCTCTGCCTGGCCCCAGCTTCCTGAGCCCCTAAGCTGACCCTGTAGGGAAGGGTGGGACTTTCAGCCCTGCTGAGGGTCACATCCCCTCCCAGCTGGAGAGGAACCCAGCCCCCACACTCGGGGGAGGAAACCCAGTGGGAGGTGGCAGGGAAGCCACCCACAGGTTTCTAAGTTTAGCCCCCTGCTACAGACCACTCCCTTCACCCGCCTCCTTGGCCCAGAGCCAGGCATGACCTCATCCTTTGCTCTAAGACTCCACCCTGCTGGCCACTGGCCTGCTTTGTAGACAGGGGGCCAGGCTGGCAAGCAACTTGGACATGAAAAGAGATGGGACACCAAGCACCCAGAGGGAAAGACCGAAAGCTGCCACACACGTTGGAGCCTGTAGCCTTTATTCATGCCCCCCTGACCAAATGCAGTGAGAGACAAGGCCCCTGCCGAAAACAACTCCAGGGGCCTGGGACTCTGGGTCCCCTACTGCAGACACTTTCCTGTGAGCCAGAAGTGTATAAAGTGCTGGTGTGTGACCATCCTTTGGGGAAGGTCAAAGGGGGCAAGATCCCCAGGGGCCCTGAGGAAGGGCAGGGCATAGGCGTGGCTCCCAGAGCGCTGGGAGGGAGGGCCCGTGCCACCACCTCGGGGCTAGAAAACAATGCAGTCCTGGGCAGGAGGGAACTGAAAATGGGAGCCTTCAGCATGGAGCCCTCAGGAGGCTGGGGTTGTAGGGGGATAATTTCTGTACCCCTGTGAAGGGAGGGGGCATGTAGGAAAGGCCTTGGGGATCTCAGAGAATGGGACAGCCCCTCCGACGCTTGTTCTTGCGGACCTGGAGGCCAGCCCGAGTGGCCATCTCAAACACCTCCCGCACTCCCTCCTTGGTCTTGGCTGAGCACTCAAGGTAGCCAAAGGCACTGATCCGGTTCGCCATGTCCCGGCCTTCCTCAGACCGAACGGGCTCCTGAGAAGACATAAGATGAGGGGTCAAAGGAAGCTGTTGACTACATGAACCTCTCCTGCCTCACCCATAAGTGTAGCAGCTGGAACAAATGCCTCCTTCTCCAGCCCTGACCCAGAAAGCGCCCAGGCCCCAGCTACCCTGGGCAGCTTCGTGGCCAGGGATCCAAAAATCCCTCCAGTCTACTCCCTCCATTCCCATGCAGCCCCACCTCCTCCCACACACAGCCCCTGGTTCTCTTGCCTGAATGAGCGTCTCCCACCTCCTGACTGCTCTGCCTCCATCCTCACTCTCTTCCAGTCAGAATTATTTTTCTAACACACAGACCTAACATCTCCCCAGTTTGAAACTTTGCCATAATTATCTTTGCATTTCTTATCCTGACAGCTTTCTCTAATAAACTCTAGTCCTCTGGCTAGAGAGCCACTTACAGGTCCCTGAATAAGCCAGCTCTCACATCCCTTCTTCCAGCCACTTACACAATGCCTGCCCTCATTCCCGCATCCACATCCCTACACCTCCCCCAGGGGCACTCTGATGGCACAGCCTGGGTATCCCAAGTGAAACATAAGCTGTCTCCCCGAGGGCAGATTTTCTTAATCATCTTAATAGTCCCAATTCTGAACGGAATGGACAATTAACTGGAATAAATAAAAATGCCAAGTGACTTTGGACAAGTCACTTCATTCTGATACCTCATCAGACACAACCCTATGGGTCCTCCCTCACCAGGAGATATTACTGTTTCCCCTAACACACGGCAGTAGCTGGAGAGAAGTTCCCTTTGCCCGTCTGCAACCCCTCAGAGGGTGCATTCTTCCCCAGGGGCTCCAGCCTGGCAGCCGTACCCACCTGCTTCATCTTGGCCAGCTCTCTCCTGGTGTGCTCGTCTTGCCTCAGGTCCTTCTTATTCCCCACCAGGATGATGGGCACGTTGGGGCAGAAGTGCTTCACCTCTGGGGTCCACTTCTCAGGAATGTTTTCTGTGTAGACATGCACCAACAGGTGTCGGTGCCTCCACTTAAGCTAGAAAGCTCCCCTGGGGGGGCCCTCATCTTCCCAGAGCAGTCTTAGAAGCCATTCAGCATGATGGTCCCTTTCACAGCTCAAAACCTCAACAGTAGTATGCCCTCAGAGGGCCAGTTACCACAGTAAAGGAGACCAACAGGGCCTGAGTGCTCCCCTGCATCCCCACCCCCACCTCTGAAGATGACTGAAGACAGGCCAAGGCACGAGACCTCTGGCTGATTCCAAGGGGTTCTCAGTCCCCTCCCTCCAATCCCCTCACCCAGGCTGTCAGGGCTGTCGATGGAGAAGCACATGAGGATGACATCAGTGTCCGGGTAGGAGAGAGGCCGCAGTCGATCATAGTCTTCCTGCCCTGCTGTGTCCCACAGAGCCAGCTCCACCTGACACACAGGGCCAGTGAGTAGCTGGCCTGAGGGCCCCAACCCTGCCACCCAAAGGTCCCCTGAAACCACTGTCCTTCGGGCTCACTGAACTTCTTTATTTGAGCACCTGCTATGCACCAGGCATTATATTAATCACTGTCCCACAACATAAATTAGGTCAGTTTGTTAAAGAAATCTAAGACGTGTTTGACCCTTGAGTTGCCACTGTGAGCACCATTATTTTGGTTAATTCTCACAACAACCCTTTGAGGGAGGTCTTACCATCATCCCCATTTTGCAGGTGGGGGAGCTTAAACCCAGAGGCAAAGGGACTCGGCCCAGGTTACAGAGCCAGTCTGTGGGAGAACCAGAAAGTATATCCAGGTTTTTTAAGACTGCAGATTTACTTCCTAACTTTTACTGGTTCCAGCAGGGAGAATGAAGCAAAGACAGGGGTAGGAATGGGGAAGGACATACTAGGTCATTCAGTGACTGGGGGGCGGGGTCTCAGGGTGGGGTGGGAAGGGCATTTCTGCCTTCACCTGCTTGCCGTCCACCTCAATGTCCGCAATATAGTTCTCAAAGACAGTAGGGACGTAGACCTCCGGAAACTGATCCTTGCTGAAGACGATGAGGAGGCAGGTCTTCCCACAGGCACCATCCCCAACGATCACCAGCTTCTTTCGGATTGCAGCCATGGTGGGGCTGCCAGGAAAGACGTATTGGGGATTTGAGGAAAAGCCATTAAGTCCAAAAACACTTCTCTAGGGCCCCCAAACCTCCCTGGAAACCGAGGCATCTAGCAAAGGGACAGGGGGCTTGCTCAGGCATGTTCTGGCAAAACACCAATTGTGCGACAACAGAGCTTGAAATTCCTAATCTCTGGGTCAGGGACAGGTCTCCCTCGATGGGTTAGAATACAGTGGTGGGAGGTAGATGATGACCCCACTTGGGAGCTGGAAAACATGAGTTTCAATCTAATCCACTTGCCAACCTGGGGACTCCAGGTAGCTAGAGAGCTGCTCAGGGATGCGGGACGTCCAGGGAGCAAGCTTCTATCTACTTCACACATCAGGGTTTCGAGTCAGACTTCATTGGTTACCAGGATTTTGATGCATTTACAGTTTAATAATCTCTAAGGTCCAATCTAGAACAGACTGTCCCTCAGCACAAGTCATACCTGTCCAGTCACAAATGAGGAGTCCCTCTCTAGGACCAGAGTAGCAGAACCAGCTACCAGGTGGTAGGTGGGTAAAGGAAGAATAGTTATAGAGCCCCTAGGTGCCAGGCACTCTGTCGGGCATTTTGGCAGGAATTATCTCCTTCGGTACCCAGATGCCTGGAAGGTAGATGGTGCACTTTCCATTTTGACAAACCAGGAAACTAAGGCTCAGTGAGGTTAAGACAGATTCAGAGCTGTGGCTTATAAGGGGCAGGGACAGCACCCAAAGCAGGACTGTGTGACTCAAAGTCGTGCCTCTTCGACATGTCACCTCAGGGGCAGGAGGGAGAGCAGAAGCAGGGAAACCCAGACAGAGGACAGGGGTAGCAGCCAGCCAGCTTCCCTGGTCCACCCCACCCGGTCCCCAAAGCCCCAAGTAATACAAAGGAGGCTCAGTCCCAGCAATGCCCACAGCTCGAGTTTGGGCAGGCTGCCTTCCTCCCCCCTTCCTCCTAGGCCTGCCAGCAACACTGGGTCACTCAGCCCCCGGCAGGGGACAATGACCACACTGTAGGGAGCCACACATCTACCACAGCACAGTGACTGAGAAGAATCCACCAGGGAATCACCTCCACCCACTCTGGAACAGCCCCTTCCTCCCTCAGTCCAGCTCACCCGCATGCCCTGCCCACCCCTCCCTGTGACTCAGGGCAAGGAGTCAGCTTCCCGGGCTTCCATGTGTCCCCCACCCCCAGCACACACAGCGAGCATCTGCACAGTTCATCACACCTTCGCAGCTTCCCTCACTTCCTCCTTCCCTGGGGAGGGGAACTGACCTCCAGCCGGCTGAAGTTCCCAGGCTGCAGGAAGAGAGGGCGGGCTCTGGAGCTGAGATGAAGTCAAGGCTGTTGGGAAGGGGGAGGGGGCTAGAGTCTGGGCTGGGAGGAGCCCCAAAAGAAGAGACAAATGAGGGCCAGTCCCAGCACCAACCAGGCAGGGAGCAGTTAAGAAAGCGACGGTAACCTGATCTCAGCCTCAAACCTAGCTTTTTCTCTCAGTCCCACATCCTGTCAAACTGGGCTGACTGAACGCCTCTACTCCCCACACCCCACCACCACCTCACACTGCCCTTTAGGAAGCGAATACTCCAGCCCCAGGCCTCTTCCCTTCAACATAGATCCTGAGTGGCCCTTCCCTTGCCTCCAGACACATTCACAAAACTGTTGGTTTTGTGGACATGAGTCAGAGAATTTACAGGAGTTCAAAGTACACAGCCACACTCTTCCCACCACAAAACGGACTCTCTCTGATTCCCCAGAAGACAAGCAAGAAGGCATTCACCCTGTCGGCAGATCGCCTCCAGAAATGGAAACCATCCTCCAAAAAGAGGGTTCCTTGGGAATTCTATCCCGGTGACTGACGCTGGGATTTCTTCCAACTCCTCCACCCACTCCATTAGTTCACCTTGCCCTGTTTTGTAAAGATGGGCTGGGGTAGCCCCAACCTGGGGTGGGCAGTGTTGATGGAGGGCAATCACTACTGGGGTGAAAGCCAGTCACTTAGGCATGAGTATGCCACTGCTGTCCCCCCAGCAGGGTAATTCAGACGGCACCAGAGTGGTGGGAGGCAGAGGACAGAAACCCGGGGTTGAGGCATGCGTTAAGGGACCTGGAGCCTCCAGCCCAATTAGAAGACTTTCCCTCCAGGCTATGATTGGGCCAGAACAGCAGGCAGCCCAGGCCAGGACACTAGGCCCAAGGCCAAGATGGCATGGACAACTCCCTGTG
Organism: Homo sapiens; assembly: GCF_000001405.40. Lineage (NCBI taxonomy): Eukaryota > Metazoa > Chordata > Mammalia > Primates > Hominidae > Homo > Homo sapiens. The sequence goes on from NC_000001.11 coordinate 112,706,051, forward strand.
AGAGGCAGCCCCAGAGGGACTGTCCCACTGACCCCTTAAGAGGGGCAACTGAGCCCCACACAGGGCCTGGAATGGAGCCTGGAACTTCTGGGGCCTTCCCCAAGACAAGACAGTGTGGCTACATCAGACCTCTCTCCAATCGCTCTCTTGAATTCCCAGATGATCCAGAGCGGCCGGTTGACTTTGCCGGCCCACCCTACACCTAGGGAAGGAATCCGTTCTGGAGATACCAAGAGATACTGCATTCTCAACTTTAAAACCAGAGTGAGGGCGGGACTCGGCCTCGGGATCCCAGTCCCAAACCCCAGGATACTCTTTCTTGGTTCGAGTATGAAGAAGGAGGATTCTCAATCTCATTTTCTCTCTCTCTCTCTCTCTCTACACACACACACACACACACACACACACACACACCACACACACACACACACACACACACACACACACACACACACACACACACACACACACACACACACACACACACAGAGTTGGATCCTTCCCCATCTCCCTTATCCTCAACACAAGCGGGCTCCAGGAACCGTCCAGGGCGGCGTCCAGACCCTGCCGAGCAGTGGCAGGCCCCAATGGTCACATCCCGCCCCTATTCCCGCCATACCTCCCTCCTGGCCTGGAGGAATTCCCACCCCATCCCACTCTAGGTCCCCTGCGGCCGCCCACCCTGGGGGCTGGGGCGTCTGAGTTGAAGTTCCCTCGCCCCTCGCCCGGCGGGGCAGGTTCCGGGAAGCTGGGAGGAGAAGGGAAGGGGCTCCGACTCGGACCTCAGGAGGCCAGAGCCCCTGCCGGCAGGTCCGGGCCCCCTCGCTGCAGCCCGGGGAGGGGCCGACGCGGTCCGACCACCGCCCAGCCCGGATGCCGACTCCGCTTGGAGGGAACGGGGTCCACGCCCAGGCCGAAGCCCCTCCTCGCACGGGCCCCGATCTCCGGGCCAGCGAGGAAGGGAAAGTGCTCTCCTGGGGACGAGTTCCCAAGACGCCCCACCGCCCGCAGCCCCGGCCCAGGGTACCTTCCGCTCCGCCGCCTCCAGCTGCGCGGCCGGTGCCGGAGGCTCAGACTGACCCCAGGGCCCCGCCCCGCCCTCCTCCAGCGCCGCGGCGGGGAGGGCGGGCCCGGCAGGGGGAGGGTCGGCCGGGGGCGGCCCTTGGCTCGGCCCGCCCCGGCCCCGCGCAGGGCCGCAGCCACCGGCCCCCTCCGCAGGCCGGGGACTGGGGGCCAGGGGCGTCCACCCCTCCAGGTCGGGGAGAGCCACGGGGAGATTCCTGGACTGCGGAGGAGCCGGGCGAGCGGGGGGAGCACGACCCGGGTGGACTCAGACTCTGCCCAGCCTTCAATCCCCTAGGGGAGGACCGGCGTCGGGAAAGTTAAGAGGTGCTCGGGGTGGGGTCAGGAAGGGCCGCTGCTGCCCTCCTGTGGCCAAGCGGCCACCCGCTCCTGCTGCACCTGGGACCTCGCGGGAAGCGGGACTGGGAAAGGGTATCCGCCGGGAGGTCCCAGGGCCCGGCGCGGGTGTGTTGGTTGGGGGGAGATGTCCACCCTCTTGTTCCTAGGATCGTACAGCCCAACGTCATCCCCCAAACTTGAAGACCTCTCAGAGCCGTTCAGACCCAGACCACCGTTCCTCCTCACAATTCGCTTTCTTCCCTGGGCCTGGAATTTCCAGGAGTCCAATTCCTACCTACTCCTCAAAGGGTGCGCCTAGAAATGCTTCTGGATCCCAGCTGTGAATTCTGTTCCCACTCCTAGGTCTGACTTGGCGCATAGGATATTTACCTACACGCGTATCTCCTTTCCCTGTAAGGGAGCTGAGGAGGTGGGAGTAGAATGAGGACGTCCACCAACATTTCATTGGCTTGTGCTTGGGACACTACACAGCTTAACCCTTTCAATATTCATCACAGATCTCTGGGGAAAATATACCCATCCCCTTTTGCCCATAGAGAAGCTGAGGTTCAGAGAAATCAAGTGGCTTACACAACTGTTTTTGACTTGTGACAGCAAGAATTCACACAGCCGGGCCTGTCTGGCTCCAAACTGGTGGTCTGGCCCTGCTACCTCACGGGCTCCTCCAGCCTGTCCCTTCCCCCGTTGTCTAGCAGAGTGAGTGGCACATAATAGGTTGTCAACAAATATTTGATGAATGAATGAATGTTAGGAGTCATACAGACTTTAAATATCTGAAGTGCAATCCAGACATTTGACAAATGTGAAAACAGGTCCGCAGCAGTTTGGCCCCAGGCCTCTTAACTGACTCAATGAACATTTCTCGAGGGTGAACTGAGAGCTATGTTCGGAAGATCCATTTCTGCCTTCAAACAACTTAGAGTCTAAATGAGGAATGCAATTTCAAGATAGCTAACATTTATTGAATCCATATTACATGGACCTGGGTCCACATACATTAACTACAAGAATCCCATGAGGTAGCTATCTCCATTTTACTGAGAAGCAAATTGAGGTTCAGAGAGGTTACAGAGCTAGTGCTGGGTCTGACACTAGAACCCAAACAGCTGAACTCTAGAGCCCCTGTTCTTAATTCCTACTCCCTACTGACTCCTAATGTAGACAGTTACAATACCGGAGGTCATTGCTGTAGTGTGGGCATGTGTGGGCTGTGCGATACCCAGTCCTGAACAACAGGTGAAGTTCTCAAGATAAGGTGATGTGTAGATTTTTTTAATTTTAATTTTTTTTTGAGACAAGGTCTCTGTTGCCTAAGTGTGCAGTGGCAAGATCTCAGCTCACTGCAGCCTCAACTTTCCAGGCTCCAATGATTTTCCCACTTCAGCTTCCCCAGCAGCTGAGACTACAGGCGTGTACCATCACACCTAATTTTTGTATTTTTTGTACAGATGAGGTCTTGCTATATTGCCCAGGCTGGTGAGGGGCCTTTTCTAATTATTTTGCTCATCTTTATTTTTGCTTCCCTTAACTTACTTTGGGTTTAATTTGCTGTTCTTTTTCTAGCCTCTTAAGGTGGAAACAGATCACTGATTTGAGATCTTTATTCTTTTCTACTATAAGCAATACTCTTAATTTCCTTGGATGCTTAACTGCTTCCCACAGGCACTCACCACTACATTCAGCTAATTTTTTATTTTTTTGTAGAGATGGGGTCTCACTATTGCCCAGGGTGGTCTTAAACTCCTGGGCTTAGCAGTCCTCTCACCTCTGCCTCCCAAAGTGTTGGGATTACAGGCGTGAACCACCGTGTCCAGCAGTAGATTTTGAATAAGTTGGAGCTACTAAAAGCCCACAGTTATGCAAACCCCAGGAAGTTGGTGGTGGTGGTAAAAAATGAAGCTGGAGAAGGAAGCAGTGGCTGGATCATGAAGGTCCTTATATGCCATGCACAGGAGTTGAGTGTTGATTTTGTTCTAGGCGCAATAAGGAGCCACTAAATTTAGGAGGCCAATATAGTAAAAGGTGGTGGTGACTGAAGGCGGGGAGAGATGGAGATAAGTAGAGAAATACTTTTAAAGGTCTATAGTCAACAATACTTAGTGATCAATTACCTTGATGAGAAAGAAATGAAAGCCAAGGGTGACCAACTCCAAGATTTCTAACTGGAGCAGCAGAGCTGGTGCCCATTGAGGGGATATACCAGGAGAAGGAACATGCTATGGAGGGCAGTCGTGAATTTAGTTTGAGGTATTTGAATTGAAGTGCCAGCAGGCTATCCAGGAGACATTCGGGAGATGACTGGTATGTGTGGGTCTAAAGCTCAGGAAGGGTCTGGGCAGATGGGTGAGGCCACAGAAGTGGATGATGACACTCACAGCAAATGCGTGGAGTGGAAAGAGTGGGGGTGGAATAAAGAACCTGGGGGACACCACATTTCTAGAACTGTTCTGGTGCTCTTTCCACCACCCCACAGAGCTTTCTTCTTATCTTTCAGTTTCTAGTCAAAGCAAATACAGACACACACCTTTATCCATCTCGTTTATTTGCCAATAGCTGTAATTTTGGATATAGCGGACATCCCTTCTTCAGTTAAGTTGCCACTAAAGAAGGGTCAGGGAGACAACTTCAGAATTTGGGCTGTGAGAGGAGTAAGTATGGAGAGGCTAGTGGGAGGGATGGTGTTCAGCCCCTCAGGAGTAACTGCCTGGCCCTCCCAGGGGGATGACGAAGACAGAGATGTCATCCCCGGAACCCAGCTTGTTGTTGGGGAGACGCCAGCCACGGTCTCGGGGGGTACCCCGGGCCCCCAGGACCAGAGCTTGGGCCAGAGCTGTATACCTGCCAGGAGCACACATGCACATTCATGTACCAACATGTATGTGGGAAGACAGATACACAGGCCCACATGTGGGGTCCCAAGCATTGCTTCCCTTTGACCCTTCTTTCACCAATGCCATCCCCTTACCACCATGCCATGCAGCCCCTACCTGCTGTGGTCATTAGGCTCATAGGCCGACAGCACCCTGTCCACAGTGGCAGCTACCTCACAGTCAGTAGTGACATCCCACAGGCCATCTGTTCCCAGGACTAGCACATCATCTGGGCAGTGCTCATATTGTGTCAGGTCATACACTCGTACCTGGTGGGAGAAAAGGGCAGAGAGGATTGAGGTGTGGGGTTTGCTGGACAGGGAGCTTGGAGATAAAGGGACTGCAGATGAAAGCTGGCCTGAGACTCCCAGAGAAGGCAAGGTGTGGTTTAAGGGGCTCACCTCAGGGAAGCAGGAGAGAAAGGGCTTGATGGGCAGGGTGGAACTGCAGACCTTAAGGCTGTGGTCTCCCAAGCCTCGGGTCACCCCAATGGTGGCCATCACCCGAGCCTGAAAGAAATGAGGAGGGAGTGCCACTGTAGTCCTCTGCTAGATTCTCTGAAACCAAAGATCCCTTCCACCCCTACCCTCAGGTAGAACCTCCACCTCCCTAGACAAGTTGTGATAGGTCCTCCTCCCCTCTCCCACCTCTACCATGGAGTTTACCTTTTTGCCCTCCCCACAGACCAGAGGAAACCTGAGATCCTCCAGCTCGATCTTTTTGTAGGCCCTGGGGAGGGGGGAGTAGAGGAGGCATCACCCAGGCATCAAAGCCCCTCTCCCCTAGGAGCTGCATACCCTCACACAAACCCCTTAGAAGGGCCACATCCTCCCAACTCCCAGCCTCCAGCTTCCACCTTGCTGCGGGCGAGGGACTGGTTGTGTTGCCATGGGAACGGGCCCCAGCTCTGAGGGAAGTGTTACCAGCCGGTCATGTTCTGGTCCCGGTACAACATCCTCTGCCCCAGCTCCTTGGGCAGAACTCTGCGGGGGAACTCAAGGTGGGTGAATTCACTGCCTAGCAGCTCTGGTTTCAGGAAGCCCTGGAGTTGGGGATGATCAGAACAGAGAGCCAGGGGGCATTATGCTCACAGCACACGGTGGCACACAGATGACGTTGACTACAGCAGACCCTTAAACAGAGTTTACCATGTGCCACACGTTATTCTAATATTAGCAAATATTAACTCATTTACTCCTCACAACAGCCCTTAAGGCAGGAACTATTGATGCACAGAGAGGTTAAGGGAGGGAACTGCTCCGGTCACACAATTAGCAAAGCACTCAGACCAGGATGCATCCCGGGCTTCCAGCTCCACAGCCACATGCGTTTAGGCACTAAGCCGGACTGCCTTTCAGGGGCCTTTGCTGTTTCCTTCCCCCACCTCAGTCTCTACTTCCTGCCTCAGCTGGGGCCACAGTGGGAGCACTGGACCAGCCCAGTGCTGCAGCCTCCCTGCTGCAACCTCCCACCGGCTCAGCCCCGCACTCCATAGTCCACACAGCGGCCTTCCCAGTAAAGTGCTTTCTGTGCCTGTGGTGGGGGTGTGAGAGTTCTCAGGGCCATGGGGTGCAGGGAGGCACAAGACCCGACAAAGAATGGGGGTAGGGAATTTGGTTCCTACTTACAAGCAGCTGAAGACGCTGGCGCTCAGTCTCCGGGGTAAACTCCCGGGACATTGGAATGATTTCACCATTCCGGACAATGATGGCCCTGCCCAAAGAAAGAAAAGGAATTGGGACCTGGTTCTCTTCAGACCCACTCATGAAAAATTCCAGAAAGACCAGGCCCTCTCCATAATGACCTTTCAGATCTCTTACCCAGACCCCCATATCTGCCCCTGACCCCACCCAATGGATATTTCAGGCCACTCCTTATGTCTGTCACCCCTCTTGACTCCCTCCAATCTTGATTTTTAACCCCTGCCACCTTACTCTCCTGTATTCCCCCAACTCAGAGAGTGTGGCCCTCTGTCGCCACCTTGGAGCCCCCTCCCCCATACCTGCTATCGCCTGCATTGGCCACGTACACCTTGCCTAGCAGGTAGATCACAACCAGTGCACAGCAGCCCCCCTCCACTTGGTGGCCACGCCGCTCCCGGGCCATCTGCTCATCCTGCCACATAAGGAAGGGTCAGAGGTGGGTAGAAGGAGAGGTTCCAGCACACAGTCACCCTCCCCCTACCCCCTCCACCCGTAGAAATCAACTGGCCCAGCCAGGCTACACTGGAAGACAGGAGGGAAGACTGGGGTGTAACTGCCCCTTCTCCCTCCCCTCTGAACCAAGCTCTGCTCAGGCTCTCAAAGGTGTTGTGGGTTCTCAGGGTAACCCCCTCTGGCTTCCACACAGAGTTGGCCAGAGTGGTTGCCTAGCAGGCTCTTGGCCCAGGTCACCCACTCACCATGAGCTGGAAGGCATTCTCAACGGCCCCCACTACCAGGCTCTCGTGGCTCACTTCCTTCTGTGAAGACCAGCAGGACTGAGGGCCAAGCAAGTGAGAGGGATCGGAGGAATCTGGGGTCCCCGGAGTGGTTGGGAGGCAGAGGGGTGGTGGCGAAGGGTCCTGAAGTATCTCTACCAGGTCCTTTAGCTGCTCTCGGATATGGCGATGCAGGAGCCGTGAGGCCATTTCAGCAGCTCCGCCCCCTGCATGCCCATCAAATAGGCCCCAGTAGTAGAAGCAGAGTCCCTGGTGGAGGAAAAGTTGGAGGTGAGTTTTGTTTGTGTGTGTGTGTGTGTGTGTGTGTGTGTGTGTTATGCAAGGTGAATAACAAGACTCTGGGCATCCATACAAACATCTGAGAGGTCAGTGTTTGCTACTGAAGGCAAATTAGGTTTATTCACATAAGGCTTCGTATGTGTCAAGAGAAAGGAAAGGCTCAAAAACCCAAACTCAGAGGATAACAGATCCAAAACTCAGCACTGGCAATTAAATCATCCATAAATATGTGAGCCTCTACATTTTAGGTGGGAAAGTAACATTCATGCTTACATGGTAGAATCTAACTGATGAATACCAGGTAAAGGTTCTGTGCCAGAAGGTAGATAGCCAGTGAGTTCATCAGGTCTTCCGCATGGCTCAGATTTAAAACCAGAGGCCTGAGTCCCTGGGGAGAGGTGTCACTGTGTCTCTGGGAAAGGGGATGGGTCTTACCTGGCCTCGGCTAGGCTCCCTAGGTACTCCTGTAACACTCCTCCGACCTTCCACATACACCACTTCACAGCAAGCCTGGTCCTCATTGTGCCGACTCTTGCCAGCATTGATGACCCTGCCAGGCCAGAATGACCACATCAGGTTGGACACCAGACCAGGTCCTGGAATAACCCCCACCTTAGACACACACCGTCTCCTGCGCCCGCTGGCCAAGCTGAGAAAGGTCACAGCCACCTGGGATCCAGGCCAGAGGGAGGAGGAGAAGGGAGGGCTGGCAAGGTGTAAGGAGTACTGTTTGGGTGGCCAGCCCTACCACTTCACAGAAAGGCCAGCAGGAGCTTCTGGCCAACCGCTATGTCCCCTGCCTGCCTCACTTCCCCCATCCCTGGCAAAAAAAAAAGAAAAAAGAAAAAGGCATTCCTAGTGGTGCTTCTGGGGGAGGGGCTAGTTGGTAGCAGAAGTTTTACTTCCCTGCTAGCTAGACCCTACATCCCACCCTCAACCACTATCAACTCTCCCAGTGCCTTGTCCCCAGCACCTCATCCTCATGGGCACACCCACCCTTATCCTAAAACCATCCAGCGAAAGTTTCTGCTGCCTTAACAATGAGGAAGCTCTCCAGCCCAGATCGGGAAAGAGGAACTGAAATAGAGTAGAAGTGAAAGCCCACCTGGACTGGGCAGGAGCCACATACCCATAAACTCCTCCCACACAGGAGGCTAAGGGAGGTGGTGGTGGGTCCATGGGCCACCAGCCACCTTCCTCAGCGAACTGAGCGCCCCCATCTCCCTCGGTGCTCTGCGTTCCCGGCAGATGCATTTAAAATACACACAGCCCGGGGGCCAGCCGGCCGCTCCGGGCAGGGGGTCCGCTTCTTTGCCAGGCCAGCACGAGTTGGCAGGCTGAAGGGCATCTAAATGGGACCCTCCTCTACCCCGGGCGTCCCCCTCCCCGCTCCTGGGGAAGCTGGCGGCCTCCTGGTGTCGCGGGCTATTTCTGGGTGTGGAGGGGGAGGGGAACTACGGTAAGAGGGACAGGGAACTGGGGCGCTGGAGCCGGGAAGCGGGTGAGCGAGTCTTCCCAACCGCTATGTCCCCTATTAAAAAGAACCCCGCTCCTTCGTGAAACCCCTTTTCCCTTAGCCTTTAAGCTGCCGGGCCGCGACGGGGAACTGGCCAACTCATCCTTCGCCGGGCTCTCCGCCCTCCGGGCTCTGGGGCAGAACAGGGTCCTGAGGCGGCGTGGGCGAGGGCAGTCAATGAGCGGGAAGGACGTGAAGAAGGTGACACAGGCTGCCCCCCACTGGAAAATGGGTTGGGAGGGGGTGCGGCCCGAAGACCAGAGGATAGCAAAGGTCCACGGAAAAGGGAGCTCCTGGCCCGGACGCGGCGTGGGGAACGCGTCCTAGCGCCGGGGATGCGGAGCTGGGGAGAGGGGTGGGAGCCCCATCCTGGTTTGGGTGCCCCAGGGGGCGCTCACTCGGCGTAGCCTGTGCTCCAGGGCAGGCGGCGGCCCGTGTCCGGGGGGCTTTGCACAGCCCGGCCCGCGTGGTCATCGGCGCGTCGCAGCCCCCCGGGGCTCAGCTGCAGAAAGGTCGGTCTGGAGAAGCTCGCTCGAGCCTCAACAGCCTTCGCGGGCGTCGCGCTCCCGCTCCCAGCCTTCGCGGGAGGGCTCCTGGGCGCTTCTGGAGCGGCGGCGGGCGGCGCCGAGGCGGCGTTGGGCAGGTCCGGGGATTTGGGGCGCGGAGGCGGAGCGCCCCCGGAGCTCACCAGGTGCGCCACGGCCGAGCGCACCCGGTTTAGCATGCTGCCTCCCTGCCCCGCCCTCGGCCGCGGCCCCGCCCCCGCCCAGGCCCCGCCCCCATGGCTCCGCGTGGGCGGTGCTCGCGCCAGCCGGCCCTTCCCTGCTACTGGCTCCCGGCCAGCTGGGCGGGTCCCGGGCGAAACTTGCCCTTGCTCTGGGCCACCCCAGGAACCGGCCCACGGGTCCCCGGCCTCTGCCCCGCCCCATTCCGGCTTGGCCCCGCCTCCGTTTCTTAGGGGTAGGTTCTGTTGCTGTGGGAAGGGGGCGGAGAGAAGGAAACCTTATTTCAGCCGTGCGCTAGATTAGACACAGCTAGAATGTCTCCATTGTGACGGGGGCTGAGGGACAAGGGGGTGCGGTCTCCTCGCTCTCGGTTCGGTGTGGCCAGCCAGCCCAGAGAGCCATGGAGCTAATGACCTCAGAGCAAAACAGGCGCTTGGGAGCCGCTGGGTATGAGGCGCCAGGTGTGACACCACCTCTGGATGGGGCTGCTGGAGCGAGAGCGGGCAAGCTGGTACCGGGTGGGGTTGCGGGATTAATGACGCAGGCTGCAGCCGACCACCCCGGAATCAGGAGCCGGGGTAGATTCCTGGGCTCCTGATGCGCTGTTCCCCGTGAAGACCACCTCTAGATCTGGGAGAGCGGTTGCTACTCCCACCCTCCTTTCTCTCTCAGAACCCAGGTCTTTCCCACAATGCAGACCTTCCCTGACCACAGCAGGACAAGCTATTAATAGGATAATAACAACATAACAAATACTATTTATTGAAGAAGTACTGCATACTAGACCCTTTACAAAGCACGTTCCATACAGTATTAGGTTATTTATACTGCACACCAATCCTTCAAGATGGTTTTTTTTCTGTCAGTTTCACGGATGAGGCAGGACGGGACGCTTCCTGTCATTTTACCGTGACTTGCCCCAGGAGGTCACACGGTCAAGTGAAAGATTCACACCTATGTCGGCCTCCTGACATTCAAACCTGCTCTGTCTTAAGAACCAAGCTTACTTCTCCGGATCAGGGAGGAAGGGCTAGAAAGGAGATCAATGGCAGAGAGAGGAGTGGGGGTTCCTCCCCTCCCATCCTTCTCTTAGGGCCAGGGCTGAGAGCAGTCCGGGAATGCTGAGCAAGTTCTGTGTCTACCGCCAGGGGGAGACAGAGGCCAGGCTAAGCCCTTGCCTAAGAAGAGTAAAAGCACACTCACTGGAAGACCAGGACAGAGCCCAATGCCTGGTTGGCTGCCCGTTCTTCCTAACTTCTCCCCTCTGGGAGAGGGTGGTACTGACCTGATGCCACAAGAGCTCTGTCTCTAAACCTCCTATCAGAAAGTTGATCGCTAGGTATCCACAGACACCACCCATCCACACATCTCAAATGGGGACAACGCCGTTGTGGCCCTCAAGCAAGTTGGAAGTAGCCATCAGGGACTACGGCACCCAGTTCACGGCTGGAACTTTTCTGGGCTCTGTCGGCCAGGTGCTTCCTGACCACATACCACTTTGTTCCCCAGGCTAAACTGTGTCCCCAGAAGGGATGACTTTCTTGGCAGCTTCCAAATAAAGATCCCACAGTGGTCCTTCAGGTTGGTAGACTTACTATGCCTGCTTTGTTACACCTGAGCTTTAGGCAGAGAGAGACAGAGGAAAAGAAGTCACAGGAGAGAAAAAAAACAGACCCCAAGGCAAATAGAGCAGCAAAAGAAGACGGGGACAAAGAACAGGCTGCTTCTATAGGTTTTCCCCTGCTATTTGAGAAAAACTGGAACCAACTCTCAGATAAATAACAGCAGCAGCAAGCCAGCAACTGAAGAAACAAATATAACTCCTGGTTGTTTTTATTATTCAGTGTTTCTGGGACAGTTTACTTACCACTTCTTCGTGTCACCCAGCTCCCTATTCCCTGCCCTTTCTAGCACCCACCATGGTGTGGCTGCAAGCTGTCCGCAAAGCTAAGCCAAGAGACCCCCCCAGCCCCAGCACCAGATGATCAGCAGGGAGAATAACAGCTCCCTGGGGCTCCAGAACAGCCCCCAGCCATGGCCTAATCCTAAGGCTCCTCCTCCCTGAACCTCTCACCTCCTATTCCTGGCACCATTATGCCTCCTCCATCCTCAGACTGCCCCAGAACCTGGTGAGGTCATCACCTCTACTCATCCCTGAGGCAGCGGAAAGTGAGAGAGAAAAGGGGATGGGGTATGAAGAAGCAGACTTGTGGGATGTTTTTCTCTGTGAAGAGTGAGACTCTGCTTAGTGGCTGGCCCTGCTGGGGGAGTGTGAAGCTTGAACCAAGGAGGGGGACTGGACAGCCTCAAGACAGGCCCCTTTATCTCAGGCCACAGTGGTGGCTCAGGGCCCAGAACTGGTCATCTTCTGCCTTGTCTCTCCCCTTCACATCACCCTAAACCCAAAGGCCTCTTAAACTAAGAGGAAAGTCCCTTCAAATTCACAGAACACCACTTCCTCTCATTTGTCTAATACATTCGCATCCAAAACAGATCTCTGTAAAGAATTATTCAGTTGCAATTAATTACATTACAATTTTTCTGATAAAGAAACTGGGTCTCAGGCCAGGAGTGGTGGCTCACACCTGTAATCCCAGCACTTTGAGAGGCCATGGTGGATGGATCAGTTGAGTCCAGGAGTTCAAGACCAGCCTGGGCAACATAGCAAAACCCTGTCTCTACAAAAAATACAGAAAATTAACCCTGGCTTGGTAGTGCACTACAGACTACCCCTATAGTCCCAGCTACTCAGGTGGCTGACATGGGAGGATCATTTGATCCCAGGAGGTGGAGATTACAATGAACCAAGATCTGGGTGACAGAGTGATGAGATCCTGTCCCCAAAAAATAAATAAATAAAAAAGAAAAGAAAAAGAATGAAAGAAAGAGAAGGAAGGAAGGAAGAAAGAAAGAGAAACAAGAAACTAGGTCTCAGAATTTGGTTCCCATGTTGGTATTCACACTTAACATCCATAGGGACCATTCATAGCCTACTACTGTCCTCCTGCCTAATGCCCACACCCTCATACTTCCTCTAGCCCTCCCAGCCCCTGAGAGCACCACTCCTGGGAGAGGAAGAGATATTTACTATTCCCTCCTAAATATCATTCTAGAAGAGTGCTGCTGAACAGAACTTTGTGCACTGACGGGAATGTTCTACATCTGCTCTGTCCAATACAGCAGTCCCTATCTTCGTGTGGCTATTGAGCATTTGAAATATGGTGCCTACTAATGAGGAACTGAATTTTAAGTTTTATTTAATTAATTTAGATTTAAATTTAAATATCAACATGCCACTAGTGGCTACCGTATTGGACAATGCAGTTCTGCAATCTTCAAAGCTCAAAAACCCTGAGGGTCTAGTCAATCACTCCTCACTCCCAGCTCCTTTCCCCCCAGCACCTCCACCTCCCCTGAGCCAGGGCACTGGGGGCCACAAGACCTTCAGGGTTTTGAGGGACCTCCTCTGAGTTGCCACCACGGAGGTGTCCATCCTCACTGAACCTGCGGGTGCCGGATGTCCTCTCTCCCTTCCTCTTGCCCTCGGCCGCCAGGGGCCGCTGCGTCTCGGCTGTGCCCATCCGTTCAGCCGAGCGCCTGGCACTGTCCCGAAGGAGGCGGCGGCGCCCACGCGGGGCTGGAGGAGCGGGGGTAGCCCGGGGCGAGGCGGCGGTTGCGGCGGCGGCTGCGCGCTCCCCGGCCTGCCGGCAGGAACCTTGGAAAAAACCCGGCTGAGTTCTGCAGAGCTGGCGGGGCCGGGCCCAGAGCTCCCCTGTGCCCAGAGCCCGGCCCGCCCTGCGGATGATGCCAACCTGACCAGAACCCCGCTGTCCCGGGGGCGCAGCAACTTGGTGAAGGGGACAGGGCTCCGGACTAGACAGCACCCAAGCTGGCCGCTCCCTCCCAAAGTCTGTCTTTCGGAGTGCTGGTCCCTGGCTCAGTGGCAAGGAAGACTTCAGGCCAGCAGATCGAACCAGTGGGCATCACCGTGGACCAGGTAGGTCCCAGGTGTGGGGGCTCAGAATGTGGAGGAATGAGTAGGCGTTAGGGGGGTTTGTGGGGAGAGAAGGTGAAGAAAGGTTGAAGATTCTTGTGGTTCACATCCTCAAACCCTTGTAATGCAGGCTGCTAACTCAGCCTCACTAAACCCCTGGATTGGGATTTAGGAAAAATAGGCTAGGAAATTGAGGCAGGAGCATGGAAGTCGAAAAACACATCCCAGAAGCTTCTATGTCCAGCTGTTTCAGGGAGGGAGGGAATAGAATGCCAGGGATGAGAGCCCAAATGAACACCCCCACCCCTCTGCTCCCCACCCCACCAAGGTCTTTTGGGCCTTGGGGTTCCTAGGAGAGATGCCTGAGTTGGATTGGAGGATGTTGCAGCTCAGAGGGAAATAGGATCACCTGAGAGAAGACAAAGCTGCATTTGTGATGGTCAAAAGGAGGGTTCCTGGAGGGCAGGGAGAAGAGATCTCTACTCAGGAAAGAGGCACATCTAGAAGAGTGGGAAGCTCAGCCCAGGGAGCACACCCATCCCCTGGGAACTGGCACCTCTTCTCTGTGTTCCTCCAGATTCCCCTTATGCTCTCGCTCCTAGGAGCTAGGACTCAGGGGTCTCTGTCCTTCCGGGGCCCCACCATCCTATATGTTTCAGTTCTGCCTCCCTTTAGAGAGGTGAGGGAAGAGAGGTTCTTAGGGAGAAATGGAAAGCTATTGGAGGCTGTGGCCTTCAAAGGCTCAGGGACCTGGAGTGTCCCCATTCCAGCCCTCTGGTGTGGGAATGGGGGCAAGGGATGCTAAGCCAAGCCAGCTCCATGTGAGTCCAGGAAGCAGGTGCCATAGTGGGTAGGAGGTGGAAGCAAAGAGGATCAGGGCCTCAGGTATCTCCCACGTGCCTCTTCCAGCAGGAATCTGTCAGGTTCTGCTCCTTCCTTGACCCTCAGCTCCCTCCCAAGGCCAGAGAGATGACAGCTGTGATTCTTAGACCCCTCCCTACCATCACCCTGCTTCACTCTTGGGATAGAGAAACTCCCTCAGGCCACCCTTCTCAGGCTCACCACCCTGTGTGATCCCAGAGTCTGCAAGAGCCCCTCCAGATTCCCAGGCCAGAAGAGACTGTCCCTGCCCTGGCACCTGAGAACAGCTTCAGAATTGGGCTGAACTTCAGTGCCCAGCCCACCCCCTTGCCCTCTCCCAGGTTCTCCTTCACCCCCTGCAGAGCCATCGGCTCCCTCTATCCTTTGCAACCCCCTATGAATCTTTCCTACTTGTCCAGGTGGAGTGAGTCTGAGGACAGCAGATGAACAGACAGAAACTGAAAGATCCCCAAAAAGGTAAGTGGGGAGACATTGAAGATGGGGAGTAGCGGGGGTGGACAGAGATCAAGTACCCTATCTGAGGAGCAACTGGGTCCTAGCAGTTGGTTTGGCCTCTGGTATTCCCAAAGCTGCACTGGCACTTGTGGGGGCCCAGCAGTGGTCCAGGCTCACCCCTGAGCTTTTGGCCTTGCTGCATCCTGGGACTTCTCCTGCTCCCTTCAATGGCTGGGCAGCTCCTAGCTACTCTGTGCCTCTTGCTTCCTTAGGATTCCCTCCATTTCCAGCCTACCCTTCAGGGTAGCTTTGGGAGGCCCAAACCATCAACGATGAAAGAGGAAAAGGAAAGGGGAAGAGAACAGAGGCAAGGTGGTGCAGTGGGCAGAGGGCAGGCTTCTAGGCTCTGAACTCTTCCACCCACATGCTGCCTGGCCTTGGGCAAGTCATTTGACTTCTGTTAGCCTCGGTTTCACCTCTTCCTTTTTAAATTTAAATTCTGTTTAAATTGAAGTGCTACTGCATTCCCGTGGTTGGCAGCTCAAAAAGCAAGAAATAAATCAGGAGAAAAAGTCTCTCTTCTACCTCCATCTCCCAACCAACCAGTTTCCCTTTTGGATGGCAAACAATATTACTAGTTTTAAAATATATTTTTCAAAGCTAGTTTATGCATATCTGAGCAACATAGATAATCCTTCCTTTATACACATTTTATTTTATTTATTTTTGAGCTAGGGTCTCACTCTGTTGCCCAGGCTGGAGTGCAGTAGCACAGTCATAGATCACTGCAGCCTCAAACTCCTGATCCTCTCACCTCAGCCTCTGGAGTAGCTGGGACTATAGGTGTGCACCACCATGCCTGACTAATTTTTTAATTTTTTGTAGAGATGGGGTCTTGCTATGTTGCCTAGGCTGGTCTCGAACTTCTGGCCTCAAGTGATCCTCCTGCCTTGGCCTCCCAAAGTGCTGGAATTAGAGGCATGAACCACCACTCCTGGCCTGCCTTATACACATCGTATACACACCATTCTACACTTTGCTTTTTTTCCCCCTTAACAGTGGATTATCACTGGAGATCACTGCATGTGTCAGGACATAAAGCAATTCCCCATTGGTTTTTTTACAGCTATCTGGATGGGACTGCATTTGTACAGACTCTTTACGATGTATTCAGCCAGTCTTTTACTGATGGTTGTTTAGGTTATGTCCTAGCTTTTTGAGCTTTGGTTTTCTCATCTGTAAAACAGGTAATAATAATGTTGCTTTGTAGGACAGTTGTGAAGAATTCAAGAGTGTGCATGTGAAGTGCTGGAACCAAGCACTCAAAGAGTAGGAGTCAGTATTATTGTCCCTCCCATGTCACGACCCTCCATGGGCCCATAGCTAGTTCATCCTCCAAGATGCCTCTTAAATGTTGTCTCCTCCAAAGGCTCTCCTTTTCTTCCTGCAGCACTCACTACTGCCTGCATGACTCTGTGCCAGGTCGAAAGATGCCTGGGGACAAGGTGTGCCTCCTCCCCATCTTTGTGCCTCCCAGAGTGTGTGGCACAGAGAAGGTGCCCAGGTGCACAGGGGAGCTTCTGCCTGGAGCTGAGCAGAATGTGTGCTTCTCTCCGCAGGATGAGTGAGAGGGTCGAGCGGAACTGGAGCACGGGCGGCTGGCTGCTGGCACTGTGCCTGGCCTGGCTGTGGACCCACCTGACCTTGGCTGCCTTGCAGCCTCCCACTGCCACAGGTTTGGAGGAGGTGGCAGGGCCCGGGGAGGGAGTTTCCCAGGACACCTGGGGAGCTGGACACCACTCCACCGTGTTCCATAGCAGGCAGGTCTCCCAGGCAGAGTAAAATCCAGAGATTCTAGGGGTTCCGGCTCCTCCTCTGCTCTTTACCCAGGAATCTCTGCCCACCCCAGCTGTCCCGCCCCAGAGAAGGTCTGGGCAGACCCTTTGCTCACCTCTCCTTCCAGGCTGGAAGGTGTTCTGTAGTGAGAGAGGCCCTCGGGTGAGGGCTTATCTCTAGCCTCCTGGCCTAATTCTATGGTTTTCCTTCTGGGATGGCTAAAGCCTGTGTAAGCGGATGATCCTCCCCACGCATTGTAAGCCCTGGGGCCCTTGCCCTCACCCTGAGGAAGCTGGGGAGGCGGGGCTGGTGCGGGACTCTGTCTTCTGCCCAGGGGCCGTGCTCTGCCAAAGGGTGAAGAGCACAGGCCTCACAGGGGAGGGAGGAAGAATAGGAGCTCTGTGAAGCGGCGGGAAGATTTCATCCACTTCCTCCTCCCCTGCCACTGGCAGTCTCTTCCATAGCCCTCCCTGCAGCAGGGAGGAGGGGCTGGAGGCCAGCCCGGGTGGGCGGGAGGGAGCGGGGTCGGGCGTGTTGGGCGTCTGATCCTGGGCGGCTCCCCTCAGTGCTTGTGCAGCAGGGCACCTGCGAGGTGATTGCGGCTCACCGCTGCTGCAACCGGAACCGCATCGAGGAGCGCTCCCAGACGGTGAAATGCTCCTGTTTTTCTGGCCAGGTGGCCGGCACCACGCGGGCAAAGCCCTCCTGCGTGGACGGTGAGTGAGAGGCCAGGACCCGGGCAGGGCCCTGAGCAGAGCCATAAGGAGGCCTGTTCAGGCCTCGCCATCTGCTGGGGATACAATTTCATACCCGTCTCAGGGCTTTCATGAGCAGTCTCAAATGGTGGGGCCCCCTCTGGGAGAAGAGGGCAGACGTGGCCATCCCTGTGTCATAGATGAGAAAAGCTCTTGTTATGCGCACAGCCTCCCACACTCACGTGCCCTCTGCCTGTTGCACACACAGGAGCGTTCCCTCACACAGCCCCACTCCTCTCCCCACACACTTCCTCCAGCTCCTTCCCCTGCTGCTCCTTCCCCTGGCTGTCTCAGCCTACTCTCCTCTCCTTCTCAGCCCTTCTCTCACACTTTCCTATGTGGACACGTGTGATCCTTCACACCCACACTCATTACCCTAACACTCATTTGGCACCCCATACACATGCCCACTGTGTCACGCGCATACCAGCTATGCCAGCTATGCACTCCTGGTCTGTAGACCCCTCCAGACGACTCACACCCTTGCTCACACACCACAGAGGGAGTATACTGGTTGTGCATCGATGCTAGTGACATGGTCACCTTAGAGACATTTTTGCCTGCCTTCACCCGTCACTGTCTGGGGAGATGCAGGGATCGGTGGGATTAAAGTTGAGAGGGTTACGTCCCCAGGCCTCAGGCTGAGTACTGCCTCTCTGGGCAGCCTGGAGTAGGGGAAAGACAAGGGAAATGCATGGCTCAAGGCCAGGGGTGTGTGGAAACGTGCACCTCATTCGCAGACCTGCTCTTGGCTGCCCACTGTGCTCGTAGAGACCCTAGAGCTGCACTCCGCCTCCTGCTCCCACAGCCTCCATCGTCCTGCAGAGATGGTGGTGTCAGATGGAGCCCTGCCTGCCGGGGGAGGAGTGTAAGGTGCTCCCGGACCTGTCGGGATGGAGCTGCAGCAGTGGACACAAAGTCAAAACCACCAAGGTACCCTGGGTGGGCACCTCATCCCACCCTCCCCTTCCCTCTCTACCAAGGGCAGAAAAGGGGGCACAGGAGCCTTGGAGGTCTAGGATGTCAGTGTCCCAAGGTGAGATCGTGAACCATGAAATTCACAGACAGTCCTCTCAGGTCTGTTCTCACTGGGGACTGGAGTTAGGGGGGTCAGGACTTGAAATCCAGTGTGTCCTGGGAAGATTCTTGATGTCCATATACGCTGGTTTCCTCCTGTCTGCCTGGAATTAGTTTGCCTCCAGAAAATATCAGGCCTATAAAAACATAGTCCATGGAATACTATGCAGCCATAAAAAATGATGAGTTCATGTCCTTTGTAGGGACATGGATGAAATTGGAAATCATCATTCTCAGTAAACTATCGCAAGAACAAAAAACCAAACACCGCATATTCTCACTCATAGGTGGGAACTGAACAATGAGATCACATGGACACAGGAAGGGGAATATCACACTCTGGGGACTGTGGTGGGGTGGGGGGAGGGGGGAGGGGTAGCATTGGGAGATATACCTAATGCTAGATGACGAGTTAGTGGGTGCAGCGCACCAGCATGGCACATGTATACATATGTAACTAACCTGCACAATGTGCACATGTACCCTAAAACGTAAAGTATAATTTAAAAAAAAAAAAACAACATATTAGAGCAGCAAAAAAAAAAAAAAAAAAAAAAAAGAGCTTAAAACAGAACTACCATTCAACCCAGCCATCCTATTACTGGTATATACCCAAAGGAAAATAAATCATTTTGCCAAAAAGACACATGCACTTGTATGTTCATCAAAGCAGTATTCATAATAGCAAGGGCATATAATCAGTCTAGGTGCCAATCAACATTGAATAGGATAAAGAAAATGTGGCACTTATATACCATAGAATACTACACAGCCATAAAAAAAATAATGTTTTCTGTAACACCCTGGTTGCAGCTGAAGGCCATGATCCTAAGGGACTTAGCATGGCAACGGAAAATCAAATACCACATGTTCTCACTTCTGAGAGCTAAACATTGGGTACACATGGACATAAAGATGGGAACAGTGGACGATGGTGACTACCAGAGCAGTGAGAGAGGGAGGGGAGCAAGGGCTGAAAAACTACCTATTGGGTCCTATGCTTACTACATGGGTAATGAGATCAATGGCACTCCAAACCTCAGTGTCATGCAATATACTCATGTAACAAACCTGCACATGTAATCCCTGAATCTAAAATAAAAGTTGAAATATTAAAAAAAAAAAAAAAAAAAACATAGTCGAGAATGGGAAAAATTATAAGATAATTGAGGGAGGAATTGCTACTTCTACCTGAGCTCCAGGTACAGTAGTCACTCTGTCACTCACCTCTGCCGTGACCATCCCCCACCCCCACCCCATTCCCACTGTTGTTGACTCCCTACAGTTCATACCTACCCTCCTCTAGTCAGATTTCTCTGTCCACTGTCACAGCACCCAAGAGGATTATTATTTTCATGGTTTGCTGCCTGCTCCACAGAACAAGGGGTAATTAAATTTTTTATCAAACTCGTTAGCAGCTCCATGTGTGTCATGGCTAATCAGCCGCATTGCTCTGCCGTCACCATTGGTACAGAAGAGTGACACTGCAGGGCAAGCCAGGGTTCTGCCTTTGGCTTTCCTTCCCTCCCACCACACACAGCAAACAAGCAAACACATAAGAAAATAGAGAAGGAGGGCTGGGTGCGGTGGCTCATGCCTGTAATCCCAGCACTTTGGGAGACAGAGGTGGGTGAATCAAGAGGTCAGGAGTTCAAGACCAACCTGGTCAACATGGTGAAAACCCGTCTCTACTAAAAATACAAAAATTAGCTGGGCATAATGGCACACGCCTGTAATCCCAGCTACTTGGGAGGCTGAGGCAGGAGAATTGCTTGAACCTAGGAGGCAGAAGTTGCGGTAAGCAGAGATCATGCCACTGCACTCCAGTCTGGGCGACAGAGTGAGACTCCATCTCAAAAAAAGAAAAAAAGAAAAAAAAATAGAGAAGGAAAGGCAGCCTTTGGCTTCTGAAGAGAGCAACCATTTTCACAGAGCACACAACAAAAGGAGCTACAGCAAGAAAAAGTTTGGCTCTAAAGTAGAGCATCCTCTCTCTATCCGGAGGCAGGGATGAGGGACAGCCATTCTGAGTATATTTAAGATCAGAAGAGAATGAGACCCACTACAGAGCTTGTGACATTTGTCACCATGTTATAGGTTTGGGTTTGTGGCCTGTAAGGAAGTGCTTGCAATTTGGGTAGCTACTCTGAAGCAAACAGTGGGGAGGCTTGTCTGACGTATGTTTGCATGGGTCACCAGGCCATGCTTTCCCATTCCGGCCTGCTTTAGGGTGAGAGGATTGGCAGCAATGTCCTCTAAGTGACCTGCATATTCTGGGTAGTCTCTGGCATGCTGGAATGGAATAGGCATTCCCTTCTCTAACCTTACCCTCTCGCTTCTTCACCAGGTCACACGATAGCTCTTGGGGGTCACGGCCTGGACAAGAAAGGCTTGACTGAGCCGTGAACTGAAGAATGGTATCCAGTCATCAGCCAGGAAAGATGGGGATTCACTTACATGCCTCATGTCAAATGCAGCATCAGTCTTTCCGGGGCATTTCAGTTAAGCTGCTCAGCAGATATGGATGGATCTGCAATCACATACCTAATGTGGAGCTGGGCTTTTCTGGAGACACGAAGGTCAACACACAATTCCTGCCCTTAAGGAATGTCCAGTTGAATTGGAGAGTTGATGACAGACAATTTAGATAATTTAGGTTAAAGTACTTGATACCAGACTGCGGCTTCTGGGCCACATGCTATGGCATGATGGGGGTTTGGGAATGAGATTCCCACAGTTCTTCAGATACCCTGTGGCCACAGGGCATAGAAACAAGAGGTCACATTCAGCACCCACCACCTCCCTCTTTCGCATCAGTTCTGAATCCCCAGCAAGCTGTTAACATGTTGCAGGAAAACACTCTCCCCTTATGCCAGACCAGCAGTATCTCATTTGGATGGGATTGGATTGACTTGCGGAAGGAAAGTAAAAATAAAGCCAAATAACTTCCCAAATCTTTGGCACAGGTATGGGCCATTCATTGGGTATGGGATGGACAGGACTTTAAAATCATCTCCATCCAAGCACCTCAGGTTTTTGTTTGTTTGCTTATTTTAACAGATGAGGAAGCAGCTCCAGAGAGGTGAGGCAGTTTGCCCAAGATCTCATAGCCTGGGCTCCCAGACCTCTAAGACTGATGACTTTCCACTAGCCTGAATAATAGGATTCCAACGTAGGCCTCCCATGTTAATTTTATGTCAAGTTACTGGAACCAGCAAAGTACAGGCTGGACAGCAGCAACATTTTTCTTGGGAGATGCTAGAGCAGAGACTTTTACTAAGGTCACTGTTCTCCTGTCTGAAATAATCCAGAATATCCACACACCGGGATGTGGGACCATCTGGTCTCCACTCTACTCTCATCCTCCAAATTTCAAGCAGGCCTTATGACACCCAGAGGTCACTCAACTCAGTTACAGCTGGGGCTCAGCTGGCATCTCCATTGCCCACTCTGACCCATCTCTTCTGGGGTCTTTGGGCTATGATTCTCAGAAGGTCTGGCTCCAGGAGAAATTCTGGGTGGGATGTAGAACTGGTTAGAGTCTTCTCTTTTCAAAGGCCCCTGCTGGGCAGCAGGGGTGGAAGGCTAGAGCCTCCGTTTAGAATTAAAGGTCAGTGCAGTCAGGCTGACACTAGATGGCTCAGGGATGACACATAGGCTTCAGGGACTCAGAGGCATGGGCTACTTAGATATCTCATCAGTAAGAGAATTGCAGCCTCTGAGACTGTGGGTGTTGAGATCACCAAGGCCTTAGGGAGGGGGGTGTCAGTAGAGACCCACCTGGACGATGCTGAATTCTGACCCTCAGAAAGACAAATCAGATGATAGTTTGTGGCTGAGTCTCAGCTTCTCCCTCCCTCCCTGCTCAGTAGAACCAAGACTGATATTCCCCTTTTCTTGCCCTACTCCAGTTTATTTTCTTGTTTTTGACAATGGGGTGAACAATGGTGCCAGCTTCTTACTAGAGTGTAAATATCAGAACTCACAACTCAGAATCTCTGCCGATGGTGGGCTCATGGGGTGGGGTAGGTAGGGAGTTGGTCAAAGATCGTCCCCTCTCCCCTCTCCCCTCTCCCCTCTCCCCTCTCCCCTCTCCCCTCTCCCCTCTTCCCTCTTCCCTCTTCCCTCTCCTGCCATGATCTCAGCTCGCTGCAACCTCCCTGCCTCGGACTCCCGTGATTGGCCTGCCGAGTGCCTGGGATTGCAGGCACGCGCCGCCACACCTGACTGGTTTTTGTATTTTTGGTGGAGACGGGGTTTCGCCGTGTTGACTGGGCTAGTCTCCAGCTCCTGACCTCGAGTGATCTGCCCGCCTTGGCCTCCCGAGGTGCTGGGATTGCAGACGGAGTCTCGCTCACTCAGTGCTCAATGTTGCCCAGGCTGGAGTGCAGTGGCGTGATCTCGGCTCGCTACAACCTTCACCTCCCAGCCGCCTGGCTTGGCCTCCCAAAGTGCTAAGATTACAGCCTCTGCCTGGCCGCCACCCCATCTGGGAAGTGAGGAGCGCCTCTGCCCGGCCGCCGCCCCGTCTAGGAAGTGAGGAGCGCCTCTGCCTGGCCGCTGTGCAATCTTCCAAGTGTGAAGTGACAGCCTTTCTGCAGGTGTACCCAACAGCTCCGAAGAGACAGTGACCATCGAGAACAGGCCATGATGACGATGGCGGTTTTGTCGAAAAGAAAAGGGGGAAATGTTGGGAAAAGAAAGAGAGGTCAGATTGTTACTGTGTCTGTGTAGAAAGAAGTAGACATAGGAGACTCCATTTTGTTCTGTACTAAGTAAAATTCTTCTGCCTTGGGATGCTGTTAATCTATAACCTTACCCCCAACCCTGTGCTCTCTGAAACATGTGCTGTGTCAACTCAGGGTTAAATGGATTAAGGGCGGTGCAAGATGTGCTTTGTTAAACAGATGCTTGAAGGCAGCATGCTCTTTTAAGAGTCATCACAACTCCCTAATCTTAAGTACCCAGGGACACAAACACTGCAGAAGGAAAGCCGCAGGGACCTCTGCCTAGGAAAACCAGAGACCTTTGTTCACATGTTTATCTGCTGACCTTCTCTCCACTATTTTCCTATGACCCTGCCACATCCCCCTCTCCGAGAAACACCCAAGAATGATCAATAAATACTAAAATAAATAAATAAATAAATAAAATAAAATAGTGGCTAGACAGAAAAAAAAAAAGAAGAAGATCGTCATTACCTCCTTTAAGGTTGGAGGATGGAGGGTGGGGATGGATTAAGGGATTGGCAAACATTTTCTGGAAAAGGCCAGATAGTAAATATTTCAAGCTTGGCAGCTCACATACAGTCTCTGTTGCATACTCTTTGTTTTTATTGTTGATTTTTTGTTTGTTTGTTTGTTTCATTTTGTTTTAAAATATCTTTAATATACAAAAGCTAGTCTTATTAATAGCTCAAGTCTTAGCTGTATAGAAACAGAATCTGGGTCTGTTTCAGAAGGATGCCAATCTGATGAACCTTTGAAGGCAGGCCATCTCTGCAGTGTGGGACTGCCTCCCAGCCTCCTTGCCTGACTTCTGTGCAATGGGAACCTGAGCATGAGGGCTGGGTCAGGTTTTGTTTTTCTCCTAATGCTTCTTGAGAGATTGGTGAGTGAATTATTTAGGCTACAAATGAGACAGCTTTAGCAGAGTCAGACAATAACAGCCTGTTCTCCTGGAGGCCAGAATAGGGGCTTTTCTCCAGTCATTCTGCACCCTCAAGACTGTGTCCAGGAAGGAGGGAGAGGGCTCGAGCCCCCTGCCCATCTGCTGCATCCACAAGCTGGTGGGCTCTGAGCTGGGGATTGAGCCTGAGAGCAGGGATCATGCTATACAAACTCTCTCCTGAGTTGCCAACCACTGCCAGCCTCTGCCTCAGCCAAAGTCTGGGTTCTGCAACCTTCCCTGACCTCCCTCACCCCTGCTACAGAGAAGACCTCTTTCCTTTGACACATGCTGGAATTTGCTAACTCCTAATTCATTTTTTTTAACTCCTCAAGCCTTCATTTCCTCCTTACCTTTTCATATATTTTTTTGGTGGGCCTTGAGGGGTATCTTTTATATAGCCAGAAGACCCCTACATAGGAGGGTCTGATGGAGAAGGGAAAGTGTCCCACCTCCCCCACAATAGCATCCTAGGGTCCTGTTTCCAACTGAATCAATATTTATGTGCGTTTTTTAGCTACAGTTTAAAAATGCAAATTAATTTTCCTGGAACATAGGGTTCCTGGAGTCATTTATCTTCCTCTTCTCCCCTTACTGGATTGGAATCTCAGTCCCTGAAGTTAGCTGGTACCCACACTGTCCTCAGCTGTGAAGGCCTTAGGAAGGTTACCAACCACAGGAGATCATGTGGCTAACTTCTGTTGGCATCCTAGCAGTTTCATTGAGGCCTATGAGTGACATCCTAATTAACGGTCCCCAGACAGTTGCCTGGATTGAGGCTGCAACTTCCTAAAATCACAAGCTTACAGCTAGAAGGGATTTTAATGTTTTCTTTCTTTCTTTTTTTTTTTTTTTTTTTTTTTTTTTTTTTTTTTTGAGACAGTGTCTCCCTCTGTTGCCCAGGCTGGAGTACAGTGGCATAATCATGGCTTACTGCAGCCTTGGCCTCTTGGGCTCAAGCAATCCTCTCACCTCAGCTTCCTGAGTAGCTGGCACTAATGGCATGTGCTGCCACATCCTTTTTTTTTTTTTTGTAGAATAGAGACAGGGTCTTCCTATGTTGCCCAGACTGGTCTTGTCTTGAACGTCCGGCCTCGAGCAATCCTCCTGCCTCAGCCTCCCAAAGTGCTGCGATTACAGGTGTGAGGCACCACACCCAGCTTGCAAGGGATTTTAGAGACCAGTTAGCCAACTCCCTCATTTGACAGAAAAGGGAGGCTCAGAGAGGCTAGGTGATTTGTCACATAGCAAGCTGTTGATGTGTCCTGTCCAGTGATCCAGACGGTGTTCTTTCTACTACTACACATCAAGTTTAGATGAGGAACCTGAAAAGAAGCTGGGATTTTAACAAGGATGAATGTGAAAGTGTCCCATTCTAAAGTCAATCAACCTTGCGAGTGCAAGGGAACAGAATGAAGAATGGGAAACATGGAGAGATATATACACAGAAGGAGGGCAGGAGGAACAAAAAAGAGGGATTGAGATCACTCATTCAGAAGAACACAATGCACAGCACAAAATAATAAGAACAGAACTGATGCCACATCCAAAACAATTGATTTTTATCCTTTCTCAAGGAGACAGAATGGAGCCCCTGTTAACCTTAGAGAGATCAGCGAAGCCACTTGGATGGCTTCTGGGTTCTTCAGGCTGCATACTAAAGCCCATGGGCTAAATCTGGCCTGCTGCCTTTTTGTAAATAAAGTTTTATTGGAACTTAACTATGCTTATTTGTGTCTTCCTGTCTGACTATTTTTATACTAAACAGCAGAGTTGAGTCATTTTGAAGAGCCCATATGGATCACAAAGTCTAAAATATTTATCTAATCCTTTGTTTTTTGTTTTTGAGATAGAGTTTTGCTCTTGTTGCCCAGGCTGGAGTGCAGTGGTGCAATCTTGGCTCACTGCAACCTCCGCCTCCCGGGTTCAAGCGATTCTCCTGTCTCAGCCTCCCAAGTAGCAGGGATTACAGGTACACGCTACCACACCTGGCTAATTTTTGTATTTTTAGTAGAGATGGGGTTTCATCATATTGGTCAGGCTAGTCTCGAACTCCTGACCTCAGGTGATCCACCTGCCTTGGCCTCCCAAAGTGCTGGGATTACAGGCATGAGCCACCACGCCCAGCCCATTATCTGAGCCTTTGTACAAAAATTTTGCCAACTGATGCCTTGGTGTTTTAGTTGAATCTTTCTCAACATACTTTTGCAATCTGGAAATGATGACTCTGCATTGTTTTCCTGAGTTTAGGGATATATATACATATATATATTTGAGGCTGTGCCTCTGCCTGCTTTAATCCCTTCCAGTGCCACCTGTGATATCTAACAAGCAAAGAAATGAAGACGTAAAGACTAAGAAGCCAAGAGAAAGACTTCAGGACAGATGCTTCCCTAATATGCTGTCACACCCTAGATCAGTTCAGTTCATATTTTCCAGGTTCATGTAACTTCTGCTTTTAAGCTTAAGGAAAATAACTGCATGTGCACCCATGTGTGAAGATGTAATTGTGTGTGCATGTATGCTGCTGGTGTTTCTTTTTTTTTTTTTGAGACGGAGTCTCGCTCTATTGCCCAGGCTGGAGTGCAGTGGCGCTATCTCAGCTCACTGCAAGCTCCGCCTCCTGGGTTCATGCCATTCTCCTGCCTCAGCCTCCCGAGTAGCTGGGACTACAGGCGCCCACCACCGCGCCCGGCTAATTTTTTTTTTGTATTTTTAGTAGAGACGGGGTTTCACCGTGTTAGCCAGGATGGTCTCGATCTCCTGACCTCGTGATCCGCCCGTCTAGGCCTCCCAAAGTGCTGGGATTACAGGCGTGAGCCACTGAGACCGGACTTGCTGCTGGTGTTTCTGTGTGTCTGTGGATTTGAGTATCTCCATGCCTACAAGCAAGGACAATATTCACAATACATAAAAACCAGTTTAGCACAGAGACTGACTCATCAAGACAGGTGCCAGCCCAGGGCACACTGGCAGCACACAACCCAGCACACAACTGCACATTCCCACTCCTCCTGCTATGGCTGAGATGGACTCCAGAACAGAGGAAGGCTCACTTCCCTCTTCCCCACAATGTGAGCAGCTAAGATGGTTTCTGATTTCCTGGGACTTGTGATTTGTCATCAAGCGTGAGTCTAGGCATGTGCATGGGCACAGCAGCTACTGGGCTCATATGGCTCTAAACACTCTATTTAAAATAGATATGTAGACTGGGCATAAGGAGGACCAAGCAACTACCTTTCAAACCATACATGAGGGTACAAACTCCCCTTCAGTCTGGTCTAGAGGAAGTGGATTCCAGCCATTTTTAAAAGGCTAGATTGACCACAAGGCTGGGTGATTGGCGATACACCGTAGCTTCTATTAGTGAAACTCTACCATGTGTCAAACATATATTAAATGGGACTCTTCCCATCTCAAAATTCGGACAGAGGCCCTAAAGATCAGGTAAAATAAAATTGACTATCAACTATACTAAACTCCTCCCACATTCTAAATCAAAATGCTAGACTTGCAAAAGGGGTGATGAATAGCTGTTACCCACCTCCAGACTGCATGAGAAAGGGCTAAGAACTAAGGTTGAAAAGCAGGCGGTAGTGAAGATCTGACTGGAGAGAGTTGTCACTTTCTTCCACCCTGGCCAATGGTGTGATTCTTTCTTACTGTAAGCCACTTCAGAGGGGGTTCCAGAGAAGAACTCCAAGAGCTTGACTTGAATCCATTGGAGCGTATGGGACCCAGGAACTCAGACCTGAAAATAATCTGAAGGCGAGTGGCTATGGCTGGCTGGTTGCTCTGGAGAGAGTCCAGAGGACCACCTTGAGAGTGAGCTGCCCCCAAGAGCTCAGCAGAGCGCGATGTTTGCATGTTTTCCACAGGCCAAAAGTGGACTGCCCAAGAGGGCTGCCTGGAAGAGAGAGGTGAACCCAGCTAGGGAGGGATTACCGAAGCCAGGAGTCTGAGAGGGAGTCATAAGTGGCCAGTGGAAGGAGACATCACCCACATCAAGGGATTTGTAAACAGGGGATCCCCAGCAATAGGGCATCTTCCAGAAATCCAGGAAAGTATCCTCTCACACAAGATAATGCCCAGACTCTGAGATGGAAAGAGACTTAGAGAGACTCATAGACATCAAATAATTCATTCAATATCAAGCAGCTAAGTAAATGGCATGTGGTAGTTTTGTATTGTGTCAGTTTGGGTAAGCTGGAGCTACATTTCCCAGAATCCCATCCCCTGCGTGGTTCTGGTTTAGAGTTGGCCAAAAGATTAATTTGTGAATGATTTGTAAGGCAGAGAAGCGAAGCAGCTGCCACAATTACTTTCTGAAGGCTGTCATAGGTTAGAAGTGTCAGCAGGTTCCAGGTTATACTTATTCTCACCCACTCCACATTTAGCCTTACTTGGCAACTCCTGGCCCTTCCGACCAACAAAAACTGAAAAGCCCAGACCAACCCCAGATACAGAGGCAATAGACTTTCATAAACTTCTCCTCTCTAGGATCCTGCTCCAGCAGCTGGCATTCCTGAGTCCAGAAAGTTTGATTAGTGGCTTTTCTCTGGTCCTCCAACTTCTTCATTCAAACCTTTACTCTCCCAGTTTCTCCAGCAATTCTGTAAAGCCACCCTCCCATAATAAATCTCTTATTACACAACACTCTTAGTGTTTCTCCTTCCCTGATGGAACCCTGACCGATACCATTAGTATCAATCATAAACATCAAGTAGGTATTGGAAATGGCTCCAGAGGAATAGAACATTAGGGATAAAAATTTCGAACTGATCTGGTTAGATTGAAAGGCATTAATGATCCTATTACCATTGGTATAGGTGACACTGGTAAATCATGGCATGCAGTGGCAAGAGAGGTACATGAATTATCACCTGTAGTCACCTGTAATACAAACGTCTTTAAAGGCAAGTCTTTGGCTGGCCAAGTAGTTGCCCCCACTGAACATTTTAATGGAAATAGAGAGCAAAGGAGTGTTCGTTGATTGCTTCTAAGTGTACTCAAACATGTGGAGGAAGAAAATGATGAGCTCAGGACTTTAAATGCCAAGCTCAAGGTTTGATTACAGGAGCAGGATGCTTCTATTATTGCCTTAAAAGAAACCCTCATTCTGCTGGGCGCAGTGGCTCAAGCCTGTAATCCCAGTACTTTGGGGGGCCAAGACGGGAGAATCCCCTGAGGTCAGTAGCTCGAGACCAGCCTGGCCAACATGGTGAAACCCCCGTCTCTACCAAAAACACAAAAATTAACCGGGCGTCACGGCACATGCTTGTAATCCCAGCTACTTGGGAGGCTGAGTGAGGAAGGAGAATCGCTTGAACCCAGGAAGCTGAGGTGAGCTGAGATCGCACCACTGCACTCCAGCCTGGGTGACAGAGTAAGACTCTGTCTGTAAATAAATACATAAATAAAAGTTTAAAAATCATCATAAGGCTGGGCGCGGTGGCTCATGCTTGTAATCCCAGCATTTTCGGAGGCCAAGGTGGGCGGATCACCTGAGGTCAGAAGTTCGAGACCAGCCTGACCTACATGGAGAAACCCCATCTCTACTAAAAATACAAAATTAGCTGAGCGTGGTGGCACATACCTGTATTCCCAGCTACTCGAGAGGCTGAGGCAGGAGAAACACTTGAACCTGGGAGGCGGAAGTTGCAGTGTGCCGAGATCCCGCCATTGCATTCCAGCTTGGGCAACAAGAGCAAAATTCCGTCCCAGAATAAAAAAAAAACAAAAAACAAAAAACAAACAAAAAAAAACCATATAAAAAAAAGAAAGAAACCTTTATTTCCTGTAGCGCCAGAGGTGAAATTTCTGAAAACCAAAATGGCCAGTCTTGACTTCAGTGTAATAGAAGTCACTGTTGTGCCCCATGGTGGAGACATTCTTCTCTTAGAACCCAATACCACTAAATCAGTGGGGCCCAGAGTCTTGGGATCAGGAAGTAACATTTTAATGGTGAATCATTAGGGATGACAGTGAGAAGAGTCACTCCTATTTTCCATCTCATATTGGAAATTCCACTGACTCATGCAATGAGAGCTACTGTGGTGGAAAATGCCAGGTGGAAGCCTTTAGAATGGCCTGTACCTATCAAAATAGTAAGCCCAAAGCAATTTTGTTCCAGAGATTACTGTCACCATAAGAACTTGAAAGATGTAGTAGTAGTGATTTCTACCATATCTTCTTTCAACTTGCAGAATACAGATGGATCTTGGAGAATGACAGTAGATTATCACAAACTTAATCAGGGTGGCTCCAATTTCAGCCTCTATTCCAGATGTGATTTCTTTTTCCTTTTTTTTTTTTTTTTTTTTTTTGAGGCAGGGTCTCACTCTGTCACTCAGACTAGAGTGCAGTAGTGGCATCATGGCTCACTGCAGCCTCAACCTCCCCAGGCTCAGGTTATCCTCCCACCTCAGCCTCCTGAGTAGCTGAGACTACACGTGTGCACCACCATGCCTGGCTAATTTTTGTATTTCTTGTAGAGATGGGGTTTTGCCATGTTGTCCAGGCTGGTCTCGAACTCTTGGGCTCAAGTAATCTGCCTGCCTCAGCCTCCCAAAGTACTGGGATTACAGATGTGAGCCACTGCACCCAGCCCGGATGTGGTTTCTTTACTGGAGCAAAGATGGTTTTGGTACCTGGTATGCAACTAATGGCCTATTATTGAGTAAAGAAATGTTTATTTATTTTTATTTTTATTTTTTTGAGACAGAGTCTTGCCCTGTCACCCATGCTGGAGTGCAGTGGCACAATCTCGGCTCACTGCAGACTCTGCCTCCCGGGTTCCAGTGATTCTCCTGCCTCAGCCTCCTGGGTAGCTGGGATTACAGGGGCCCGCCACCATGTCTGGCTAATTTTTGTATTTTTAGTAGAGACAGGGGTTTCACCATGTTGGCCAGGCTGGTCTCGAACTCCTGACCTCAGGTGATCCACCCCACTTGGCCTCCCAAAGTGCTGGGATTATAGGCATAAGCCACCGCGCCCAGCCTATTCTTTATGTCTGTTAGGAAAGATCACCGAAGCAGTTTACTTTCAACTGGTAGGGCCAGCACTACACCTTCAATCTCCTTCCTCAGTGGTTTATCAACCATATGGAAGATAATTGCAGCACTGCTGCCCCACTCATAGAAGACCCTAAATGATAGTGGTAAAGGAAAATCCCACCATTCTACAGAATTCTGAGCAGTACAAAGGAGAGATAGTCAGAGGTACAGATACACACACACACACACACACACACACGCTCCTCCACTTCACACACAAATTCTTCCCCACTTCACATCTATAGCAACTCCTGGCCCTTCTGACCAACAGAAACCAAAACACCCAGGCCAACCCCAGATGCAGCCACAAATTGTGTGTGTGTGCCACGGGTGGCTGAAAGTTTGACTTTCAGGTTATTGATACTTAGGGTATTGGAGGGAACACATTTGGAAAACTGATGATAAAGAAGTCTGGAGAAGAACTATGCAAATGAACTGTCATGAGCTGACACAAAGTGTGAAAATATTCATGTATTACATGAATGCTCGCCAAAGTGCAACTTCAGTAGAGGAGGATTTTAATAATCAGACCACTAAGATGCCACATTCTTTCCCCAGTCATTTCCTCCAGTCATCCCTGTCTTTGGCCAGTGGCTCATGATCAAAGTGTACATGGTGGCGAGGGTAGAAGATATGCATGGCGCAGCAACATGGGCTTCCACTCATCAAATTGGATCTGTCTATAGCCGCTGCTGGGTGTCCAATCTGCCAAGGGCAGAGACCAACACTGAAACCTGAAGAAGGTAGTATTCCCCAGACTGAATAGCCACCACTTGGTGGCAGGTTGATTACATTGGAACACTTTCATCACAAGAGAGGCAACACTTCTCCTAGTAGACACTCACTTTGGATATGGACTTCTTTTCCCAGTCCACATGCTGCTGACAAAAACACCAACTTACAGAATATCTTTTTCATTGTTATAGTATTCCACTAAGCATAGCTTCTTACCAGGGAACTCATCTTACAACAAATAAAACATGGCAATGGGCTTATGATCATAGAATTCACAGGTCTTACAATGTGCTGATTGCCCTGGAGTAAATGGCCTAAAAAGAATGATCTTTCTGAGGCTCAGGCACAATGCCACCTGAGTGCTAACACTGGGCAGGGCTGATGCAATGTCTTCCACGATGCCCTGAATCAGTGACCAGTATATAGTGCTGTTTTTCTCATAGTCAGGATTCATGAGTCTGAAAATCAAGGATTTGAAGTGGAAATTGCTCCTCTCATTGTTACTCCTAGTGATCCACTAGAGAAATTTTTGCTTTCTAGCCCCATAGCTTTGGGCTCTGTGGGTTTAAAAGGCAATTTATTTGCCTAGGTTAATTATACACAAGTAAATTATGTGACAGAGCTATCATTCAGCGACTGTATTAGGTGAAGTGTTTGCTGAAAGCAAAGGGAATACGGACTGAATAGTACAGAATGAAGTTAAAAATACCAGCTATGACCATATGACCAGTTATAGAAATGAGGACTGTAGTAGTTAAAAGTATTTTTTCTCACACTAATATGAATATATTACAATAGTCCCCTTTTATCTGTGGTTTCACCTTCTACGGTTTTAGTTACCTGTAGTCAACCATGGTCTGAAAATATTGATATTTCTCTCAAAATATTGTTCTATTTTATTTTTGTTGTTAATCTCTTACTATGTCTAATTTATAAATGGAAATTTATCACTGGTATGTATAGGAAAAAGCATAGTACTATATATACAGAGTTCAGTGCTGTCCCTGGTTTCAGGCATTCATTGGAGCTCTTGGAATGCATCCCCTGAGGATAAGGAGGACTACTGTAAGGTAAATATTAACAAATTATTTTTTCCCTCTTCTTATTCATGGAAGTGACCAGGACTATTACCTGAAAGTAACCAGAAAAATACACAGAAGCTGCCCAAGATTTCATCCAGAACCACAGAAATGAGTCCACATGTTGGAATTAAAGGTGAAGGTGTGGAATAGCCAAAGCAATCCTAAGCAAAAAGAGCAAAGCTGGAGGCATCACGCTACCTGACTTCAAACTATACTACAGGGCCACAGTAACTGAAATAACATGGCACTGGTACAAAACCAAACACATAGATCAATGGAACAGAATAGAGAATCTAGAAATAAGACCACACACCTACGACCATCTGATCTTCCACAAACCTGACAAAAACAAGCAATGGGATAGGATTCCCTATTCAATAAATGGTGCTAGGGTAACTGGCTAGCCATATACAGAATATTGAAACTGGACTCCTTCCTTACACCTATACTAAAATCAACTCAAGATGGATTAAAGACTCAAATGTAAAACCCAAAACTATAAGAACCCTGGAAGACAACCTAGGCAATACCATTCAGAACATAGGCATGGGAAAGATTTCATGATGAAGACACCAAAAGCAATTGCAACAAAAGCAAAAATTAACAAATGAGATGTAAATAAACTAAACAGCTTCTGCACAGCAAAAGAAACTATCAACGGAGTAAACAGACAACCTACAGAATGAGAGAACATTTTTGCAAACTATGCATCCAACAAAGATCTAATATCCAGCATCTGTAAGGAACTTAAACAAATTTACAAGAAAAAAAAACATTAAAAGTGGGCAAATGACATGAACAGACACTTTTCAAAAGAAGACACACATGCAGCCAACAAACATATGAAAAAAAGCTCAACTTCACTGATCATTAGAGAAATGCCAATCAAACCACAGTGATATACCTTTTCACACCAGTCAGAATGGCTATTATTACAAAATCAAAAAACAGGTAGGGGCAAGGTTTTGGAGAAAAGGGAATACTTACACACTGTTGGTGGGAGTGTAAATTAGTTCAACCATTGTGGAAAGCAG
Source organism: Homo sapiens (assembly GCF_000001405.40). Taxonomy (NCBI): domain Eukaryota; kingdom Metazoa; phylum Chordata; class Mammalia; order Primates; family Hominidae; genus Homo; species Homo sapiens. The sequence goes on from NC_000001.11 coordinate 112,739,855, forward strand.
TGTGGCAATTCCTCAAAGACCTAAAAACAGAAATACCATTCGACCCGCCAATCCCATTGCTGGGTATACACCCAAAGGAATATAAATCATTCTACCATAAAGACACATGCACATGAATGTTCATTGCAGGACTATTCACAATAGCAAAGGCATGGGATCAACCTAAATGCCCATCAATGATAGACTGGATTAAAAAAATATGGTACATATACACCATGAATACTATGCAGCCATAAGAAAGAACAAGATCATGTCCTTTGCAGGGACATGGATGGAACTAGAAACCATTATCCTTAGCAAACTAACACAGGAACAGAAAACCAAATGCCACATGTTCTCATTTGTAAATGGGAGCTAAATGATGAGATCACATGGACACACAGAGGGAAAGAACACACACTGGGGCTTTGGGGAGGGTCAGGGGTGGGAGGAGGGAGAGGTGGATACTAGGATTAATATCTGGGTGATGAAATAATCTGTACAACAAACTCCCATGACACAAGTTTACCTGTGTTACAAAACTGCACTTATACCTCTGAACTTAAAAGTTTTAAAAAAGGTGAAGGTGTGATTTAAAAAAAAAACAAAAACAAAAAACAGTTTTTCCGGCTTGAGACCCAAGTCATTGTAATTCAACAAACTGATTACACATATCTTGAATCATTTAATTCCCACAGGAACTTGTGAGGTAAGTGTTATTAATACCAGTTTACAGATGCAGATGCTCAGAGGGGAAAGAAAGTCTGAGGGCATTCAATAGCTCTCTCATGGGCTGGGAGTCCAGGACCAGGAAAAAGCACATAGTAAATAACATTTGAGGAGCAGACTCTTAAAATGTGAATTGTCTCATTTAATTCTCACACTAATTCCATAAGATAGGCATTACTATTCTCAATTTACAGACAAGGAATACAAGACTTTGAGCCCAGGTCTGCTCAGCTGTAACACTCACATCCCTCCATCACCCATGAGATGTGTTCTGGTCATCTCCTTGGGGACTGGCTGTCCAGAGTCCAAACACTTCAAAATTAGTGCTTAGGTAAGGGGTGAAGATCAGGGGATAGACTGAGTAGTAAGTGCTGTGACAGAGGTGTCTCCTCCCTGCTCTGGGGAAGGAATGGGGGTAGAGGAAACCAAATCCAGTATGAGGAAGGCATCCTAAGGGAGTCTTTTTTTTTTTTTTTTTTGAGATGGAGTCTTGCTCTTGTTACCTAGGCTGGAGTGAAATGGCGCTATCTCGGCTAACTGCAACCTCCACCTCCTGGGTTCAAGCGATTCTCCTGCCTCAGTCTCCCGAGTAGCTGGGATTACAGGCATGTGCCACCAAGCCCTGCTAATTTTTGTATTTTTAGTAGAGACAGGGTTTCACCATGTTGGCCAGGCTGGTCTCGAACTCTGGACCTCAAGTGATCCGCCTGCGTCGACCTCCCAAAGTTCTGGGATTACAGGCGTGAGTTACTGCGCCTGGCCATGAGAAGGTCTTTAAATTTGAGTGGGAATCAGCCAGGCAAAAAGCGTGTGTGTGTGTGTGTGTGTGTGTGTGTGTGTGTGTTGGAGGGAAAGGAGTGCAAAGGCTGAGGGAAAAGCATTTGTAAAGAACAATTGAGGCAAATTCAGGTAAGCAGTTAGCAATGGCTGGAGTACAAGAGGTAAGGACAGATGGCAGAGATGAGGCTGAAAGTTGGCCAAGGCTGAGCTCAGAAAGAAGCTGGTTGCTGTACAGTTTGAGTTTTATCTTGAAAACAATGGAGAACCCCGCAAGGGCTCAAGGGCAAGGGCAGAAGCAGATTGCCACCTTAGAGATGAAGCTGTAAGACCCGATGGGTGGGTGAAACTGAAGCCTGGGCAATAAAATAGAAGTTTTGACAATTATCCAGGTAAGAAATAATAAGCCCTTGGGCCAAAAGTGGTGTTTGCCTGAGGGTGCAGAGAGGGGAAGGAGGAGGATGAGGGTAGTTTCCAACTCTGGGCTCTCCATTCCTTAATGGATGATTGCTTTCTTCTCTCCCACGATCTGGCTACAATGGGTGGCAGCACTGGCCCCATGCACCTGCTTATGTGCTGTTTGAAGGACTCTGAAGGCCCAGAATCCCAACATGCTGCCTTCTCCACGGCCTGTAACCCCTCTACTCAAGTCCCTATTACGGCTGTATTCACACAAAAGCAAACACTGAACACTTACTGCACCTTTTGGTTCCTTTTTTTTTTTTTTTTTTTTTTTTTTTTAGAGGCCACCATTCGAATCTTGGTCAACTGTGAGGAAAGGCTGGAAGAGGAGTTTGGAGATGGACTGTGGCAATTCTGGAAGACCCATGTCCTGGAATTCGAGAGAAAGAGAGGAGGCCATACCACCTAGGAGAGAGGGGCTGCTGAGGTGGGGTGAGCTGGAATCTGCTCTCATAAGTTATTCCTGCCCTTTGGCTTCCAGGGATTTGGGGGCCTTTGGTCTTTCCTTTCACTCTGGCCCAGGATCAAGTTTCTCTTTAACTTCTTTTTCTGCACGTGGATTCCCAGACCCAGCCTGGTGCTCCAGCCAGAGCCTAGGCCATAGTGGGGAGCGCGAGTGAGGAGCATGTCCTCTGATGGGTTTTTCAGCGAGGGTCGAAAGGCAGATGCTGAAAAGGTGACTCGCTTAGACTCACGGGACCAGTCGGGGCAGCTCTGGGACTCCCAGAGTTCCCAAAGACGATGGTCCAAAAACCAGGAGCAGCGTGAGCGGCTGCCGAGTTCCATTCCACTCGTAAGCTCTCGCCAAGTACTGGGCAGGAAACATGATAGCCAAGAGGACTGGAGCGTTGACTTTTTCTCCTGGGAGTGATACCTGGGACAGCCTTCAAGGCTGAAGGGCCCAGGTTCTCTCCGTCGCTCCCACCTGGGGACGTCTCTTCTGGCTCTCCGCCGCCGCGCACACGCACTAGCTGGGCAGCAGGAGACCAGTCAATGAGACTGCAAACGTTGTTTGCTTTTATTTATTTATTTTTGAGACTGAGTCTCGCTCTGTCGCCCAGGCTGGAGTGCAGTGGCGCGATCTCGACTCACTGCAAGCTCCGCCTCCAGGGTACACGCCATTCTCCTGCCTCAGCCTCCCGAGTAGCTGGGACTACAGGCGCCCGCCACCACGCCCGGCTAATTTTTTTCTATTTTTAGTAGAGACGGGGTTTCACCGTGTTAGCGAGGATGGTCTCGATCTCCTGACCTCGTTATCCGCCCTCCTCGGCCTCCCAAAGTGCTGAGATTACAGGCGTGAGCCACCGCGTCCGGCCCGTTGTTTGCTTTTAGTTACTGATTGTTAAAAGATTAAGCTGCTGGTAAGCCGACATCAATAATCCCTCCGGAAAAATCTTTTAACTAAGTTAATAATAGAAAAACATTGGTTGCAATTGTAGATACTAGTCATTTCGAAGATGTGTGAGAGGGAGGTACAGTGGGTCCCGGGTAGGCTGCAGGGGTGTGTGCGCGCGAACGTGTTGGGTCCGGGAGACTGAGAGTGTGTGTGCAAGATTTCGGGAGGGAGCTTTTTCTCCGGGGTGAGGAGTGCGGACTGCAGCTCTCCCAGGCCAGCTTCCGCCCAACACTCCCCACAACCCCTAACCCCCAAGCCCCGCACACTCGCCCCGCCCCAGGCTGGACAGTTACTCCCAGGGACTCTTCCTCCTGCTTTACTCAGAAGGAGGCAGCTGCGAGCCGGGCGTGGTGGCGGGCGCCTGTAACCCCAGCTACTAGGGAGGCTGAGGCAGGAGAACTGCTTGAACCTGGGAGGCGGAGGTTGCAGTGATTCAAAATCGCGCCAATGCACTCCACCCTGGGCGACAGACCGAGACTCCGTCTCAAAAACAAACAAACAAACAAACGAAGTCGCTGCGAGCGTCCCCTCCTCTCCTTCCCTCTGATTAGCTGAGCTGCATCGATCAAGGACCATCCGGCCCGGGCGGCGGGATAGGGAGGGCCTGGGCGAGTCCCTCCCGGAGCCTTGGAGTCCGCAGGAGATTTGCGGGGGCGGGCTGCGTCTCCAAGAGAGCGAGCGTCTCCAAGAGAGCGAGCTCCCTGTCATGGGCGGTGTCCACAAAATGCGCCTCTGTGGGCGACAGAGGGGTGCGGTGGGGCCTAGGAGGCTCGTGGGCGATTCCGAGCACCGGGTCGGTCCCGAGTGAGGGGCCAGCCCTGGGGCTGGGAGGAAGGCGAGAGGCAGCGCCACTGCTCCTGACTCCCCGGGCGACTCCACGAAGGAAGGCAGAGGGCTGAGCCCCAGCGCGGATCAGCCAAACTCGACGGGCCCTTGCCGGTCACCCGTCCCTAACCCTGGTTGGGCTGGGAGGGGTCTTCTCGCAAGTCTTCTCGCCCGGCGGAGGCTTCTCCTTCCCAACCCCCGCGACGGGCGCATGCCTTAAGCTGCTCTCGCCCGCCGGGCTCCTCTCTCGCTCCCAGGGCCTGGTGGCCCGCGGTGGCCCGCGTCCATCGTGTCGGTCCCACCGACCCCGATTAACGCAGGTTCGAGATGCGGCGGCTTCCGCCGAGTGGGCGCGGCGTTCGGGGTCCTCCGGGAGCAGGTGCGAAGGACGTGTCTGGAGTCTGTCGTCTGGACCTCTGGCCTCTGGGTGCGCAGCAACCCCTCGCGGCAGGATTGCAACCGCGGAGGCCTGCAGCTGTGACTAAACTCGCGCCTCCTCCGCCGGCTTCGCGGCCCGCAGTCCACCCGGGCTAATGGTGTCAACTTTGGATTCCTCTCAATGCCGGGCCCTGTGGCACCCGGGAAAGTCTCCACGCAGGAAGGCCCAGGGTCCTGCGGGTGTACACATGGGAAGGCACAAAAGCTACAGATATTGTTTGTTCAAATTGAAGCTCGGTGGAAAGCTATGCCTTCTTACTTTTTAAAAAATTCAACTTTGTTGAAGTACAGTTTACATGCAATAAAATGCACCCACTTTAAGTGGATATTTAGATACATATTTTGACACAGTCACACTCCACTACCATGATCAAGATACAGAACATTTCCATGTCCTCAAAAATTACCTTGTGCTGTCATCCCAGACTACCCTGTGTCCCTCTACTCACCCCATCCCACACACCTGAGTTCTAGGCAACCGCCGGACTGCTTTCTTCTACTATAGATTATGTTTTTGTATTTTCTGGAGTTTCATATCAATGGAATCATACACTATGAGCTCTGTGTCTGACTTTCACTTAGCTTAATGTTGTTGAGACCCCTCCCTATTGTTGGAAAGATCAGTAGTTTACCTTTTTGTGTGTGAGATGGAGTCTCGCTCTGTCGCCCAGGCTGGAGTGCAGTGGCGCGATCTCAGCTCACTGCAACCTCCGCCTCCTGGGTTCAAGCGATTCTCGTGCCTCAGCCTCCCGAGTAGCTGAGATTACAGGCATCCGCCATCACACCCGGCTAATTTTTGTATTTCTTTAATAGAGACGGGGTTTCACCATGTTGGCCAGGCTGGTCTCGAACTTCTGACCTCAGGTGATCCACCCACCTCGGCCTCCCTAAGTGCTGGGATTACAGGTGTGAGCCACCGCGCCCAGCTTTTTTATTGCTGATATTGCATTGTCTGGTTGTACCGCAATTTGTTTAACCTTTCTCTTGTCCATAGACATTTGGACTTTTTCCCAGTTTGGGCTATTTTGAATTAAGCTGTTAGGAATATTTGTTCAATTCTGTGTGACTTTATGATTTCATTTCTCTTGGGTGCATATATAGAAATGGAATTGGTGGGTCATATCAGAAAATATATTTTTAATGTTGTAAGAAACTGCAAAACTATTTTCTAAAGTGGCTGAAGCATTTTACACTCCCACCAATAGTATATGAAAGCTCCAGTCATCTCCACATAGCCACCAATTTTTAGTATTGCCAGTCTTTTTAATTTTAGTTATGCTAGTGGGTGCCCAGTGGTACCTTACTGTATTTTTAAATTTCATTTCTCAAATAACTACGTTGAGCATCTTATGACGTGTTCGTTTTAAAAATGTGTATATCTTATTTAGTGCAATGTCTGTTCAAATATTTCACTCATTTTTATCAGGTTATTTGTTTTATATTACTGAGCTGTAAAAGTTTTCTATATATTTAGGATATAACTCCCTTATTTATGTTTTGCATATATTTTCTCACAGTCTGTGGCTTGCCTCATCATTTTCTTTTTCTCTCTCTTTTTTTTTTTTTTTTTTTTTTTTTGAGACGGAGTTTCACTCTTGTTGCCCAGGCTGGAGTGCAATGGTGTGATCTCAGCTCACCACAACCTCCGCCTCCCAGGTTCAAGCGATTCTCCTGCCTCAGCCTCCCAAGTAGCTGGGATTATGGTCACACACCACCATGCCCGGCTGATTTTGTATTTTTAGTAGAGATGGGGTTTCTCCATGTTGGTCAGGCTGGTCTTGAACACTTGACCTCAGGTGATCCGCCCGCCTTGGCCTACCAAAGTGCTGGGATTACAGGCATGAAGCACCACACCCAGGCTTTTTTGTTTTGTTTTGTTTTGTTTTTGTTTTTGTTTTTTCAAGATAGAGTCTTGCTCTGTCACCCAGGCTGGAGGGCAGTGGCATGATCTCAGGTCACTGCAACCTCCACCTCCTGGGTTCAAGCGATTCTCCTGCCTTGGCCTCCCCAGTAGCTGAGATTATAGGCGTGCGCCACCATGCCTGGCTAATTTTTGTGTTTTTTAGTAGAAATGGGGTTTTGTCATGTTGGCCAGGCTGGTCTCGAACTTCTGACCTCATGATCTGCCCGCCTCAACCTCCCAGAGTGCTGGAATTACAGTCATAAGCCACCGCGTGCGGGCTGCCTCATCATTTTCACAACCATTTCAAAGAGTTAGTTTTAGTTTTGATGAAATCCAATAATCATTTTCTTTTATGGTTTGTGATTTTGAGGTCTTAAGAAATCTTTTGCCTTATGTCAGGTTTGCACAGATTTTTTTTCCTTTGTTTTCTTCTCACAAGTTTTATAGTTTTAGCTCATATGTTTAGGCCTATGATCTATTTCAAGTTAAATTTTACATATGGTGTGAGGTAAAGGTTGAGGTCCATTTTTTTCTGTGTGGATATCCCATTGTTCCAGCATGATTCATTGAATAGACTACCCTTTTCCCATTAAGTTACCTTAGAACCTGTGGTAGCTAGAATTGAAGATGGCACCTAATGAATACCACCTGTATGCAGGCCTCTGTGTAGTCCTCTTCCACTGCATTGATTTCTTTGGTTGACCTGTGTAATCAATACAATTTTGCAGAAATTAGGGAGTAAAAGTTAACAACACCAGGTCATAAAAACATTGGCTTCTACCTTGCTCTCTACCTTGATCTGTCCTAGATCACTCACCCAGGGAAGTCAGCTGGAAACTCAAGCCACTCTATGAAGAGTCTTATGTGGTGAAGAACTGAAGCCTCATGCCAACACCAGCATCTACCTGCCAGACAAGTAAGTGAGCCATTTTTAAGAGTAGATCCTCCAGTCCCAGTCAAGCATTCAGGTGACTAGCCTCAGCCAACATCTTGATGTGCAAACTCAGGAGAAGGTCTGAACTAGAACCACGAGTCTAAGCTGCCTCTGAATTCCTAACCTAAGAAACTATATTTCTAGAATCTCAATTCTGTTCCACAGATCTATGTGTCTGTCCTTACAGCAACACTACACTGTCTTGATTACTGTAGTAAGTCTTAAAGCTTTCTAATATTGTTTTCTTTAAAAACTGCTTTGACTCTTCTAGGTTCTTTATATTTTTATATCAGTTTTAGAATTAGCTTGTAAATTTCTACAAAAATCTTGCTGGGTTTTGATTGGGTTTGCATTGAAGCTATAGTTTTAATTCTGGGAAAACTGATCTCTTTTTTTTTTTTTTTTTTTGACATGGAGTTTTTGCTCTTGTCGCCCAGGCTGGAGTGCAATGGTGTTATCTTGGCTTACTGCAACTTCCATCTCCTGGGTTCAAGCGATTCTCCTGCCTCAGCCTCCCAAGTAGCTGGGATTACAGGCGCCAGCCACCAAGCCTGGCTGGTTTTTTGTATTTTTAGTAGAGACGGGGTTTCATCATGTTGGTCAGGCTGGTGTTGAACTCCTGACCTCAGGTGATCCACCCCCTTCGGCGTCCCAAAGTGCTGGGATTACAGGTGTGAGCCACCACACCCGGCTTGAAAACTGGTATCTTAATATTCAGAACCACTCTGGGTTGCTGCCATCGCTGCCACCGTCGTGCCAGCCCCTCAGGTCTCCGCGAGGCCAGGTGACGCTCAAGAATGGGAGACAAGCCAGTTTGGGAGCCGATTGGATCCAGCTTCAATCAACATTACTACCAGTTATTTGATAACGATAGAACGCAACTAGGCGCAATTTACATTGATGCTTCATGCCTTACGTGGGAAGTACGACAGTTCCAGGGGAAAGCTGCCGCTGTGGAGAAGTTGTCTAGCCTTCCCTTCCAGAAAATCCAGAACAGCCTCACGGCGCAGGACCATCAGCCCACGCCAGATAGCTGCATTATCGGCGTGGTTGTGGGCCAGCTTAAGGCGGATGAAGACCCCATCAAGGGGTTCCACCAGATGTTCCTATTAAAGAACATCAACGATGGCTTTTGCGCCAATGACATGTTCAGGTTTGCCCTGCACAATTTCGGCTGACCTCCTCTCAGCCAGGCACTAATGCTGTTTCCTCCTCCCTTCTCTTCCCAATACTATTCCTACTCCTCCAGATGCTCCAAATATCATGCACAAATAAGCAGGGCCGCGGCGGGAGTGGGCGCAGTGCGCTGCTGCCACCGAGGTGTTGTGCATGATGTTTGGACGCTAGACTAGTTACATATGACAGGAGAAGTTTGTGTTGTACCAGCGCGTGCCTTGGAAAGGCTTAAGTAATGCAAAAGGTTGTCCTTAGTTTTTGGTTTTTTTGTTTGTTTGTTTTTTTAAATCTACTGACAGGTTGCTTTAGTAACCCAAAGAAGTGAAGGAGAAAGCAGCTGCCTCACCGCCCAGACATTGATTTGTTCAGATGTTTCAATGCCTTATGATACAATAAAACCACAAAAATTTCCTTTAAAAATTCAGTCTTCTGATCTATGAACATGGAAAATATCTGCATTTATGTATGTTTTCTTAAAAATTTCTAAACAATATTTTATAGTTTTAAGTGCTCAAGTTTAGGTCTTGCAAATATTTTGCAAAACTTATCCGTAAGTATTTCATGTTTTTGATGATACAATGAATGGTACTGTGTTTTAAATTTCTGTTTATAGTTGCTTGTTGCTAGTACAGTTTATAAACATACAATTGATATGTGTATATTGGCCTTTTATCCTGTGATGTTTCTAAACATCCTTCTTGGTACCAGTAGCTTCTTAAAAGTTTCTTTTGGATTTTCTACATAGATAATCATGTTGTCTCTGAATAATGATCATTTTACTTCTTCCTTTCCAATTTGGAAGCCTTTTAGTTACTTTTCTTCCCTTATTTCAATGATTGGGACCTCTAGTACAATATTGGGTTTGTTTGTTTGTTTGTTTTTGTAGAGACAGGGCCTCGCCATATTGCCCAGACTGGTCTTGAACTCCTGGACTCAAGTGATCCTCCCACTTCAGCCTCCCAAAATGCTGGAATTACAGGCATGAGCCATTGTACCTGGCCGTTATTCCAACATTGAATAGAAGTGGCAAGAAAAGACAATGTTGCTCTTGTTTCTAATTTTAGGGGAAAACATTCAGTCTTCACCATTAACTATGTTATTAAGTGAAGGTTTTTCATAAGCATTCTTTATTACATTGAAGAAATTCCCTTCTATTCCTAGTTTGCTGAGACATTTTATTAAAAATGTGTGTTGAATTTTGTCAAATGCTTTTCTGTATTTATTGACATGATCATATTGTTTTCTTTTTCTGGTTGAATAATATAATAAATAAACAATGTCAATTGTTGAATGTTAAACAAATTTTGCATAATTCTTGGGATAAACCCCATTTGAGCATGATGCATTTTCCTTATTATTTTCTTATTATATTGCTAAATTTGATTTGCTTATATTTTGTTAAGGACTTTTTTCATCTCTGTTTATGAGGGATATTGGTTACAGTTTTTTTTTTCTTATAATATCTTTGTCTTTGTTTTGGAAACAGGATAATGCCGACTTCATAGTAGGAGTTGCAAAGTATTTACTCCTATTTTCTGGAAGAGTTTATGTGAGTTTGTACTATTACTTTCTTCAGTGATTGATAGAATTCACTAGTGCAGCCATCTGGCTGGGAGTTTTCTTTGTGGAAAGGTTTGTAATCAGAAATTCTAATTCCTTAATAATTGTAATGAATATTCAGGTTATTTCTTCTTGAGTGAACATCAGTCTTCCTTTCAAAATAATTTTTCCCTTCCAAGTTATTGAATTTATTGCCATAAACTTGTACCATCTGTAGTGATGCTTCCTCTTTCATTCCTGATATTGGTAAGTGTGTCTTCTTTCTTTTTTTTCTGTTCAGTCTGACTAGAAGTTTTTCAATATTATCTTCTCAAATAATTGGCTTTAGAGTAACTGATTTCCCTATTGTCGAGGGCTTATTTCTTCTCTTTTTTTTTTTTTTTTTTTTTTTGAGATAGGATCTCACTCTGTCACCTAGGTTGGAGTGCAATGGCAGGATCACGGCTCACTGCAGCCTCAACCTTCCTGGCTCAACTGATCTTCCTGCCTCAGCCTACTGAGTAGCTGGGACCACAGGCACATGCCACCATGCCTGGCTAATTTTTTTAATTTTTTTGTAGAGTTGGAGTCTTGCTATGTTGCCCAGGCTGGTGAGGGGGTCTTCTCTAATTATTTTGCTCATCTTTATTTTTGCTTCCCATTGCTTACTTTGGGTTTACTTTGCTTTTCTTTTTCTAGTCTCATGAGATGGAAACATAGATCACTGATTTGAGATCTTCATTCTTTTCCACTATAAACATTTGATACTCTTAATTTCCTTGGATGCTTAACTGCTTCTCACAGATTTTGCTATATTGTGTTTTATTTTTATCCAATTCAAAATATTTTCTAATTGCCCTTGTGATTTCTTCTTTTACCCATAGGTCATTAAGAAGTGTATTTCATTTCCAAATATTTGGGGATTTTCCACATATCTTTCTGTTATTGGGTTTAATTACATTATAGTCAGAGGATATACTCTATATGGTTTTATTTTATTTTATTTTTTGAGACAGGGTCTTACTCTGTCACCCAGGCTGGAGTGCAGTGGCTCGATCTCGGCTCACTGCAACCACCACCTCCTGGGTTCAAACGATTCTCCCACCTCAGCCTCCCAAGTAGCTGGGACTACAGGCACAGGCCACCACACACAGCTAATTTTTGTATTTTTTGGTAGAGATGGGGTTTCACCATATTGGCCAGGGTTCACCATATTTCACCATGCCTGGCCATACTCTGTATGGTTTTAATCCTTTCAAATACATTGTGACTTATTTTTTTGGCCCAGGGTATGGTCTATCTTGATAAATATTTTCTATTCACTTGAAAAACATATGTATTCTACTGTTGTTGGGTGGGTTCTATAAATTCAATCGGATCAAGTTGGTTGGTAGGATTACTCAAGTATTTTATGTCTTGAGTGTTTACTTTTATGTCTACTTCTATAATTACTGAGAAAGTAGGGCCAGGCGCGGTGGCTCACGCCTGTAATCCCAGCACTTTGGGAGACCCAGGCAGGTGGATCACCTGAGGTCAGGAGTTCAAAACCAGCCTGGCCAACATGGTGAAACCCCGTCTCTACTAAAAATACAAAAAATTAGCCTGGGCGGTGGCGGGCGCCTGTAGTCCCAGCTACTCGGGAGGCTGAGGCAGGAGAATGGCGGGAACCCAGGAGGCGGAGCTTGCAGTGAGCAGAGATCGTGCCACTGCACTCCAGCCTGGGCGACAGTGCAAGACTCCGTCTCAAAAAAAAAAAAAGAAAAATACAAAAATTAGCTGGGCGTGGTGGCGGGCGCCTGTAATTCCAGCTACTTGGGAGGCTGAGGCAGGAGAATTGCTTGAACCCGGGAGGCGGAGGTTGCAGCAAGCTGAGATCGCGCCACTGCAATCCAGCCTGGGTGACAGAGTGAGACTGCCTCAAGAAAAAAAAAAAATACTGAGAAAGCAGCGTTGACATCTCCAAGCACACTTGTAGATTTGTCTGTTTCTCCTTTTCATTCTATCAGGTTTTGTCTCTTGTATTTCAAAGTTCTTTTATTGGCTGGGTGTGGTGGCTCACTCCTGTAATCCCAGCACTTTGGGAGGCCGAGATGGGCGGATCACAAGGTCAGGAGATCGAGACCATCCTGGTTAACACGGTGAAACCCCGTCTCTACTAAAAATACAAAAAAATTAGCCGGGCTTGGTGGCGGGCGCCTGTAGTCCCAGCTACTCGGGAGGCTGAGGCAAGAGAATGGCGTGAACCAGGGAGGTGGAGCTTGCAGTGAGCCGAGATCGCGCCACTGCACTCCAGCCTGGGTGACAGAGCGAGACTCCGTCTAAAAAAAAAAAAAAAAAAAAAAAGATATTGTAGTGTTGCCTTCTGGCTTGCTTAGTTTTTGATGAGAAACCTACGGTCATTCTTTTTTTTTTTTCTTCTTGAGACGGAGTCTCGCACTATCGCCCAGGCTGGAGTGCAGTGGTGCGATCTCGGCTCACTGCAAGCTCCGCCTCCCAGGTTCACGCCATTCTCCTGCCTCAGCCTCCTTAGTAGCTGGGACTGCAGGCGCCCGCCACCACGCCCAGCTAATTTTTTTTTGTATTTTTAGTAGAGGCGGGGTTTCATTGTGTTAGCCAGGATGGTCTCGATCTCCTGACCTCGTGATCCGCCCGCCTTGTCCTCCCAAAGTGCTGGGATTACAGGCGTGAGCCACCGCGCCCGGCCCATTCTTTATTATCTTAGTTTCTCCGTAGGTAGTGTCTTTTTTTTAATCTCTGACTGCCTTTCAGAGTTTTTCTTTATTACTAGTTTTCAATATTTGGTTATTATTTGTCTTGGTGTAGGGGATTTTTTGTTTGTGTGGGTTTTTTTCTTTTTGAGACAGAGTTTCACTCTTGTTGCCCAGGCTGAAGTGCAATGGCGCGATCTTGGCTCACTGCAACCTCCACCTCCTGGGTTCAAGCGATTCTCCTACCTCAGTCTCCCGAGTAGCTGGGATTACAGTCACATGCCACCATGCCCGACTAATTTTGTATTTTTAGTAGAGATGGGGTTTCTCCGTGTTGGTCAGGCTGGTCTCAAACTTCCAACCTCAGATAATCTGCCCACCTTGGCCTCCCAAAGTGCTGGGATTACAGGCGTGAGCCACCACGCCCGGCCTTTTTGTTTGCTTTTTATCCTGCTTGGGGTTTGTCGAGCTACTTGGATAATTAAGATTACATTTTTAGTCAAATTTGGAACATTATCAACCATTATTTTTTCCTTCTTCCTCCTTTCTTTCCTTTACTTCTGGGACTTCAATTATATGTACATTGTGTACATGTTGTGCATGTCTAATTACTTGTAAAACAAGACCACTTGACATTGTCCACTAAGTCACTGAGGAACAAGATCATTTTTTTTTCAATCTTTTTTCTCTCTTTGCTTCATTTTAGTATGGTTCTTTTTTTTTTTTTTTTTTTGAGACAGGGTCTTGCTCTGTTGTCCAGATTGAAGTACAGTGGCATGATCATGGCTCACTGTAACTTCAACTTCCTGGGCTTAAGCAATCGTCCCACCTCAGCATCCTGAGTAGCTGGGACCACAGGTGTGCACCACCACATTGGTCTCCCTATGTTGCCCAGGCTGGTCTCAAACTCCTGGGTTCACATGATCCTTCCACCTTGGCCTCCCAAAGTGTGGGATGACAGGTGTGAGCCACTGCACCTGGCCTAGTATGTTTTCTTTTCTGATTTTTTTAAATTTGTAGGGTCCTATCTGCTCTTATTCCCATCCAATGTATTTTTCAACTCAGCTTGTTGTATTTTTCATCTCTAGAAGTACTATTTTAATATTTTTTATATTTTTGATTTCTCTTATTTTCTTTCTTTTTTTTTTTTTGTTTTCATTTGTTTGTTTTGTTGTTGTTGTTGTTTGTTTGTTTAGAGACAGGATATTCCTCTGTCACCCAGGCTGGGGTGTAATGGCACAATCATAGCTCACTGTAGCTTCAAACTACTGGATTCAAGTGATCTTCCTACCTCAGCCTCCTGAGTAGCTAGGACTATAGGTGCATACCACCATGTCTGGCTGGTTTTTTATTTTTATTTTTTATTTTTTGGTAGAGATGAGGTCTTACTATGTTGCCCAAGCTGGTCTCAAACTCCTGGGCTCAAGTGATCCTCCTATCTCAGCCTCCCAAAGTGCTAGAATTACAGGTGTGAATCACTGTGCTTGGCCCATTTCTTTCATTTTCATATTCTTGGCCTAATTGGGCATAAAGAACATGTTTGTAATAACTATTTTAACATTTATGTCTGCTAAGCTCATCATTTCTGTCATTTTTTTGGTCTGTTTGTATGGACTGATTTTATCTTCCAGCTATGAATCACATGTTCCTGCTTCTTGGTATGCCTAGTAAATTTTGATTGGATGCTGGACATTGTGAATTTTATGTTATTGAGTGTCTGCCTTTTGTTAGACTTTTCTGACTTGCTGCATTGTGTTGTACTTCTTACAATGTGTGGCCTTTCTATGGTCTCTCCAGAGGTGTAGAGAGAAGTCAGATGATACGCAGCCCTGTGTCAGCTCTGGATAGTGTTGATCTTCCAGCTCCCAGGTAGTTGCTCCTTCCCTGCAAGTTGTTCTTGCCCAGTCTCAGCCTCAAGGGGTTTTACCCCAAACATATACAGATTGATATTTGGCCAAGGACTTGGAATCTTCTGTAGATTTCTGGAGCTCAGTCTCTATGCAGTGTCCTTTTCTCTGGTGTTTTTCCCACAGTTTTTAGATGCCTCAGCATCTCCAAACTCTGATCTCTGAGTCCTCAGTTTTGTGAGATTGCTGAGCTGTTTGGGTTTCTCCTTCTGAATTGTGCCCTGGGAACTTTCTCCAGGCTATACGTTGGTGGACTCATAGGTCTTACCTCATTTGTTTCCCTTCTTACAGGCATAGCTGGTGTTTTGTGGTTGCCCCATTGGGGTGGATCAATTCCCCACCCAAAATTGGTTTGGATATCAAGACTAATGATGCCACACATGCACCAAGAGGGTATGAAAACATTTATTGCCCACATAATGGGACTTTCTAGGGAGAGCAGAGCAGGCCCTCAAGCCCTCTGGAATAACTTGAGCAAAGGGAGGGGTGAGTGACTTGAGTTTCTAATGCAATTGGGGCCAGGGTGAGAGTTCCTGCCCATAGGCCAGCTTTTGAACTTTTCTTGCTGGCACTAAGGGAGAAAGCATGTGGCCTTCTTGTCAAGGTGGGTCAAAAAAGGAGAAAGGGAAGAGATAGGACTTGAAAGTTATCAGTAATCAACCATCAAAAAATAGAGTGAAGTTCTTTTTGCAACTGTCCTGTACTGACTGTTACCCAGTGTCTGAAAATAGCTATTTCATATATTTTGTCTGTTTTGCTAGTTATTTTTGGCAAGAGAGCAATTGCTGTAACAGTTAATCTTTTATGGAGGAAGAAAAAGTCTCTGTGCTCCATTTAAAAACTAGGTTTAGGCCAGGCACAGTGGTTCACACCTGTAATCTCAGCACTTTGGGAGGCCGAGGAGGTAGGGTTGCTTGAGCCCTGTAGTTCAAGACCACTCTGGGCAGTATAGTGAGATCCCATCTTTACAAGAAAATATATTGTTTAAACTAGGTTTGCAGTGATGTGTTCATCTAAGCTAGGTAAACTGGGGGGTAACTTATTTTGGATGGTTGACTTATAGAGCCTGGAGAAAGTGCTGGGCAGACTAGCAACCCAGGTCAGGTAGGCCCTCTCTGGTCTTTAATCCACCTCTGGTGGGGAAGGCAAAGACTTGAAAACTCATTGATTTCCTGACACTCCTTGTAGAAAGGCTTTGCACAGGTCTGGATATGTGTTTAATATTTGAGAAACATTTGGCCATTGTCAAAGCATTTCTATATAGTACTTTGTGTCCTTCATTCTCCACAACAAATGGGAAGGAAGATGGGCAGAAGGTGGTAGAAGTACTTTGTACTTGAGTAAATTAAAGATTGCAACCTGGGCCGGGCACGGTGGCTCATTCCTGTCATCCCAGCATTTTGGGAGGCCAAGATGGGAGGATTGCTTGAGCCCAGGAGTTTGAGACCAGCCTGGGCAACATAGTGAGACTCCATCTCTACAAAAAATTAAAAAACTAACTAGGTGTGGTGGCTTGTGCATGTACTGCCAGCTACTTGGGAGACTGAGGTGGGAGGATTACTTGATCCCAGGAAGTTGAGGCTGCAGTGAGCCTTGGTCGCACCACTGCACTCCAACATGGATGACAGAGCAAGACTTTGTCTCAAAAAAAGAAAAAAAAAGATCACAACCTGACTAACTCCTAGTTGAAAGGCCAGGAGAAATGGGAAAAGGGAGAAGGGCCTGACATAGGAGGAGGATTGGAAAAGATTGGCGAAACTTGTGACTTGCCAAAGTGTGAGTGTCTGCACATGATTTCTTTGAGGAAAGAGTTGTTAAAATCCTATTCTGGGGCCAGGCGCGGTGGCTCACGCCTGTAATCCCAGCACTTTGGGAGGCCGAGGTGGGTGGATCACCTGAGATCAGGAGTTCGAGACCAGTCTAATCAACATGGAGAAACCCCATCTCTACTAAAAATACAAAATAGCTGGGCGTGGTGGTGCATGCCTGTAATCCCAGCTACTCGGGAGGCTGAGACAGGAGAATCGCCTGAACTTGGGAGGCGGAGATTGCAGTGAGCCGAGATCGTGCCATTGCACTCTAGCCTGGGCATACAGAGCAAGACTCCATCTCAAAACAAAAACAAACAACAACAAAAAATTCCTATTCTTCAGATGAAGATACAGAACTTGTTCACAAACCACATAGCTATTAAATGGCTGGACCTAGACCTTGGTGTGCCGCCATCAGGGCCTTGAGCATAGCTGCAGACCTGAGCCCTGTGTAAACCACAGACCTGGACTTTGAGTCTCTATGGTCCAAGGAACCCAAGGTATCCCACTTCGCATGTGACTCTGTCTGATCTCCAGTTTTCAGGGTCTTCTGGGCTGAGCTCCTACCAAGTCTCTCAGTAGGTCCATCTTGGCAATACCTTGTCTCCCTCTAAACATCCATGACTGCCTGGTATCTATATTCCAGCTGGCCTCCTCCCCCTGGGCAGTCAGAGCGGCCCAGGGTGGAGACTGAGGGTGGAAAGGACAGCTGTCTCATGTTGGCAGAGCTACTCCCTAGGTAGTGGAAATGCCATGAAGGTAGAGGAAATGCCATGAGGAACAGTGGTAAAGAGATCAAGGGTCAGAGAAGACCACAGAAGCCTCTCTTGAGAGCCATGTTGCTTGTCCCTATGATGGGCACTTTTGGCCAGTTCATTTCTGCTCTGGACTTGGAGTCCTTGTCTGAGAAGTGAATGGACAGAAGGAATAGTTTCTGTGGCTCTTCTAGGCTGATGCCCCATGGTTGGTGCCTCACTGCTGTTAATGGTTCTGTGTCCACTTGTTCCAGGTGCCTGTCTACTCTTGCATCTGTCACACTGTGCCTCACATCTGAGTCCTGGCCTTCCCTAGCCATTGTCAAGGGCTCCTGGAACTGTCAATGCCCTGGATTCCCAGAGAGAGCTTTATATGTCTTCTCTATGTAGAGAAAGTAGAGACGAGTTTCATCCGAGAGAACCAGGTTCCACCACTTATTTGCTGAGTGTCTTTAGGCAAGTTATTTAACCTCACTGTGTCTCAGTTGCCTTATTGGTAAATTATAGTATGTTTACAGTGATTTACCAGAAATACATGAGTCTGTTTAGAGCACTCAGCATGAAATAAGCATTTGATCTTATTTCCTGTGATGGAGAGGGTAGGGCTGGGGGTGTGAGCTGGAGGGAGAGTGCTGTCCTACCAAAGAATAAACACCACGTTTGGGATGCTGTTCTGCAGTATTTCCTCCTGTCCCCAAAGCAGGGAAAACTAAATCACTCTAAAATTAATACATGGATGGAGGGTCTGAGAATTGAGTTTCCTTTGAGGAAAAATTAGTCTCTGGTAAATATTTCATTAGGGGAGATGCGGATGCAGCAGGGCTGATCCTGTCTAAGCCTCCTCTTGTCTCCCCTCGCCCACTGGATTCCCAAGTGGCTCCTCCAAAGAAGTCCCACCTCTCTCTCCTACCCCACCCTGCCCTCCCTCAGGCTGCTCTCCTGGGTGACGCTGTGCTCCAACATTCATGGCCTGACAGCTATTGCACATGTTCCTGTGTGGCCTCTGGGTCATCAGGTATGTGTTGGGAAGTGGGGATTTGTCTCTTGCTCAAACCACGAGGACCCTGGGAGGAAGAATGGCCTACTTTCTTCCTTTCCTAAGGTCACTCACATGGTACGGGAGGGGGTGATCCTAAAAGCATAGGACCATCTCCATTATTTCTCAGCTCTCCCACTCCACTCCCTGCTCTGAGCTTCTATATGCTAGTCCTGCCTGGTGGTGGCGGTGGTGGTGGTGGTGGTGGTGTGTGTGTGTGTGTGAGAGAGAGAGAGAGAGAGAGAGAGAAAGAGGGAGAAAAAGCCATCACAGCATTCTGACCCAGGCAGAAGAGAAGAGAGGAGAAAGCAAGTCCCGGTAGGAGGAGGTAGGAACCACTATAACCAAAGCCAGCAGGCAACCAGGCTCAGCCTCTGGAATGCTGCAGCCTGAAATGACAGGAAACAGAAATGGGGGAACTCACAGAGCTCCACGCGCCCTGCTCAGCCCCGGCCATGCCCAGCCCTATGCTGCTCAGAGGAAGGCACTCAAAGGACACAATGCCTCCAGCTCACGGAAAGCCCCACCCCACCTTCTCCCTCTCCCCATGGACATAGGCTCATTCATGTGGGGTAGGGACTGGAAGGGGTGTGGACTCCACCGTGACATTTACCGAAGACATGAACTCAGCGAACATTGTAATTTGCTGATTAAAAATTTAATCCCCATCTTAAGGTCAGAAAACCGGGTACGAAGAAGTTGGCAGAAATTGGGGCTGGTGGGTGGGGAAGAGTGGAGCAAGTCAGTCTGCGTTAGCTGAGGGGAGGGGTTTGTCAGGCTGGTGGGGTTTGGGGGCAGAGTGTAGGGGGAAATTGAGGAGGACCCAGGAGCCCGCTGGCAGGGATAAGGATGGGGGCAGGACACATCTTCCTAAGGGAGCTGGGTGGGGTAGATACTCCCAGTCTATTCCCAGTTGCAGGAGACAGAAAGAGTCCGGACTTCAGAGTGAGATGGACCTGGGCTAGCATCTGGCTGTGTGGCCCTGGGGACGAGAGCCCTGCCCAATACAGAGTGATTACAACATGATAACGCTTCCTCCTACCAAAGTGCAGGGCTAGAATGGATCTTGGCCCATTTCTGAAAGTCTGACAAGAAAGAAAGAAGGAAAGAAAGAAGGAAAGAGAGAGAGAAAGAGAAAGAAAGAAAGAATTAAGAAAGAAAGAGAGAGAGAGAAAGAAAGAAAAGAAAAGAGAAAGGAAGAGAGGAAGCGAGAGACAGGAAGGAAGGAAGGGAGGGAGGGAGGAAGGAGAGAAAGAACGAAAGGAAGAAGGCCGGGCATGGTGGCTCATGCCTGTAATCCCAGCAACTTGGGAGGCCAAGGCGAGTGGATCACCAGGTCAGGAGTTCAAGACCAGCCTGGCCAAGATGGTGAAACCCCGTCTCTACTAAAAATACAAAAAAATTACCCGGGCGTGGTGGCGGGCGCCTGTAATCTCAGCTACGCAGGAGGCTGAGGCAGAGCGTTGCTTGAACCCGGGAGGCAGAGGTTGCAGTGAACCAAGATTGCGCCGCTGCACTCTAGCCTGGGTGACAGAGCGAGACTCCGTCTCAAAAAAAAAAAAAAAAAAGAGAAAGAGAGGAAGGAAGGAAGGAAGGGAAAGAAAGAAGAGAAGAGAAGAGAAGAGAAGAGAAGAGAAGAGAAGAGAAGAGAAGAGAAGAGGGGAGGGGAGGGGGCCGGGTGAGGTGGCTCACACCTGTAATCCCAGCACTTTGGGAGGCCAAGGCGGGCAGATCACCTGAGGTCAGGAGTTCGAGACCAGCCTGGCTAACATGGTGAAACCCTGTTTCTACTAAAAATACAAAAAATTAGCTGGGTGTGGTGGCGTGTCCCTGTAATCCCAGCTACTCGGGAGGCTGAGGCAGGAGAATTCACTTGAACCTGGGAGGTGGAGGTTGCAGTGAGCCAAGATCGCTCTATTGCACTCCAGCTTGGGCAACAAGAGCAAAACTCCGTCTCAAAGAAAAAAATAAAGAAAGAAGAGAGAGAGAGAGGAAGGAAGGAAGGAAGGAAGGAGAAATCTTCATTCTTCCTCTTTTCTTTCTCCATCTTTCACTATCTCCTCTTCTTCCTCCCCTTCCCCACCTCCCAGGCTTAATTCTGTAACTCAGGGGGAGGGAGAAAGACAAGCCGGGTGGTGGGAGCTAGGACACTGGCGGGCAGAGGGGAGGAAAGAAGGATTTGGGGTGGATGGGGTGGGAGCGAGGTTAGTGAGGACAGTGGCCCCGAGACCTCTCTCCTGGTTCTTATTTTGATCCCTCCCGATCGTCAAGTTGGTCTGCCATGCCCAGTCCAGGGACAAAAACAAACAAAGTGGTAATAATAATAATAATAATAATAATAATAATTAGTCCGGGTGCGGTGGCTCATGCCTATAATCCCAGCACTTTGGGAGGCCAAGGTGGGTGGATCACCTGAGGTTGGGAGTTCGAGACCAGCCTGACCAACATGGAAAAGCCCCATCTCTACTAAAAATACAAAATTAGCCAGGCATGGTGGCGCATGCCTGCAATCCCAGCTGCTCGGGAGGCTGAGGCAGGAGAATCGCTTGAACCCGGGAAGTGGAGGTTGTGGTGAGCCAAGATGGCACCATTGCACTCCAGCCTGGGCAACAACAGTGAAACTCCATCTCAAACAACAAAATAATAATAATAATAATAATTATTATTACAATTATAATGGCAACACTTGCAGAGTGCCTACCATGTGCCAGGCACTGTTCTACACTCTTTACTTGGAGTAACTTTTTTTTTTTTTTTGAGACAGAGTTTCACTCTTGTTGCCCAGGCTGGAGTGCAATGGTGCGCGCTCAGCTCACTGCAGCCTCCGCCTCCCGGGTTCAAGTGATTGTCCTACCTCAGCCTCCCAAGAAGCTAGGATTACGTGTGTGAGCCACCACACTCAGCTGCTTTTTGTATTTTCAGTAGAGATGGGGTTTCACCATGTTGGCCAGGCTGGTCTCAAACTCCTGACCTCAGGTGATCTGCCCGCCTCGGCCTCCCAAAGTGCTGGGATTACAGGGGTGAGCCACCGCACCCGGCTGAAACTACCTTTACTTAGACAAATTTAGTGTAACTGCTGCCAGCTGTCATGATTGCCTTAGCTTCATAATAAGTATTGAATTCAGATAGACTTGGTCCTCCAATTAAATTCTTTTTTTTTGAAAGTTGTTTTTAGCTATTCCACGTCCTTTGCATTTCCATATGACTTTTGTAATTCTGCTTGTCAATTCTACAAAAATCCTGCTGGAGTTTTGATTGGTACTGTGTTTGATCTGTAGATTAATTTGGGGAAAACTGGATGGAATGTAAGAGTCAAAACCTAAACAAAGTTGATACTATAGCATTTATCATAGGGTTTTGAAATTGTCCGTTTATTGTTTTTCTTCCCCAAAAGGCTGTAAACACATTTAGGCCAGGGGCTGTGCTTTATTTGCCACTTATTGCTCACTGTTATATCCCTACCCCTGAACTGAGGCTAGCATGTAGTAGTTACTCAATACATATTTGTCACAGGAAGGCATATTTATTTGATTATTTATTTGTTTATTCAACAAATAAAATGAATTCTTACTTTCACTCTACTTTCTGTTTCCTTTATAGACAAAGTCTTCTCCTATTAATGCGTGTTGAATCACTATCATGTTTTAAGAAGTATGCCCGGGGCTCTGTGTGTCTTTTTGAAGCCTATGTATTTGTGTGTGTGGTGAGTGCATGCACATGCACGCCAGTCTGTGGGTGATGTATGTGTCCGAGCCACAAGAACCCTTTCTCTAATACCAGCCACTTGGATAGATGCATTTCGTTTCTTCCATCCTAGGATTTCTGGAGAGGCAGCTTGGGAAGGCCAGGTGTGGATAACATGTGTAAAGTGCTTCTTCTTTCCCTACGTGAATTAAACAATCATGTCTGTTTTTTTCATCTCTGAAACATGACCTTCCCCAAGTCTAGAGTTGGATGAAACTATCTTTACTTAGACAAATTTAGTGTAACTGCTGCCAGCTGGTAGAAGTGGTACTTTGTGGTTTTTAAGGTTGCTGTTCCATGGGTGCTATAGGAGCTCTCCCCGGGCTGGGTGAGAGGCTGAAGGAAGTGGTTCAGCTCCACGTTTATCTTTGGCTGTTTTCTCTGCCATTTGACTGAAGCAATTTTCAGTGACGAATGAAGTGAATGGTTAAAGCTTATTTTTCAATCAAAATTCAATTCCTGCAAGTGGAAGAGGGAGGAGAGAGAGGGTGTAAATCATTGATCAAACTTATTTAAGCACCAAGATTCCCTTCTGCAGAAAATCCAATTACCTGACAGAGGAAAAGAGCTCCTTCTCTGGAAATCCATGAGGCTGGGTGCTCTTCACACTAACTGATCCTGTTAGGGCCCAGCTGCTGGCTGCACCGGAAGTCAGCTTGGCACAGCAGAAGGAACAGATTCACTTGGGACTGGAATCTGGTTCTGCCACTTGCCGGCTCTGTGACTTTAGGCAAGCGACTTCACATTCCTCAGCCAATTTCATCCGTGAAAAGGTAATTAATAATTCCTACTATACAGAATTAGTGTCATGATTTGAGAACAAGGTATGTAATAGCATCACATGTTGTAGGCAGGCTGTAGA
This sequence comes from Homo sapiens, assembly GCF_000001405.40. Taxonomy (NCBI): domain Eukaryota; kingdom Metazoa; phylum Chordata; class Mammalia; order Primates; family Hominidae; genus Homo; species Homo sapiens. The sequence continues at coordinate 112,762,836 of NC_000001.11, forward strand.
TAGCTCTTGTTTTCATGCTTCTGGCTTGGGAGCTGGGTGTGAGCACAGACCTCTGTGTGAGTGCTTGGAGGTAAATGCCCTGTGTGGGAGCTGAGCATGTGTGGCGTGGCTGCGTGTAAGTAGAGCTCTGAGAGTCTCTACTTACTGTGGTCTCTCTATGGATTAAGAAGCCTGCATTCTCCAGCATTCTTGGAAAGGTCTCCAGAAAAGCATCAGAGGAAATCTCTGAAGGAATTTCTCAGGGGTTGTCTGGGAACTGTGGGGGCATTCCATCCCTTTCCTGGAAGCAGCAACAGCTCTCAGGCCCCATCTCTGCGCCCCTCTCAATCCCTGGTGACTTGTTAAAAGACTTCAAAGGATAAACTTCAGACTAGAAATCTTACTTGCCATTCACATTTTTTAACATTGAGGACACAACCCTGAAGAACATGTCTGTGCATGTCAATTAGCCTCTAGAGAGGGAGAAAGGAGAGAATAGAAGAGTCACAGACACAGAGCTGTCGAGGGCCAGAAAAATGCTGCAGTGGCCAGCGCGGTGGCTCACGCCTGTAATCCCAACACTTCAGGAGGCTGAGGCGGGTGGATCACCTGAGGTCAGGAGTTGGAGACCAGCCTGGCCAACATTGTGAAACCCCATCTCTACTAAAAATACAATAATTAGCCAGACGTGGTGGCGCATGCCTGTAATTCTACCTACTCGGAAGGCGGAGACAGGAGAATTGCTTGAACCTGGGAGGCAGAGGTTGCAGTGAGCTGAGACCGCACCATTGCACTCCAGCCTGGGCGACAGAGCAAGACTCTGTCTCAAAAAAAAAAAAAAAAAAAATGCTGCAGGTACGCAGGGGGAAAGGGAGTTACTCCCTGAATTTTGTAAAGAGCAACCTCAAGGACACACATGACTCGTGAGGGTAAAAACGACTCAGGATCAACAACAAAAGGGCCTGATCTCAGAGGAGAGTCAGTAGGATGAGAGGTGGCGCTGGCTTGGGGTTTCCCTTTTTGAAGAGGCAAATGAAGTGGTCTGTGCTGGGCTGCCCCTGCACAAGGAGGACAGAGGCCTCACAAGATGGAATGCAGTAGGCACTGGGAATATGGGGTGGGACCTGAAAATAGCCGTCCAAGCTCTCACTCCAGTCTTTCATTTTTACAATTTCAATAGCTTTTAAGGTACAGTGGTTTTTAGTTACATGGATGAATTGTATTTTGGTGAAGCAGACTTCGGTTTTTAGTGCATCTATCACCTGAGTAGTGTACAGTGTTCCCAGTATGTGGTTTTTTTACCCCTCACCCACTTCCCATTCTCCCCATTCTGAGTATCCAAAGTCCATTATACCACTCTTTATGCCTTTGTGTATCCATAGCTTAGCTCCCACTTGTAAGTGAGAACATAAGGTATTTGCTTTTCCATTCCTGAGTTACTTCACTTAGAATAATGCCTCCAGCTTCATCCAAGTTTCTGCAAAAGACATTATTTGTTCTTCTTTATGGCGGACTAGTATTCCATGGTGTATATATACCATATTTTCTTTTTCTTTCTTTCTTTTTTTTGTTTTTTGTTTGTTTGTTTGTTTGAGACAGGGTCTCACTTTGCTGCCCAGGCTGGAGTGCAGTGGCATGATCTTGGCTCACTGCAGCCTCCGCCTTCTGGGTCCAAGTGATTCTCCCACCTCAGCCTCCCGAGTAGCTGGGACCACAGGTGTGCACCACCATGCCCAGCTAATTTTTGTATTTTTTGTAGAGACAGGGTTTTGCCATGCTGCCCAAGCTAGTCTTGAACTCCTGGACTCAAGTGATCCTCCTGCCTCAGCCTCTCAAAGTGCTGGGATTACAGGCATGAGCCACCATACCAAGCTCTACATTTTCATTACCCACTCATTGGTTCACCCCAATCTTTCTTTCCTGCACCCACTAACGCCCGTCACTTATATCTGAACTCTTATTTTATTAGGAAGCATAAAAAATGAATCTTTATTTAACACCATGTACATTTATAAATACTATCTTATGGCCAGGTGCAGTGGCTCACGTCTGTAATCCCAGCACTTTGAGAGACCGAGGCAGGCAGATCACTTGAGGTCAAGAGTTTGAGACCAGCCTGACCAACATGGTAAAACCCACTCTCCACTAAAAATACAAAAATTAGCCAGTCGTGGTGGTGGGCACCTGTAATCCCAGCTACTTGGGAGGCTGAGGCAGGAGAATCACTTGAATCCAGGAGATGGAGGTTGCAGTGAGCCGAGATCATGCCACTGCACTCCAGCCTGGGCAACAGAGTAAGACTCTGTCTCAAAAAAGAAAAAAGAACACTATGTTATTTATTTATTTGTTTATTTATTTATTTATTTTGAGACAGAGTTTTGCTCTGTCACCCAGGCTGGAGTGCAGCGGCACGATCTCAGCTCACTGCACCCTCCATCTCCTGGATTCAAGTGATTCTCCTGCCTCAGCCTCCCGAGTAGCTGGGATTACAGGTGCATGCCACCATGCCTGGCTAATTTTTGTATTTTTAGTAGAAACAGGGTTTTACCATGTTGGTCAGGCTAATCTCAAACTCCTGACCTCAAGTGATCTGCCCACCTCAGCTTCCCAAGAAAACTATGTTATTTAATTCTAACATTGTTCATAGGAAGTAGATACTTAGGAAATATTATCTCCACTTTATAGATAAGGAAACTTGAACATCAAAAGGTCACACCTGGTCTGTCTCCTGACAATGGATCAGCCTGCTTCCATCCTTTGGGTCTTGAAAGTCTGAGTTGTTGCTATCAAATTATTTCAATCTTCATTTTTTCCCCTGGTTACCAAGTAAATGCATGTTGTGGGAAGTCAGGGACCCCAAACGGAGGGACCGGCTGAAGCCATGGCAGAAGAACATGGACTGTGAAGATTTCATGGACATTTATTAGTTCCCCAAATTAATACTTTTATAATTTCTTATGCCTGTCTTTACTGCAGTCTCTAAACATAAATTGTGAAGATTTCATGGACACTTATCACTTCCCCAGTCAATACCCTTGTGATTTCCTATGCCTGTCTTTACTTTAATCTCTTAATCCTGTCATCTCGTAAGCCGAGGAGGATGTATGTTGCCTCAGGACCCTGTGATAATTGCGTTAACTATACAAATTGTAGAGCATGTGTGTTTGTGCAATATGAAATCTGGGCACCTTGAAAAAAGAACAGGATAACAGCGATGTTCAGGGAACAAGAGAGATAACCTTAAACTCTGACCGCCGGTGAGCAGTCTCTTCTTTCAAAAGCAAATGGGAGAAATATCGCTGAATTCTTTTTCTCAGCAAGGAACATCCCTGGGAAAGAGAATACATGCCTAGGGGTGGGTCTCTGAACTGGCCCCCCTGGGCATGGCTGCCTGCTATGGTCGAGGCTGTAGAGGTGAAATAGACCCCAGTCTCCCATAGTGCTCCCAGGCTTATTAGGACGAGGAAATTCCCACCTAATAAATTTTGGTCAGACTGGTTACTCTCAAACCCTGTATCCTGATAAGATGTTATCAATGACAATGGTGCTCGAAACTTCATTAGCAATTTTAATTTTGCCCCAGTCCTGTGGTCCTGTGATCTTGCCCTGCCTCCATTTGCCTTGTGATATTCTATTACCTTGTAAAGTATGTGACCTCTGTGACCCACACCTATTCGTATACTCCTTCCCCTTTTGAAAGTCCCTAATAAAAACTTGCTGGTTTTGCAGCTTGTGGGACATCACGGAACCTACCGACATGTGATGTCTCCCCTGGACGCCCAGCTTTAAAATTTCTCTCTTTTGTACTCTGTCCCTTTATCTCTCAAATTGGCTGATGCTTAGGGAAAATAGAAAAGAACCTACGTGACTATTGGGGCAGGTTCCCCGATAAATGCATGCTTACTAAAGGCATTTATAAATAGTGAAAGTTACAAAGAAGAATATAAAAGTCATTTGCATGGCCAGGCATGGTGGCTCACCCCTGTAATCCCAGCACTTTGGGAGGCCGAGGCGGGCAGATTATGAGGTCAGGAGTTTGAGACCAGTCTGGCCAACATGGCGAAATGCTGTCTCTACTAAAAACTACACAAAAATTAGCCGGGCATGGTGGAGGGCACCTGTAATCCCAGCTACATGGGAGGCTGAGGCAGGAGAATTGCTTGAACCCGGGAGGTAGAGGTTGCAGTGAGCCGAGATCACCTTACTGCACTCCAGCCTGGGCAGCAGAGCAAGACTCTGTCTCAAAATAATAATAATAAAAATAAAATAAAATAAAATAAAATAAATTATTTGCAATTGGTAGTGGTTTCTATTTTCTTCTATTTTCTTTATGACTAATTATTATAGTTAGTGAGATGCTGTATTAGGAATGCCTTGTTTGTTTGTTTGTTTGTTTGTTTGAGACAAGGTCTCACTCTGTTGCCAGGCTGGAATGCAGAGGCTGGATCACAGCTCACTGCAGTCTCCACCTCCTGGGATCAAGTGATCCTCCCACCTCAGCCTCCTGAATAGCTGGGACTACAGGCATGCTCTACCACACCAGGCTAAGAAATGTTTTCAACTATAAGAGACAGACACTGTAATCCCAGCACTTTGGGAGGCCGAGGTGAGTGGATCGTTTGAGCCTAGGAGTTCAAGACTAGCCTGGGCAACATGGCAAAACCCTTGTCTCCACACACACAAAAAAACAAAAATTAGCCTGGCCTGGTGGCACACACCTGTAGTCCCAGCTACTGGGGAGGCTGAGGTTGGAGGATTGCTTGAGCCCAGGAGGCAGAGGTTACAGTGAGCCAAGATCGTGCCATTGCACTTCAGCCACTCTGTCTCAAAAAAAAAAAAAAAAAAAAAAAAGAACAGACAACTTGACTATCAGCACAAAGATCAGGGGTGTTTTAAAAATAGAGATTTATTTTGCTTGTATAACAAGAAGCCTAGAGGTAGACAGTTGCCACTGCTGGTTTAGTGGTTCAGGAATGAATCACAACTTCAAAATGCTCTTGGCCTTTGCCTCATGGTTACAGAATAGCTGCTACAGCTCCAAAAATCACAACCATGTTCAAGGCAGTAAGAAGAAAAGGGAAGGTATTAGCATTAACTGTTCCTTTACGAGCTTTACGAGTAATGAAGAGATTTCCCAGAGGTACTTGGCAGACTTGTTTACAACCTACTGGCTATTCTGAGTCACAAAGCCGCTTCTACCTTGAAGGGAGGCTGGGAGAACCATTTGCTCCTCCAGAGTCTCTCACCGAGGTGAGTTAGGGGGAAGGAGGTTGGGGATGGGAGTTAGGTTAGCCAGTCAGAGGTATCTGCTACAGATGCAATGCTGTGATTGGCAGGCCTACTTCACGTGCCCACCTCTGAAACCTTGGTAGACCCTGATTTTCCACAATCACATGGACTGAAAATGGTGGAGAAAAATTGGGTGCTGTAAGCATAAAAGGGAAATGGATGTTGGGAAGGTGAGAGTAAAAGATGTCCATTACATTTTGTATGACATTTTACCCTATAACAAATCAACCCCAAACTTAGTAGCTTAAAACATTTATAATTCCTCACAATTCTGTGGCTCAGTTGAGCAATTCTTCTGTTCTGAGCTGCTTAGATGGCTTATCGGATCACTTTCATGAGTTCAAATAATAATTGCTACTATTAACTGGGTACCTACTATTTATTAGATGGTGACATTAGTCCACTTAAATACTTCGTCACACTTTCCTCCTTCTCCTATTCCTGATATCTGCTAGTGTGTGTGTGTGTGTGTGTGTGTGTGTGTGTGTATATATATATTTATTTATTTATTTAATTTTTTTTTTTTTGAGATGCAGTTTTGCTCTTGCTGCCCAGGCTGGAGTGCAATGACTTGGTCTCAGCTCACTGCAAACTCCACCCCTCGGGTTCAAGTGTTTCTCCTGCCTCAGCTTCCCAAGTAGCTGGGATTACAGGTGCCTGCCACCACGCCTGTCTAATTTTTGTATTTTTAGTAGAGACAGGGTTTCACTATGCTGGCCAGGCTGGGCTCGAACTCCTGACCGCAGGTGACCCTCCTGCCTCAGCCTCCCAAAGTGCTGGGATTACAGGCTTAAGCCACTGCACCTGACCAGTCTGCTAGTATATGTTGAAGTATGTGTATTCAGTTGAGGTATACTATGTTCAAATGTAAGTAATAATTTTAGAGGTTCAGCATTAGGCGCTCCACATAGATGGTTTTGTAAAATCCTCACCACAACCCTATAAGGTTTGGAGCACATCTGGTTGCAGCACAGTTTTTCTATTGATTTTTATTAGAGGGGAAAATTCCCATTATACTTCTGTGAAGCTTCTGGAATTAAGATAATTAAAGAGGATCCTAACATTGCAAGATTTAAAATACTGCTACAATTTACAACTACTTATTTGTGGAATCAGGATTTTTTTTTCTGAGTAACCAAAATAAAATTCAGAAATAAATAGGACACATGAGATTGTAACTATCATCTAACATCTCAATTTCAAATTTATCTAGCGACCTCTTGAATTAGAGTTATTTGCTTTAATATGTTAATACAGTTGTTTCCTCTTACCTGTGGGGGATATGTTCCAAGACCCTCACTGGATTCTTGAAACCTTGGATAGTACCACACCCTATGTATCTGTCTCAACCAAGCACTCATCATGCACTGTGGCCGTAACTTTTGCAGTTTGAGGTACAACAACAAAACTAGCATAAATTTCTTTTTCCTTGGTCACAATTTCATGGAGGGAAGATTCATTCTCATTGTAGATCTTAGCAACCTCAGCATACAGATTTTTTTTTTCTATCCTTAAGTCAAAAACTTTTACCTTTTCACTTAAAGGAAGAACTTTCCAGCTTATTCAACATTAATATACAGTATATTCAAATTGCCATGATCACTGCTACTGCACTTTAGGGCAATTATTAAGTAAAATAAGGGTTACTTGACACAAGCATTGTGATACCTCAACAGTTGATCGGATAACCTAGAGGGCTCCTAAGTGACCTGAGAGCCAGTAGTGGATACACTGGACAAAGGATGATTCACATCCTGGGCAGGATGGAGTGGGATGGTGAGATACTTCATCGGGCTACTCAGAATGGTGCACAATTTAAAACTTGTGAATTATTTCTGGACGTTTTCTTTCTCTTTTTTTTTTTTTTGAGATGGAGTCTCGCCCTGTTGCCCAGACTGGAGTGCAGTGGCACCATCTTCGCTCACTACAACCTCTGCCTCCTGGGTTCAAGCAATTCTCCTGCCTCAGCCTTCCGAGTAGCTGGGACTACAGGTGTGTGCCACTATGCCTGGCTAATTTTTTTGTATTTTAGTAGAGACGGGCATTTCACCATACTGGCCAGACTGGTCTCGAACTCCTGACCTCGTGATCCACCTGCCTTGGCCTCCCAAAGTGCTGGGATTACAGGCATGAGCCACTGTGCCCGGCCTGGACGTTTTCATTTAATATTTTTCGACTGTGGTTGTAACTGAAACCATGATAGTAATTTTCACTTTCGGAAAGTGAAACTGCAGATAAGCAGGGGAGACATATTTAGTCATGTATTACACCATTTTTTTCTGTTTTATATATTGGGGTTCTGCATGAAATTGAAGTTTGAATTTTCCTTTGCTCTCCCATTATCTCGCTTGATCTCACAAAAGCCCTGCATAATCAAGATATTAGTATTATTCCCATTTTACAAATGAAAAAACAGAGGCTCAGAGAGGTTAACTGACTTGCCCAAGGTAAATAAGCAAACAGACAAGCAGGTACGTGGCACAGCTGGGACTTGAAACCAGTTCTTCCAACTGCAAATTTGAACTTCATTCCATTGTACCATGCTGCTCTCTCCATTCATTCCCAAGCTGCCGGGAATATGTGTACTAAGGCTGGTCCCACTCAAAGGGCACTCGGATCCAGGACAGACAGAAAACGGCCCATTTTGGGTGGAGGGTGGGAGGAAGCAAAAACAGCAGCAGCAATAGCTTCCTGGGCCCCGAGAATTCTCCCCAAGGGCCCAGCAGGCTGTTTGAAGAGTGTTAGCAAGTTTTCTCCCTCAAATCTAAACACCTCAATACTCCACCCAGGAGTCAGGAGGGGTGAACTCATAGGGATTTCTACCCTGCCAGGAGCTCCGAGAGAGGGAGAGGAACCCGAACCACTCTCTAAAGCCATTCTGCAAACCCTGCTTATTCTCACTTTGGCTAAGTGTATTGAGGTGACTGGCTCTTTTCCAGGGTGGAACATTAATGCTTCCTTTGGTTTTGGAGGCTTGAGTTGAGGCAGGAAGATATAACTTTGGCCCTATGAGCTCTTTGAATTGCACCCTAGTCATCTTCTAGAGTGAGAATTATTAGGTGTGTGACCAGCCTCACTTATGGACATTTGCACTGTCCACTCACTGTCAGGGGTGCGCTAATGGGTATTAATTAATAGGTATGCACTGCCCCGATGCTTCCTGTTTCAGAGCCTTGGGTCCCCCGTGGCAAGGTGGAGTGAAGGAAATATCAGCCACCACTCCCCGCTCCTCTCCCAGGTGGTCTGCTAGGCTGGCACTCGGTGAAGCTTTGTGCTTTGTGTCATTCATTGCATTTTGTGTATGAATTGCTCTTTGCAGTTTAAAGCCACCTCTTTCCTGGTAGTGAAACACACCTAGGAAGTTCCACCTCCTCTCCAAATGTCGTCTTTTCAGAATTATAGTCTCCTCCTCCTGAGACCACTGTTACCTTGAATGCTGCTCCACTCCCAACCGCATGTTTTCAGGCAGAGCTGCCCTTTCTTACCTAACTACACCCCCTTGCCAGGTTTGACTGGACCAGAAGTCAGCATTCCCTGGGTGTTATAAACTGAAATTCACTGTTGATGGAGTTATAACAGCTAATATTTACTGAGCACTGTTCTAAGCCCTTTACTGATACTAATTCACTTAATCTTTACTCCAATCTTATGAGTTAGTCATTCTATTAGCCTAATTTGCAGATGAAGAAACTGAGGCACAGAAGGTTTAAGTAACTTGCTCAAATTTACTCAGCTAGAAAGCAGCAGAGTTAGGATTCAAACCTAGGGAGTCTAGTGTGCCCCCTCCTCCCTCACTACTTTTCCCCTTCTCTTTTATAAAGTTTTCAACAGACAGAAAGGTAGGCAGAATTCTATAATGAATTCCCATACACCTGTCACCTCAATGTAACAACTGTCAACATTTTGCCATATTTGCTTCATCTATTTTTTTAAGTCTCTATTAGATAAAGGTTTTTAAAAATAACATGCCATGATACCATGATCACACTGTAAATCAATAGCAATTTCTTCATATTATCTAATAGTCCATGTTCAATTTTTTTCTGATAATATCAAAAAATACAGTTTTTAAATTTAAATTAGGATCAAAAATTGATACATTGCATTTGGTTGAAACATCTCTCAAGTCTTACATTATAGATTATGTTTTAATCTATAACACTCCCGCCCAATTTTTTTTTTGTTTTTTGTTTGTTTGTTTGTTTTTTGATTTTGTTTTTTTTTTAGACGGAGTCTCGCTCTGTCGCCCAGGCTGGAGTGCAGTGGTGCAATCTTGGCTCACTGCAACCTCTGCCTCCCGGGTCCACGCCATTCTCCTGCCTCAGCCTCCCGAGTAGCTGGGACTACAGGCGCCCGCCACCATCCCCGGCTAATTTTTTTGTATTTTTAGTAGAGACGGGGTTTCACCGTGTTAGCCAGGATGGTCTCGATCTGCTGACCTCGTGATCCGCCCGCCTCGGCTGGGATTACAGGTGTGAGCCACCGCGCCCAGCCTCCCGCCCTATTTTCTAAAATAATTAATTTGTGGAAGAAACTCAACCGTTTGTCCTGTAGTATTTCTCACACTCTGGATTTGGCTGCTTGTATTCATGTGATATTGTTCAGCATCTATTCTACTGTAAAGTGGTAGTTAGATGCAGAGTACTGATTAGCGGAGCACACACTAGGTGCTTCTCCATCTCGCTGGGCATTCATTTCTACATGCCAAAGGTTAGCATTTTACTGCCCAAGGACTTCTTCCTCACCATGAAGCACACTTACTTATGCTCTAGGCAAGTCAGGAATGCAGGAGAATTAATCTCCCCAGAAGCAAACCTCAACCAATAGCCAGGGATTTGGTGCATAATACCTCGGCTTCCTTATCTCGCAGTTGGAACAGCTCTGAAATTTGCTCTACATTGTCTGCCAAAGTTCCCCAGTGAGGCTGAGCTCCAGCTGCCCACAGTGGACCTGTCTTACTTTCCTACTCCATTATGGAAGTTTTCTGGCGTCATCTCCCAAATAAACTACTTAAAGTGAATCCTAGTCTCAGGATCTTCTTCTAGGCTTACACAAACTGACAACTAGATTCTGCTTCACATCCTTTGAATGAATACTTCAAAGGTTGTGTTGTATAGTTTCTATTGCCTTGTATTAGGGGAAATGTGATGTTCAGTTGTCCTACTTTTGTTGAAGTAAAGATTAATTAGTGGGTTCAAGTAATGTCAGCCTGATCCATTTATCATAAATTTCCCAACAACTTATTTCTTATTTTCAGCACGAATTATAATGATGGTGGTATTCTATTTCAATAATTCCTTCTGAAATTATTAGCTGTGGTTCTTCTATTAAAAATAACTTATTGAGGGGTGCCTCTGCCCGGCCACCCCTACTGGGAAGTGAGGAGCCCCTCAGCCCGGCCAGCCACCCCGTCCGGGAGGGAGATGGGGGGGTCAGCCCCCCCACCCGGCCAGCCGCCCCGTCCGGGAGGGAGGTGGGGGGGTAAGCCCCCCGCCTGGCCAGCCGCCCCGTCCGGGAGGGAGGTGGGGGGGGTCAGCCCTCCGCCCGGCCAGCCGCCCCGTCCGGGAGGTGAGGGGCGCCTCTGCCCGGCCGCCCCTACTGGGAAGTGAGGAGCCCCTCTGCCCGGCCAGCCGCCCCATCCGGGAGGGAGGTGGGGGTGTCAGCCCCCCGCCCGGCCAGCCGCCCCGTCCGGGAGGGAGGTGGGGGGGTCAGCCCTCCGCCCGGCCAGCCGCCCCGTCCGGGAGGTGAGGGGCGCCTCTGCCCGGCCGCCCCTACTGGGAAGTGAGGAGCCCCTCTGCCCGGCCAGCCGCCCCGTCCGGGAGGGAGGTGGGGGTGTCAGCCCCCCGCCTGGCCAGCCGCCCTGTCCGGGAGGGAGGTGGGGGGGGTCAGCCCTCCGCCCGGCCAGCCGCCCCATCTGGGAGGTGAGGGGCGCCTCTGCCCGGCCGCCCTACTGGGAAGTGAGGAGCCCCTCTGCCCGGCCAGCCGCCCCGTCCGGGAGGGAGGTGGGGGTGTCAGCCCCCCGCCCGGCCAGCCACCCCGTCCGGGAGGGAGGTGGGGGGGGTCAGCCCCCCAGCCCGGCCAGCCGCCCCGTCCAGGAGGTGAGGGGCGCCTCTGCCCGGCCGCCCCTACTGGGAAGTGAGGAGCCCCTCTGCCCGGCCAGCCGCCCCGTCCGGGAGGGAGGTGGGGGTGTCAGCCCCCCGCCCGGCCAGCCGCCCCGTCCGGGAGGGAGGTGGGGGGGGTCAGCCCCCCCGCCCGGCCAGCCGCCCCGTCCGGGAGGTGAGGGGCGCCTCTGCCCGGCCGCCCCTACTGGGAAGTGAGGAGCCCCTCTGCCCGGCCACCACCCCGTCTGGGAGGTGTGCCCAACAGCTCATTGAGAACGGGCCTGGATGACAATGGCGGCTTTGTGGAATAGAAAGGCAGGAAAGGTGGGGAAAAGATTGAGAAATCGGATGGTTGCCGTGTCTGTGTAGAAAGAAGTAGACATGGGAGACTTTTCATTTTGTTCTGTACTAAGAAAAATTCCTCTGCCTTGGGATCCTGTTGATCTGTGACCTTACCCCCAACCCTGTGCTCTCTGAAACATGTGCTGTGTCCACTCAGGGTTAAATGGATTAAGGGCGGTGCAAGATGTGCTTTGTTAAACAGATGCTTGAAGGCAGGGTGCTCGTTAAGAGTCATCACCAATCCCTAATCTCAAGTAATCAGGGACACAAACACTGCGGAAGGCCGCAGGGTCCTCTGCCTAGGAAAACCAGAGACCTTTGTTCACTTGTTTATCTGCTGACCTTCCCTCCACTATTGTCCCATGACCCTGCCAAATCCCCCTCTGTGAGAAACACCCAAGAATTATCAATAAAAAGATAAATTAAAAAAAAAAAAAAAAAATAACTTATAGGGACGGGAGCGGTGGCTCACACCTGTAATCCCAGCACTTTGGGAGGCCGAGGTGGGCGGATCACAAGGTCAGGAGATTGAGACCATCCTGGCTAATATGGTGAAACCCCATCTCTACTAAAAATACAAAAAATTAGCCTGGGTGGTGGCGGGTGCCTGTAGTCCCAGCTACTCGGGAGGCTGAGGCAGGAGAATGGCGTGAACCCGGGAGGCGGAGCTTGCAGTGAGCCGAGATCGCGCCACTGCACTCCAGCCTGGGCGACAGAGCAAGACTCCCTCTCAGAGAAAAAACAAAAACAAAAAAAACAACCATAATTATGAACTCCTAGATTTTTTATTTTTGACATGTTATAATCTATTGCTGTCATCATTCTTTTGGGTGCTCATATTTTCCCACCTTTGACTACTGAGAGCCCAATCAAGTTGACTGTTGTGTCTATCTGACATTACCCCAAAGTCTTCAAGAGCTTCCTTGATTTTAGACAAGGCTTATCTTGTGCATTTCCAGCTCCAGCCAGGAGTTAAGCCTTTCTCCCAACAGCCCTGGTTCCTTTTAGTGGAAAATGGTATTTGAGAACACAACATGGTCAGATGCAGTGGCTCACGCCTGTAATCCCAACACTTTGGGAGGCCAAAGTGGGCAGATCACTTGAGGTCAGGAGTTTGAGACTAGCCTACCCAACGTGCTGAAACCCCATGTCTACCAAAAAATACAAAAATTAGCCAGGTGTGGTGGCATGTGCCTGTAGTCCCAACTACTCAGGAGGCTGAGGTGGGAGAATCACTTGAACCAGGGAGGCGGAGGTTGCAGTGAACCGAGACTGAGGCACTGCACTCCAGCTTGGGCGACAGAGTGAGACCCTGTCTCAAAAATAAATAAATAAATAAACAAAATTCATAGGTGTAGTGGCTTGCACCTGTAGTCCCAGTTACTAGGGAGGCCGAGGTAGGAGGATCGCTTGAGCCTGGGCAGTCAAGGCTGCAATAAGCTGAGACTGTGCCACTGCACTCCAGCCTGGGCGATAGAGTGTGACACTGTCTCAAAAAAAAAAAAAAAAGTGAGAATACAACACAAACTGTAGCAGTACTCATTGCTACCAGCTTATCACTGCTCCTAGGTCTTTTTGGTGAACCAGATTGATAAGTAAGCATTTCTTTGTTTTTTGTTTGTTTGTTTATTTGTTTTTCTTGAGACGGAGTTTCGCTCTTTTGCCCAGGCTGGAGTGCAATGGTGAGATCTCAGCTCACTGCAACCTCCGCCTCCTGGGTTCAAGCGATTCTCCTGCCTCAGCCTCCTCAGTAGCTGGGATTGCGGGCACCTGCCACCATGCCCAGCTAATTTTGTATTTTTAGTAGAGACAGGGTTTCTCCATGTTGGTCAGGCTGGTTTTGAACTCCTCACCTCAGGTGATCCTCCCGCCTTGGCCTCCCAAAGTGCTGGGATTACAGACATGAGCCACCATGCCTGGAGATAAATACATATTTCTTAGAAAGAAAAAAATATATTCTGAGTTCATACTGTTATTTCCAACTTAAAATATATATGACAGAATTTGCACTTAACTTTCTGGTTTTTGCAAATTCTGTCATATATATTTGCATATATTTGCATCTCATTTGATTTGTATCGCTTGTCTCTTATTCTGAAAATTTTAGATCTTAAAAACGTGAATATAATGACTTGTTTTTTGCTTTACCTCACTATATATACATATATTCATGTGTATATGTGTTTATATGTGTGTATATATGTACATGAATGTGATAGACTGCATCAGTGGCCCTAATTCTTCACCTCTTTCTGCATCTATACCCTTTTTCAGTCTTTCACTAAAGAAGTCGAGTCTGTTTTACCAACCCTTGAGTCTGGGCTGGCCTTGTGCCAAGCTTCGGCCAATAGAATGAAGCAGAAGTGATGGTGTGCCAGTTCCAAGCCCAGGCGTTAAGGATCCTTTGCTATTTCTAGTTATTAACTTGTACCTCCACCAACACCTGGAGAACACACCTGGATAGACCTGCTGGAGACAAGTGGAGCAGATCTGAGTCCACCCAGTCAGTCCAGCATGGCTAACCTAGATCAGCCAACAGCTAGTTGGTTCTTCTATTATTGAGTGTGGAACATATAAGCAATTATATATGTGTATTCCTATCTTCCTCTCTATTATTTTCCTAGGGATGCCATAACAAAGCACCACAAACTGAGTGGCTTAAAACAATAGTAATTTATTCTTTCATAAGTCTGCAGGCTGGAAGTCAGAAATGTAGGTGTTGGCAGGGCTGTGCTCCCTGCGAAGGCTGTAGGGAAGAATCCTTCCTTGCCTCTTCCTAATTTCTGATGGTTGCTGGCAACCCTTAGTGTTCCTTGGTTTGCAGCCTCTTTCATCACCTGGCCTTCCTCTGTGTCTCTGTGTCTCTGTGTCTAAATGTCCCTCTTCTCATAAGGACACAAGTCGTTGGATTAGGGCCTACCCTAATCAAGGATGACCTTATCTTCACTTGATAATACCTGCAAAGATTCTATTTCCAAATAAAGTCATATTCACAAGTACTGGGGACTCGGACTTGAACATATCTTTTTGGGGGACACGATTCAATCCACAATACCTCCTCTAACTTTTTATACAAAATAGCAGCATATTATTCATAGTCTTCAGTGCTTTCCAGAGTCCACATGGTTCTGGCATGACCTGGTTTCTGTTTCTTAAGATCAATTTGGCAGAAGTATAGAGGCTGAATTGGAGGCAGCAAGTCAAGGAAGGCCATTAGGAAGACACTTTCACATGTTGAGGTGAAAGATAATGAGTGACTGTCTTAAGAAAGTTCAATATCTGCCAGGCGCGGTGGCTCACACCTGCGATCCCAGCATTTGGGAAGGCCAAGGTGGGTGGATCATGAGGTCAGGAGATCGAGACCATTCTGGCTAACACAGTGAAACCCCATCTCTACTAAAAATACAAAAATTAGCCAGGCATGGTGGCAGGTGCCTGTAGTCCTAGCTACTCGGGAGGCTGAGGCAGGAGAATCGCTTAAACCCGGGAGGCGGAGGTTGCAGTGAGCCGAGATCGAGCCATTGCACTCCAGCCTGGGTGACAGAGCGAAGAGCGAGACTCTGTCTCAAAAAAAAAAAAAAAGAAAAAGAAAAAGAAAAAAGAAAGTTCAACATCCGTATGGACAACTTCTCCAACACTTTAAAGCTTCCTACTCCTTCTCAGCTACCTGCTCACTCCCATGACTGTTCCCTTGACTCTTGTCACAGTAACCACCACTACCTATTTCTGTTTAAAACAAAGCTCATGATCCTCCCCCTCTAATGTGCCTTACTCCTTCCACACCCTCTGTCTCAGTAAATGGCACCACCCACCAGTCAGCCAAGGCAGAAACCTGATGTCATCCTGAGTCCTCCCTTTGCTCAGCCCTAACCATTTCATGGTAATTCACAGAAGCAGCACTGGGCATGTAGTGGGATCCAGGCACAGTGCTGGGTGCTAGCAGTACAAAGACTATTTAGGCACAGTATCTGCCCTCAAGGAGCTCACACTCAAGTGGAAAATTATGATGGAGAGTTATGCAATCTAGTGGGATCACCTCTTATATTATTTTCTCTATTTTACATATGGAGAGACTATAAAAGCACTAGTTGCCCACGGCTGGTAAGCGGCATGATTAGGACTCAAATTCAGCTCTGTGTGACTCTACAAAGCATTTTCTTCTGTCCTTTGGGCGGCCAGAAATTCCTGCCCATTTTATCTTCTAGTGTTGAAGTCTTCTCCATTGCTAATGTCGGTGACTTAGTGTTAAGCTCATGGTCTCTCCCATGGACCATTAACATTTCCGTCTAATTGGCCTCCTTGCCTTGCTGCCTCCAATTCCACCTCTAAATAGCTGCCAAAGTGATCTTGGAAAGCAGAAATCAGGTCTTGCCATTCCCTGCCCAGCAGGGTAAAATCCACACTGCTCAGCAAAACTGCTGAGGCCTTTCATGCCCAGATTCTGCCCACTTTTCTGGCTTCTCAAGTCCCACTATGTCACCTCAGTTCCCCAAACTGGCCTTGGGCAAGTTTCTTAACCACTCTGGGCCCTAGTTTCTTCAATTGCAAAACAAAGATAATAAAATCTACTGTGTAGGTCACTGTGAACACTAAATGAAGAAAATATATCGCCAGGTGTAGTGGCTCACTCCTGTAATCCCAGCACTTTGGGAGGCTGAGGAAGGCGGATCACAAGGTCAGGAGTTTGAGACCAGCCTGGCCAACATGGTGAAACTCCATCTTTACTAAAAATACAAAAATTAGCTGGACATGGTAGCAGGCACCTATAGTCCCAGCTACTCGGGAGGCTGGGGCAAGAGAATCGCTTGAACCCAGGAAGCGGAGGTTGCAGTGAGCCGAGATCATGCCATTGCACTCCAGCCTGGGCGAAAGAGTGAAACTCCATCTTAAAAAAACGAAACAAAACAAAACATACACACACACACACACACACACACACATATATAATTAAAGCTGTTACAGTCACACCTGGCATACGCATTCAGTAAATGTTGCAGATATCACTGTTATTAATGTTGGGACATTTCTCCTCCCTCTCTGCCTAGCAAACCCTAGTCATCTTTCAAGCCTCACCCTCTTAAACTGTAACATCTCAGACATCCCGAGTAGAACTGGCCATTGCTTCTGTGTCCTCACTGTGCACTACACAGCCTTTCAGGATAGATTTATGATATTCTATTCACTCATTAGCTAACCTGTCTGTCTCCTCTCCTAGACTATAAGTCCCTTGATTACAAAGATTGTGTTTCATTGACCTTGCTTCCTAGCACTGAGTACTGTGCCTGGTTGCTGGTCTGTACACAGCAAAGATTTGGCCAGCGGATGTATGAATCAGTAGGTTATTCAGCTTCTCTAGCTAAGGATTTTGACTATCTGGACAGGGGTACCCATAGTCATGCTCCTGACTCTGCCTGGACTCTTCTTGCTGTACCTGGAAGCTTGTGCTTCCCACTCCTGAAAAAGAAGTGGCTAATCTCTTGTCATTCCTGCTTCACAGCACGCCCCTCCCACTACCCCCAACATCTGGCTCTGCCTAATGAAATGCTGGATTATTAATGGCTCCTATTCAGCATGTCCAGTTAAAGCCACCTCCCACAGCTGTTTGAATTTCATCAGAGGCTTCGGCAAGCTTTCTATCCCCAAATCTTTCAGCCCCAAAGCCACATTTGGAGGGGAGATTTCAATAAGGAACGTTCAGGTCAGTAGCAGCCTATCTGCAGGCTGGTTTCTATCCCCCTCTGTCCCTTCATTTCTATGTGTGGAGGAAGCAAGTGGGAGCCGTGGAGGGAGCCAGGATGACAAAGGGAACGCAACGATCCATTATTTCCTCTCAGAACAAATTAATTTGTGTCTAAGGAAATCTGAGTCAAGCTTTACTGGAGGGGCTGGAGACAGCAGAAGGGATGTAAGATGAAAAATGAAGGCCTGGCGGGGCGCGGTGGCTCACGCTTGTAATCCCAGCACTTTGGGAGGCCGAGGTGGGCAGATCACGACATCAGGAGTTTGAGACCAGCCTGACTAATATGATGAAACCCCGTCTCTACTAAAAATACAAAAATTAGCCAGGCATGGTGATGCATGCCTGTAATCCCAGCTACTCAGGAGTCTGAGGCAGGAGAATCGCTTGAACCTGGCAGGCGGAGGTTGCAGTGAGCCGAGATCGTGCCATTGCACTCCAGCCTGAGTGACAGAGTGACAGAGCGAGACTCCGTCTCAAAAAAAAAAAAAAAAAAAAAAGAAGGCCTTCTTGGATTTAGGCCTAGAGACATCCAAACTCAGTTGCCTATTCTTCCTACCTCTGCTGCTTGGAGACTATTGCTGGAGGGCTCAAAGGACCATCTCTTCCTTCTACTTAATACATTCTGAGGCCAGTTGGTTTCCTTTATTCTTTTTTTTTTCTTTTTGTGGCTGGGTCTTGCTGTGTTGCCCAGGCTGGAGTGCAGTGTTGGAATCATAGCTCACCACAACCTCGACTTCCTGGGATCAAGCAATTTTCCCAGTCTCTTGGGTAACTCAGTCTCTTGGGTAGCTGGGACTACAGGCACATGCCACCATGCCTGGCTAATTTTTTATTTTTTGTAGAAAGAAAGTCTCACTATTTTTCCCAGGCTGGTCTTGAGCTCTTAGGCTCAAGCAATCCTTCTGCCTCAGCCTCCCAAAGTGCTGGGATAATAGGTGTGAGCCACCGCTCCCAGTCAGCTTCCTTTGCTAACTCTTGTCAGCTCTGGGATTGGCATAATTTTTGTCTCTATGGAAAGTTGATGGCCGGAAAGTTGATGGTGGGACATTACTGTGGGCCCTGGCACCAGCAGGATCTAGATATGCCTTTGGACAAGTTATGCTCTTCTCTGGGCCTCAGTTTCCTAATTGATAAATCAGGAAGTAGAATCTCAGGCAGGTTTACTTCACATGGCTGTTGTGAGGGTAAAGTGTTACCTGGTACATTGCCTGCTTATTCACCAGACCATCTCAGAGTTATCCTGTTCCTAGAACCTGAGAAAGTCTCTGACATGTAGTAGGAGCTCAATGAAACATGTTACATTCGTCAATTCTTGCATTGCTATAAAGAAATAACTAAAACTAGAACATTTATTTATTTATTTATTTATTTATTTATTTTTGAGATGGAGATCTCGCTCTGTTGCTCAGGGTAGAAGAAATGGCATGATATCGGCTCACTGCAACCTCTGCCTCCCAGGTACAAGTGATACTCCTGTCTCAGCCTCCTGAGTAGCTGGAATTACAAGTGCCCGCCACAACATCTGGCTAATTTTTGTATTTTAGTAGAGATGGGGTTTCACCAGGTTGGCCAAGCTGGTCTCCAACTCCTGACCTCAGGTGATCCACCTGCCTCAGCCTCCCAAAGTGCTGAGATTACAGGAGTAAGCCACCACGCCTGGCCAGACTGGGTAATTTGTTAAAGAAAAGAGGTTTAATTGGCTCACAGTTCTGCAGGCTGTACAGGAAGCATGATGCTGACATCTGCTTAGCTTCTGGACAGGCCTTAGGAAACTTACAATCATGGCGGAAGGCAAAGGGGAAACAGGCATGACTTACATGGCCAGAGCAAGAGCAAGAATGAGAGAGGGGATGTGCTACACACTTTTAAATTAGATCTTGTTAGAACTCTATCACTATACAGTACCAAGGGGGGATGGTGTTAAACCATGAGAAACTGCCCCCATAATCCAATCACTTCCCACCAGATCCCACCTCCAACACTGGGGATTACAATTTGACATGAGATTTGGGTGGGGACACAGATCCCCACCCATATCATTCTGCCACTGGTCCCTCCCAAATCTCATGTCCTTCTCACATTGCAAAATTCAATCACATCTTCCCAACAGTTCCCCGAAGTCTTAACTCATTCTAGCATTAACTTAAAAGCCCAAAGCCCAAAGTCTCATCTGAAACAAGGCTAGTCCCCTCTACCTATGAGCCTGTAAAATAAAAAACAAGTTAGTTACTTCCAAGATACAATGGGGGTATAGACATTGGGTAAACATTCCCATTCCAAAGGGGAAAAATCAGCCAAAGAAAGGGGCTATAAGCCCCACATAAATCTGAAACCCTAAAGGGCAGTCATTAAATCTTAAAGCTCCAAAATAATCTCTCTTTACCTCATGTCTCACATCCAGGACACACTGGTATGAGGGGTGGGTTCCCAAGGCCTTGGGCAGCTACACTCCTGAAGCTTTACAGGGTTCAGACCCCATGACTACTCTCATGAACTGGCATTGAGTGCCTGTGGTTTTTCCAGGTGCAGGGTGCAAGCTGCTGGTGGATCTGCCATTCTGGGGTCTGGAGGATGGCGGCCACTTTCTTACAGCTGCACTAGGCAGTTCCCCAGTGGGGATTCTGTGTGGGGGCTCCAATCCTGCAGCAGGCTTCTAGGTAGACATCCAGGCTCTCCTCTGCACCACCCTAGTAGAGGTTCTCCATGAGGGCTCTGCCCTTGCAGCAAGTTTCTGCCTGGACATCTAGGCTTTTTCATAATCCTCTGAAATCTAGGCAGAGGCTCCTAAGCCTCAACTCTTGCACTCTGAGCACCTGCAGGCTTAACACCATGTGGAAGCCACCAAGGCTGATGGTTTGCACCCTCTAAAGCAGTGCCCTGAGCTGTACATGGGCACCTTTGGGCCAAGATTGGAGCTGGAGTGGCTGGCACACAGGGAGCAGTGTCCCAAGGCTTCCACAGGGTGTGGGGCACTGGGCCTGGCCAGGAAACCATTCTTCCCTCCTAGACCTCCAGACCTGTGATGGGAGGGGCTTCCCAGAAGGGCTCTGAAATACCTTCAAGGCCTTTTCCCCATTTTCTTGGCTATTAGCACTTGGCTCCTCTTTACTTATGTATATTTCTACAGCCTGCTTGAATTTCTCCCTTGAAAATTGGCTTTTCTTTTCTACTACATGACCACACTGCAAATTTTCCAAATTTTAATGCTCTGCTTCCCTTTTAAATGTAAGTTCCAATTTCAGGTTATTTCTGTGTTCATGTGTATGGACATAGGTTGTTAGAAGCAGCCAGGCTACATCTTGAACACTTTGCTGCTTAGACATTTCTTCTGCTGGATACCCTAAATCATCTCTCTCAAGTTTAAAGTTCCATATATGCCTAGGGCAGGGGCAAAATCCAACCAAGCTCTTTGCTGAAGCATAGCCAAAGTGACCTTTATTTCAGTTCCCATTAAGTTCTTCCTCTCTCTGAGACCTCCTCAGCCTGTACTTCGCTGTCCATATCACTATCAGCATTTTGGCTACAAGAATTTAGCACAGCAGTGTCCAATCTTTTCACTTCCCTGGGCTGCACTGGAAGAAGAAGAATTGTCTTGGGCCACACATAAAATACACTAATACTAACAATAGCTGATGAGCTAAAAAAAATCACAAAAACATTCCATAATTTTTTTTTTTTTTTGAGATGGAGTCTCGCTCTGTTGCCAGGCTGGAGTGCAGTGGTATGATCTCGGCTCACTGCAACCTCTGCCTCCTGGGTTGAAGTGATTCTCTTGCCTCAGCCTCCCAAATAGCTGGGACTACAGGCACACACCACCACACCCTGCTAATTTTTGTATTTTTAGTAGAGATGGAGTTTCACCATGTTGGCCAGGATGGCCTCGATCTCTTGACCTCATGATCCACCCACTTTGGCCTCCCAAAGTGCTGGGATTAAGGTGTGAGCCACTGCGCCCAGCCAACATTTCATAATGTTTTAAGAAAGATTATGAATTTGTGCTGGGCTGCATTCAAAGCCATTCTGGTTTGCGTGTGGCCCATGGGCTGCTGGTCGGAGAAGCTTGATTTAACACATCTCTAGGAAGTTCCAAAGTTTCCCTCATCTTCCTGCCATCTTCTGACCTTCCACACTGTTCCAGCCTCTTTCCATTACCCATCTCCAAAGGTGCTTCCACATTTTCAGGTATCTTTATAGCAATGCCCCACTCCTTGGTACCAGTTTTCTGTGTTAGTTTGTGGGGTTTTTTTGGTTTTTGTTTTTTTTGGTTTTTTTTTTTTTTTGAGATGGAGTTTCACTCTTTTTGCCCAGGCTGGAGTGCAATGGCGCAATCTTGGGTCACTGCAACCTCCGCATCCCAGGTTCAAGTAATTCTCCTGCCTCAGCCTCCTGAGTACCTGGGGTTACAGGTGCCCACCACCATGCCCAGCTAAATTTTTTTGTATTTTTAGTAGAGATGAGGCTTCACCATATTGGCCAGGTTGGTCTCCAACTCCTGACCGCAGGTGCTCCACCAACCTCGGCCTCCCAAAGTGCCGGGATTACAAGCGTGAGCAACCGTGCCTGGCCCTAGTTTGTTCTTACATTGCTATAAAGAAATACTTTTCTCTTTCTTTTTTTTTTTTTTTTTTTTGAGCTGGAGTCTCACTCTGTCGCCAGGCTGGAATGCAGTGGCGCGATCTTGGCTCACTGCAACCTCTGCCTCCCAGGTTCAAGCGATTCTCCTGCCTCAGCTTCCCGAGTAGCTGGGACTACAGGTGCGCACCACCATGCCCAGCTAATTTTTTTATTTTTAGTAGAGACTGGTTTTCACCATGTTGGCCAGGAAGGTCTTGATCTCTTGACCTCGTGATCTGCCCGCCTTGGCCTCCCAAAGTGTTGGGATTACAGGCATGAGCCACTGCTCCCGGCAAGGAATTATTTTAAGCCTGTAATCCCAGCAGTTTGGGAGGCTGAGGCGGGCGGATCACAAGGTCAGGAGTTTGAGACCAGCCTGGCCAACATGGTGAAACCTTGTCTCTACTAAAAATACAAAAATTAGCCAGGCATGATGCCACGTGCCTGTATTCCCAGCTACTCGGGAGGCTGAGGCAGGAGAATTGCTTGAACCCAGGAGGCAGAAGTTGCAGTGAGCAGAGATCATGCCACTGCACTCCAGCCTGGGCAAGAGGGCAAGACTCTGTCTCAAAAAAAAAAAAAAAAAAAGGCCAGGTGTGATGGCTCACGCCTGTAATCCCAGCACTTTGGGAGGCCGAGGCAGGCGGATCACCTCAGGTCGGGAGTTCGAGGCCAGCCTGACCAACATGGAGAAACCCCGTCTCTACTAAAAATACAAAATTAGCCAGGCATGGTGGTGCATGCCTGTAATCCCAGCTAATTGGGAGGCTGAAGCAGGAGAATTGCTTGAACTCAGGAGGCAGAGGTTGCAGTGAGCCGAGATTGCACCATTGCACTCCAGCCTGGGCAACAAGAGCAAAACTCTGTCTCAAAAAAAAAAAGAAAGAAAGAAAGAAAGAAAGAAAGAAAAAAGAAAAGAAAAAAAAAGAAACACCTAAGACTGAGTAATTTTATTTATTTATTTATTTTTGAGACAGAGTCTCGCTCTGTCGCCCAGGCTGGAGTGCAGTGGCGTGATCTTGGCTCGCTGCAACCTTTGCCTTCTGGGTTCAAGCAATTCTCTGGTCTCAGCCTCCTGAGTAGCTGGGACTACAGGCACCCAACACCACAACTGGCTAATTTTTGTATTTTTAGTAGAGATGGGGTTTCACCATATTGGTCAGGCTGGTCTCAAACTCCTGACCTCAGGTTTTTCCCCTGCCTCGGCCTCCCAAAGTGCTGGGATTACAGGCATTAGCCACTGTGCCCAGCCAAGACTGGGTAATTTATTAAAGAAAAGAAATTGGCATTCTCCTGCCTCAGCCTCCTGAGTAGCTGGGATTACAGGCGCCCGCTACCATGCCCGGCTAATTTTTTGTATTTTTAGTAGAGACGGGATTTCACCGTGTTAGCCAGGATGGTCTTGATCTCCTGACCTCGTGATCCGCCCGCCTCGGCCTCCCAAAGTGCTGGGATTACAGGTGTGAGCCACCACGCCCAGCCTGACATTAAATCGACCAGCCTTTTGAGTGCTTCAGTGAGAGATTTTATGCAGAATCGCAGCCAAGACAAAAAGACAATCTGAGAGCAGGCACACACATTTTAGAGGACAAAATAATGAAATTTCTTTATCAGTTCCATCATTATATTTTTTTCATTAAAAAAAAAAAGAAATTGGCTGGGCACAGTGGCTCACGCCTATAATTCCAGCACTCTGGGAGGCTGAGGTGGGTGGATCACCTGAGGTCAGGAGTTTTAGACTAGCCTGGCCAACATGGTGAAATCCCGCCTCTACTAATAATACAAAAAAAAATAGCTGGGCGTGGTGATGCACACCTGTAATCTCAGCTTCTCGGGAGGCTGAGGCAGGCAGGACAATTGCTTGAACCCGGGAAGGGGAGGTTGCAGTCTGCCGAGATTGCGCCATTGCACTCCAGCCTGGGCAAAAAGAGTGAGACTCTGTTTCAAAAAAAAAGAAAAGAAAGAAAGAAGAGGTTTAGGCTGGGCTTGGTGGCTCATGCCTGTAATCCCAGCACTTTGGGAGGCTGAGGCGGGCAGATAACCTGAGGTCAGGAGTTCAAGACTAGCCTGACCAACATGGACAAACCCTGTCTCTACTAAAAATACAAAATTAGAGCTCGGCACGGTGGCTCACGCCTGTAATCCCAGCACTTTGGGAGGCCGAGGCAGGCAGATCACAAGGTCAGGAGATTGAGACCATTCTGGTTAACACGGTGAAACCCCATCTCTACTAAAAATACAAAAAATTAGCTGGGCGTTGTGGTGGGCGCCTGTAGTCCCAGCTACTCGGGAGGCTGAGGCAGGAGAATGACCTGAACCCGGGAGGAGGAGCTTGTAGTGAGCGTAGTGAGCAGAGATGGCACCACTGCACTCCAGCCTGAGAGACAGTGAGACTCTGTCTCCAAAAAAAAAAAAAATAATACAAATTTAGCTGGGCGTGGTGGCTCATGCCTCTAATCCCAGTTACTCGGGAGGCTGAGGCAGGAGAATTGCTTGAACCAGGGAGGTGGAGGTTGTAGTGAGCTAAGAGATCATGCCATTGCACTCCAACCTGGGCAACAAGAGTGAAACTCCATCTCAAAAAAATAATAATAGTAAAAAAAAAGGGGTTTAATTAATTTACAGTTCCACCAACTGTATAGGAAGCATGATGCTGGTATCTGCTCAGCTTCTGGGGAAGCCTCAGTCAACTTACAATCATGGCCGAAGGCAAAGGGGAAGCAGACACATCTTACATGGCCAGAGTAGGACTGAGAGAGAGAGAGATGCTACACACTTTTATTTTTATTTTATTTTTTGAGACTGAGTCTCACTCTGTCACCCAAGCTGGAGGGCAGTGGTGGGATCTCAGCTCACTGCAGTCTCCACCTCCCAGTTCAAGCAATTCCCTGCATCAGCCTCCCAAGTAGCTGGGATTACGGGTGCTCACCAGCATGCCCAGCTCATTTTTGTATTTTTAGTAGAGATGGGGTTTCACCACGTTGGCCAGGCTGGTCTCAAACTGTTGACCTCATTGATCTGCCCACCTCAGCCTCCCAAATTGCTGGGATTACAAGTGTGAGCCACCGCACCCAGCCAACACACTTTTAAACGACCAAATCTCCTGAGAACTCTATCACTATACAGGACCAAGCGGGGATGGTGTTAAACCATGAGAGACCACCCCCATGATCCAATCACCTCCCACCAGGCCCCACCCCCCATATTGAGGATTATAATTCAACATGAGATTCGGGCAGAGATGCAGATCCAAACCATATCACATGAGGAATAAATTGTTGTAAAAGTGCTCATCAGCACCACTACACTGCAGCCTAGGCAACAGAGTGAGACTCTCTCTCAAAAACAAAACAAAACACACACATACAAAATGTGCTCATCAGCTGTCTAATACTTTACACAGGATTATGTTTATTGCTGCTCAGTCTAATTTATGGCCCCGTCAGCCACACTGACTACTTCAGACAAGACACAGAGCAAAGAAATATCACCTTGTGTGTCCCCTCTCCCAACACTATCTTCTTTCCCAATGACAGGGGTGGGGTATGTTCTATCATGCCCCTCTTCAATCTTTCATATTTCTACATGACCTTAGGCTTTCTAAATGCTCTCACATCCATTATCATATTTAATCTTATTCCAATTGTTGAAGAAAGCAGGTCAAGTGGGGAAGCCAAGGCCCAGCATGGTGAAGTGATCTGCTCAGGGACATACCATGTGGAAACAGCTTCAGGGTCCCCATCTTTCTCTGGCTTCTCTGACCTCCTCATCTGTTTATGTACTGTTCTCTCTGCTGCAGATGCTGTTCCTTTTATTAACTGCTACCTCAAGACTCATCTCAGGTGGCAGCTCTCCAGGAACTCTTTCTTCACTTTTCTAAGCCTGGGTGAGAGGCCTCTCCAAGCACTCCTTCCCACTGTATCTACCTCTCTCATAGCATGGATCTAGTCTGTGTCTGCCACATGAGACTGGGAGCTTCCAGAGGGTATGGACTGTCATTAATTTCTATATCTGTGTACCCAGCACAGTACCTGGCACATTGCCTTTAAAATGTCTGATAAATGAATGGATGGATGAGCAATGCATAGATAGAGTGGTAGTGTCGTTTGCCTAAGGTCACTCAGCTAGAATTATAAACTGAAAAACAAATGTTTAAAGAAGGTTGAAGCTGGGCACAGTGGCTCGTGCCTGTAATCCCAGCAGGAGGCTGAGGCAGGAGGATCACTTGATGCCAAGAGTTCAAGGCTGCAGTGAGCTATAATTGTGCCACCGCATTCCAGCCTGGACAAGAGAGCAAGGCCCTGTCTCTAGGGGAAAAACGTTGAAAAACTACGAACTCAAGATTTTTCCTAAGTATTTTCCAGTATCTCAGACCAGGTGTTCTGGCTTCTAGTGCCACATGCTCCCCATTGCCCTCTCATGAGTGCCCATCGCAGAATGGAGGTGCAAGGGAGTAAGACTCTGGACCTGTTATTTATAGCCTGTTGAGGAAGCACCAGAGCTTGAAAACCTGTCCCAGAAAGGTAAATGGTGTCCCTCAGCTCCTTTGCTGACCCAGGGTCACTTCCTCTTGCATTTCTTGTTTTTTTTTTGAGGCGGATTCTCGCTCTGTTGCCCAGGCTGGAGTGCAGTGGCGCGATCTGGGCTCACTGCAAACTCTGCCTCCCGGGTTCATGCCATTCTCCTGCCTCAGCCTCCCGAGTAGCTGGGACTACAGATGCCCGCCAACATGCCCGGCTAATTTTTTGTATTTTTAGTAGAGACGAGGTTTCACCTTGTTAGCCAGGATGGTCTCAATCTGCTGACCTTGTGATCTGCCCGTCTCGGCCTCCCAAAGTGCTGGGATTACAGGCGTGAGCCACCACGCCCGGCCTCTTCCTCTTGCATTTCTGATTCCCACACCTTGCAAGGCAAGTATGGCCATTCAGACATATGGTTCCTAAACTTTTCAAACCCCTTTAACAGGGAAGGGTGCTAATGACCTGAGGTCTTACACACTCCCCCGTACTGGGATTTGCACAACTTGGTGAGGGCAAGTCATTCCATCCTGAACCCCTAGATGTGCCCCATTAGGAGCTCTAGGGAAGCCCAGCAACTACTGCTGTTAGTGCTGCTACTGCAGAGCCAGAAGTTAAGGCACCAAAAATGGAAGTGTCTTATATTGGATTGAATTCCTCTGAAACAGATCCTGAGACAAGGATGTAAGTGCAAAGCATTTTTTGGGAGGTAATCTCAGGAAACACCCATCAGGAGTGGTAAAGTGAGATAGGGAAGGAAAGGAAGTTAATGAAGGGATGTTACCAAGCCAGTTACCACTGTAGGCAACTGGAGCCCTATCCTACTGGGGAACGTCAGGAGATGATATGGGACATGCTGTCATGAGGCAACTCAGGACAAGGAAGCCAGGTGCTTATGCCCCACCCTTTTACCACTTGCCATTTTGCCTCTGGGGCCTTCCACTCTCTGGCACTTCTAGTTTGCCAGGCATGTAGATGTTCTAAGTGGGCAGCCTTGGATGGGCAGAGGTGAATGCCAAGGGCATGTGGATGGGACCTAGGCAAAGCTCACTGAGGTCTCATCAGCATTCTAGCCTGGCTTGGTGTCAACTGAGCTTCATCCTCATCTTCTGTAAAAGGAAGGGAATGATCCATCTCTCCAGCTAGGTGGTGTGAAGTTAGTGGAGATAAAGGTATGGTGGAGCGGGATGATTGACAATTAGAACTAATGCCAACTCCCCATCTCCTGGCACATTAGAGAGAGATTTAGAAGTCAAACACCAAAGAGAATGCCAGTCAGGTTGACTCCAAGGGGAAATGGCTTTAGATTTAGATCTTGATGAAATTTCTGAGTTGGCTGATGATAGAAGCAGGAGCTCCCCAGCCTGCACACAACTACTGGTCAATTCACACCCAACCCACACCAAACCTCAAGGAAGAAAAATCGCTTTCTTCTCAGCTCCAAACTTTGGTTCAATTATTATTCCCCAGTGGACAGGAACTGCCAGGGAAGAAGGACAAAGCTGCTATGGTAATGAAGGACTGTTTACTGATCAGCAGGAAGGAAGGGCAGCCAGAATGAGGTCAGGAACAGATGAATCTGCCCCATTGGGTGGATGGCATGTGTGATTTATAAGCTCTCTCCCTTGAAGATCCAAAAGTTTCTGAGTGGGGAGGGGAATGAAGAATGAAGGAAAGGACTAAGATAGAGACAGAAGTCTGTTTATTCTTCCCTTTCCGCATTATCAGTCAAGGCAGTAAATTCAGCAAATCTACTCGACACTAATCTTGTTAGACTAATTGACTATAATTCAGTTCACTGTGGGGATAATCAGATTTGTGTAAACTTTCACAATAGTCTCCAAAGGCTTCATATATCTTGACGGATATAGTCTTTAAAATGCCCGTGCCCTGGTCTTAGAATGGGAGAGGAGACACCGCAGGCTGGTGGGAAGGAGCGGCTTCAGAACCCAAAGAGATGCACAGAGCCACCCCTTATCTTAGCCCCGCTTTTAGGCCTTCACTCCACCCCCTCCTGGTGAGCTGGCTCCAAAGCTGATGGATGGGACTGAGACTGGCCTGGGTTGGCAGATAGGCATATCTTACGAATGACAGGGTAGTCACCCTGCACCCTTCCAAATCTAATTGTCCGATAATTGCTGATCCAATCAGGAGTGTGTCTGGCATATAATCATCAACAATAAAGGCAATTCTTGTGATTATTAGTCAAGATAATGCATATAAACTTGTTAAAAGGTAAACTTGGGCACACTGAAATTTTAAAGAGTTTATTTGAGTGGACAGCAACTCATGAATCACGCAGGGCCAAATCACAAGCAGTTTGGGTTCCACCAATGGGTGCAAGGAAAAACCTTTTATAAGGTGTTTGGGAAACACAAAGAAAATATTTGCTTGGTTGAAGTGTAAAGTCCCTGCTTGGTCGTTAGCTGGCGGTTTCATATTGGTGAAATCTTTAAAATGAGCATAGTTGGCAGTTTCTGATTGGTTTAGCTTAACTTTCACTTTATGGTTTACGTTGACTTTGATTTTAGTTTGTTTATGTAGGAACTGAAGGTGCTGAAGCCATCTCAGCCTAATGGCCTCTGTGGACAAAAGCAGTCAAACTCTGTAAAATATTTGACAAGGTTTATTCTGAGCCAAATATGAGTGACCAATGGCTCATGACCCAGCCCTCAGGAGATCCTGAGAACATGCACCCAAGGTGGATGGGCTACAACTTGGCTTTATACATTTTAGGGAGACAGAAAACACCAATCAATACATGTTAGATGTACATTGCTTCAGTCTGGAAAGATGGGACAATTGAAGTGCTCTCAGGTAGATTCAAAGATTCTCTGATTGGCAATTGGTTGAAAGAGTTAAGTTATTGTCTAAAGACTTAGAATCACTAGAAAGGAATGTCTGGGCTAAGATAAGGGCTTGTGGAGATGAAGGTTTTATCATGCAGAGAAGGCTGGGCGCAGTGACTCACGCCTGTAATCCCAGCACTTTGGAAGGCCAAGGCGGGCGGATCATGAGGTCAGGAGTTCAAGACCAGCCTGACCAACATGGTGAAACCCCGTCTCTACTAAAAATACAAAAACTAGCTGGGCATGGGGACGTGTGCCTGTAATCCCAGCTACTCAGGAGGCTGAGGCAGGATAATCGCTTAAACCCAGGAGGCAGAGGTTGCAGTGAGCTGAGATCACGCCATTGCACTCCAGCCTGGGTGACAGAGTGAGACTCCATCTCAAAAAAGCAAACAGGCCGGGCGCCGTGGCTCACGCCTGTAATCCCAGCACTTTGGGAGGCCGAGGCGGGCAGATGAGGAGGTCAGGAGATTGAGACCATCCTGGCTAACACAGTGAAACCCTGTCTGTACTAAAAAAAAATACAAAAAATCAGCTGGGCATGGTGGTGGGCGCCTGTAATTCCAGCTACTCAGGAGACTGAGGCAGGAGAATCACTTGAACCCGGGAGGCAGAGGTTGCAGTGAGCTGAGATCGTGCCACTGCACTCCAGCATGGGTGACAAGAGTGAGACTCCGTCTCAAAAAAAAAAAGATATCATGCAGAGGAAGCCTCCAGGTAGCAGGCTTCAGAGAGAATAGATTGTAAATGTTTCTCATCATACTTAAAGAGTCTGTTCCATCAGTCTTAAGGTCTATGTTGATGATAATGCTGGTCAGCATTATCCCCAAAAGTGAGGAAGGTATAATAAGGTGTGTCTGAACACCCCCTCCCATCATGGCCTGAATTGGTTTTTCAGGTCAACTTTGAAATGTCCTTGGTGGAGAGGAAGGTTCCATTCAGATGGTCGGGGGACTTAGAATTTTATTTTTGGTTTACACCCCCCAGTTAAGTATTTTAAATAACGTACATAGCATTGTGTTTGGCATACAGCAAATGCTGAAAAATGTTACCCATTATTATCAAGAAAAAAGTCCTTTTGACCTTAGAGATCTCCCAGTCTAATGGGTATGAGGATTGCAAGAGAAGGTGTCAGGAGCTCAGGAGAGGAGGAAAGGGAGAGAGAGAGCTGAGCTTTCAGGTGTTGAAGTTGATGATTAAAGCAAGCTGTAAATAAAAACATTAAGCCTTTAGTTACTGTGATAGTATAAGCGAGGGGCTAAAACTGGGGGAAGCACCGGCATCCCCTGTTCCAGCTTTCGTGAGACAGCAGCGCACCAGTTGAAGGTCAGGTGGATCAGCATAGACCTAGGGTTTCACTGTTGAGAAAGCCCCCAACAAAAGGCTGTGGCCGCTTTATGGACCTTGGAGTTGAGGAAGGGCAAGGGGAAAGGTCTAGAAGTGAAGTCCTGAGTACTGAGTTAGAGTGGAGAACAGTATCTTCAAGGTTTTCTTCCTTCCCCCGATTAAGGAGACCTGGACAGAAGTCCTCTGAAGAGGTCACCTGAAGAGAACCTCTGCCTGAGGCCTCAGAGAAAGAGATGTAGGAATGTGGGGCACTGAATGGGCTAGGAATGTAGATATGTATAAGAACATGGCCCACAGCAGGCCTTGAGACCTTGACTGCGGCTCCCTCCAAGGCTGAGATGCACTAGTGGTAAGCTGAGACTGCTGCAGGAGGGCAGCCTGCCTGGGAGACCTGGCAGGTGAAGCCTTCCTAACTGCTGTGAAGCAGGCTCACTTTTGTGAATCCAGTGAGACCAAACACAATGATACTTGAGTTATATGAAGCAGGTTTATCACTTACAGGTAGGCAGCAAAGGACAACAGATGCCAAGGACTCACTGTGACCCAGTTCTCCATGGCTCAGAAAGCTGCCCGGGGCGGGGAGTCTCCACTGCGCGTGCCCCTGTAAGGCAGTCCACCTGGGTTATATACCTTGGGGTCACATGACACACAGGACTCGTGTTGAAGGCCATGCTGTGCAAGGGGGGACTGGAACAGAGCCCGGGCTGTTCCAGCCAACTTTCCCCTTATCTCAGGATTTTGCATTCCCAGCACATTCTATAGTTATTCTTGAGAACTACAAGCAAGAAAGGAGAACTGGGTGGTTCAGGCCTTGTGTCAAGGCTGAAAAATCACATGTGGGTTTTTAATCGGGAGCCAGACTCCTCAGAAGGTTGACAATAAGGGAATGTCAGATCAGCAATGTTTTCTACAAGGCAAGACCAGGCCAGTGAATATAAGGTTAGGAACAGAAGCACGGAAACTTGAATGAGTTAGCCCGTGCTTTGAACTTAGGAGTTCTAATCAACTTTGCAGGCGAGGACACTGAAATAGTTCAAGACTTTGTTTTCAGTGAGTCTCTCTGGTCTCTTCTCTTTCGAGATCCCAGTTGGTGTTATAGAGAGGAAAGAAAAACTGAAACAAGGCAACTGTGTTTTCATTCTGATAAGATCTGTCCACCCGTCACCCTTTCACCTCCACCCCACTACCCCCAGCTATCTGCAAGGCCACTGGCTATGAAAGTAACAAGTTCCCTTTAGTGTGAAGAGGACTCTAGGACTTCACACTGTTTAGGGGGAGCAGAAGACGGCCCTGGGGAATGCAAGAAGTTTCTCTGCTACAAAAGAGTTGGCAAATAAGTTTTCATTTCAAGTAATTTTCTCCCCTTTGTCCTTTAACCCCAGGAGATTAGAGAAATGGTTACTGACAGTTCTTGTAATTTGCATTTCAAAGTGGTGTATGCAAAAATAACACATTTCAGCACTCACTCCATTAGCATATTAAAACAAATTGGCTTTGGGTCCTTGCCATTTATTTCATTCTAACTCCAAGTCCCCTAATGCATTTAGGAAAAAAAGAAGGGAGGTAAGGAAGAGACAAAAGTGGAGCAGGGCCCAGGTGCGATGGCTCACACCTGTATTCCCAGCACTTTGGGAGGCTGAGGCGGGCGGATCACCGGAGGTCGGGAGTTTGAGACCAGCCTGAGCAATATGGAGAAACCCCACCTCTACTAAAAATACAAAATTAGCTGGGCGTGGTGGCGCATGCCTGTAATCCCAGCTACTCGGTAGGCTGAGGCAGGAGAATCACTTGAACCCGGGAGGCAGAGGTTGCGGTGAGCCAAAATCATGTAGCCTGGGCAACAAGAGCGAAGCTCCATCTCAAAAAAAAAAAAAAAAAAAAAGGTGGAGCAGGGACCTGTGGAGCTACCCCTGTGTGTGTGTGTGTGTATATGTGTGCGTGTGTGTGTGTGTGTGTGTGTGTGTGTGTGTGAGAGAGAGAGAGAGAGAGAGACAGAGAGAGAGTGTGTGTATTGGGTACAGAGAAATTCATGGAGGGGATCTGGCCTAAAGGAAACTGCCCCTAATGAATGGAAATTGGTTGGGTGAACTAATTGATTCGTTGAAATGTTTTTCTCTCTCAACTCCCACTCCACCCTCTTGCCTCTAGAGGAAGGAAGGCAAAAAAGAAAGTAGAGAAGGCAGCCTAATTATAATCCCGTCTGGCTGGTGAAGCAGGGAGCACCCAAGGAAGGCTGAAGAGCTCAAGCTTAGGCTCCTGAGGCACCTTCTTCATCTCTGTGCACCCAGGCCCAGGCCTGCGGAATTCCGACACTCCAGATTGAATGGTTGCTGTGAGATGAATGTGGGAAGATGTCCTATCCTCCAGGAAAACGAGAGGACACCTCCTTGGGAGATCCTCTCTACCCCACCACTGTTGTTATTGATCAAAAATCCTCTGGTCTCTTTCGTGGGTGTATTTAGATGATGTGGTTATCTATGAGGGGTTCTTAAAGAAAATAGAAACTGCAGGTGAGGGGAAGTTCAAGTATAATTTTCGAAAAGTTAAAAGATGATTCTCTTGTAAATATATAGTGAGCATTTATTTAACTCATTAATGAGGGAATGGGCAGAATGGTAAAGCCATTTCAAAGAAGGATATATGATACAGTATATATGGACAGAGAAAGAAAATTTGCTAAGTTAACTATAAAACTTTGTTAATGCCCTATGAGACAATACAATGGTAACCTTTGTATCTATCTTTTCTATGGGGCAGAGGTGCTATCATTTGCACTTCTACTGGACAAAAAATTATTTACAACTTTTCCTCTTCAAATGAATTGCACGTGAAGGGAGATTGCTAAGTAGGTCCACTCAGCCCTGGGGGAGGAAGAAAGCCTGTCCTTTCCAGGCTGTGGGCTGCAGTAAGCATGGCAAGAGCAAAAGGACAGGGTGAGAAGGTGCAAAGCAGTGGGGAGCCTTAATATCCACGGCTCAAATATTAAAGAAAGGGGCACTTAATTAGAGAGAGCCTAGAATGAGTGAATGAAACATGAAATTTAGAATCAGAAACACCTGTATGCAAAGTAGAGTGTCTGCATTATCTCTTGCTTAACTTTTCAGACATGGTTTTCTCTTCTGTAAAATGAGTTATGTGAAGATTAAATTAGTTACTATAATGAACGTAAAGAGCCTGGCTCAGATTATGAAGTGAAAAATAGTAGTTGCTAATATTATTACAATTGTATAATATTTACATAGTTGACAGTGTAGATCCCTGAATTGGGAAAATATATGTAAAGAAAGTAGGCCGGGTGTGGTAGCTCACGCCTGTAATCCCAGCACTTTGGGAGGCTGAGGCAGGTGGATCACCTGAGGTCAGGAGTTCCAGGCCAGCCTGGCCAACATGGTGAAACCGCATCTCTACTAAAAATACAAAAATTAGCCAGGCCTGGTGGCAGGCACCTGTAATCCCAGCTACTTGGGAGGCTGAGGCAGGAGAATCACTTGAACCTGGGAGGCAGAGGTTGCAGTGAGCCAAGATCGCTCCGCTGCACTCCAGCCTGGGCAACAGAGTGAGACTCCGTCTCAAAAAAAGAAAAAAAAAAAAAAGAGAGAGAGAGAGAAAGAAAGAAAAGATAAGATTAGATTGATAGTTCTTGTGGGTCCATTCTCTGAAATTCCGAATGTTAGCCACAGAATGTTAGCCTAAAGCTCATTCCTCCAACCTTTTGACAATTTTATAAGAATCTAATTATCTGTATTACATTTCTTGCAGCTTAAAATAGCTAGAGTGGTTGGTTTCCTGCACTGACCCTGACTGACAAATGAGTTTGAGAGCACAGGCCAAAGGGAACAGTGTCAGAGACTCAACACGATAAATACATCATCCAGGAAGAGAAACTAGAGCTGCTCATTGCTGTGAGTTTCTCTCTTATATCAACAAAATTCTTCCCTCATCAGTTAAACCCATTTACTCTTTTACTCTCCTCTGTAGAAAACCAGAAGAGCAAGATGTTGGAGAATTAATATCTGCTAGAGAAATATGCATCTCAGCCTGGACTAATTGGTGCCTGGAACATGATGGTAGGTCTCCTACTCACAAATTGGATGGTGATGGAAAGGCCATCCTGATGAGCCTTCCAAAAGTTTTGTCAGAAGACAGAGTGATGTTGGATAACACTACTGAGCCACAACTTCCATCCACGCAAGACTTAATATATTTCCTGGGACAAAAGTACCTAGGAAACCAAAAGCCTTTCACCTTATCCCTTGAAGCTAATTTCCCTTTGGCTGACACTGTGCAGCAAAGTGTATTAATATCCATGATGGGTGATCAGCCTTCAATAAATAATGCTGGTTGTTCTAATGTACCTGGCATGAAATATTCAGAGCTATTAATGCATTTCAGTTTAAATAATCACCAGGGCTTTTGTCCAAATCAGTGGTGAGCTTAGGTTGTATTATCTTTTTTTGTACATATCAGATGTGGAGTGCAGGCTGAAAGTTCCAGGAAGAAGCATTAGGCCACTGACCCTGTGGAGAAGGTGGGGACTATGTGGTGCAGGAATATGTGATGGGGAGTGGCCCAACCCCTAGCTTGGGGTCCAGGATTCCTGGGTCCTGTCCCAAACTGAAGTATAGCCAGTGCCAAGAGACTCAAGGCTCATCTGGTCTTGGGAAGACAGATCATCAGGGCATTATGGGATATCTTTCCCAGTTTTTGATTGTAAGTATTTCAAATGCTTCCAGTCTTTTGAGGCTGTATAAGAAACCATGGGAGTGTGATCATATAGATTGGGAGTTGGACTCAAATTACCAAGCAGCAGGGCCTCCACGGGAGACTTTGAGCAGCTGGAGATGTAAGAAGGCTGAGCTCAGGCCTTCTGTCAGCAGACGGATGGTTGACATGGCTATAAATCATGTTGGAGGACTTGCAATCCGGATTGGCAGGTGGTAAGCATGGGAATTATCTGAAAGGTGAGCTGACAGGAGTGAATGAATCTGGGCCCAGTGGGGCAGGAGTGCTTCCCACCTCCATTTCCCTTCTTTTGTTAATTTTGAGAACAGTAAATCAGAAGAAAATAATGTTGGTGCCTGACCAACATGGAGAAACCCCGTCTCTACTAAAATTACAAAATTAGCTAGGCATGGTGGTGCATGCCTGTAATCCCAGCTACTCAGGAGGCTGAGGCAGGAGAATCACTTGAACCCGGGAGGCGGAGGTTGTGGTGAGCTGAGATCGTGCCATTGTACCACTCCAGCCTGGGCAACAAGAGCAAAACTCTGTCTCAAAAAAAAAAAAAAAAAAAAAAAAAAAGAATGTTGGTGTGGGGAGCTCTCTCCAGCCAGAATTGCCTGGGCTCTCCCATCACTTGAGTCCCCACATCTTCCCCAGATCTCTGAAGTGTCCCACCCTGTCCTACCTCAGATGGGGTTCATTAAGAAGGAAACCCAAGGGGATTTGAAAGGAAGGAAGGGCTGGGTGCTTTTGTTCCACTCAGACCTCCCTGTCTCCTTCCTTTGCCCAACCAGAGACCAATATAGGGACAGGAGGCTTCAGAGATGGAATTAGCTTTCTGAGCTCCACTCTCAGAATCCCAGCTGAAAGCTCAAATATTTTCTCTTCGTATTCTTAGTGAATGCGCCTCCCCTCACTCTTGCCCCTTCTCCCATGCTTCCATCAGCCTGGGTCACTCAAGTGCTTTCACCATGGGTTTCCTTCACTGCTGCTTCCCAGCAGCTCTTTTCTAATCTCACAGCTTATAGACTGGTCCACTTTCCCCAATATGGCGGCTCTGTCCAGCTGATGCCTGTTTCCCCTGATGTTTGCTATACTCAGCCACTTCTTAGCTCTCAGAAGCCAGGAAGTAAGTTTGGGAAAAAGCCCACCATTCAGACTGGCTTTAGGCCATATGCAGAGACCTTATATATGTACCAGTTATTCAGCTAGTATCTCTAAGCTTCAAACCCACTCTTCTCTACTGGGCCTTGTGAAGCTGGGGCAAGAAATTTGAAAACCACATTTCTGCTTTGCTAACTGGCACCCTGTTGGCTTCTGTCAATATAGGGTAACCAGGGAGATTGGAAGGCTAGAGGAGGAAGACAGGATGCCTTTTTCCTCTTTGCTTCCTGTTCCTATCAACGTTGTCCAGCCTTGCTTCTACACAGGGCAGAGTGTATTCTACACAGTCCATTCTAGTAGCAGTAGTTGGCTTCAATTTGTAATTGTCTCTCCACTGTTCAACTTCTATTTTTTTTTTTTTGAGACAGGGTCTCACTGCATCTCCCAGGCTGGAGTGCAGTGGTGCAGTCATGGCCACTGCAGCCTCAACCACCCTGACTCAAGTGATTCTCCCACCTCAGCCTCTTGAGTAGCTGGGACCACAGGTTTGTGCCACCATATGCAGCTAATATTTTTATTTTTTGAAGAGATGGTGTCTCACTATATTGCCCAGGCTGGTCTTGAACTCTGGGACTCAAGTGATCCTCCTGCCTCAGCCTCCAAAAATACTGGGGTTACGGGTGTGAACCACCATGACTGGCCTCAACATCTTTTTTTTGAGACACAGTTTTGCTCATGTTGCCCACGCTGGAGTGCAATGTCATGATCTCGGCTCACTGCAGCCTCTACCTCCCTGGTTTAAGTGATTCTCCTGCCTCAGTCTCCCAAGTAGGTGGGATTACAGACGTGTGCCACCAATTTCCCTGCCCCCATCCAGTCCATCAGCAAAGTCTAACTGACTTTCCACCATCTTCACTGCTTCTCCCCAGTCAAGCAACCCCTGGCTCAGAGTGAGTGGAGGGGAGAATCAGGAAAGCTCTTAATGCTTCCAGAATACTCAGTTACAGAATCTCAGAGTACGATGACTCCTGTTTCTAAATAAAAGGAAAGTTGGACTCTTTCCTTTTATTTAGAAACCAGATGTTTCTAAATAAAGGGATGAAACCAGACTGTGCAGGGGAGGGGCTGGTGGGGGCCCTCAAAGAAACAGGATGGAAGAGAACG
The DNA here is from genome assembly GCF_000001405.40 of Homo sapiens. Lineage (NCBI taxonomy): Eukaryota > Metazoa > Chordata > Mammalia > Primates > Hominidae > Homo > Homo sapiens. The sequence continues at coordinate 112,800,604 of NC_000001.11, forward strand.
AAAAACAAAAAGCTGTCCTTTTTGATGACTTATCTACCCCAGAGGGGCCACATGCTCCCCTATCATTATCTGTACCTGCCTGGGACTGCGTGTGGTGGTTAGAGCCCGTAACTACCCATAATGACTTCATGGGGCTCAGCCCAGGTAGGGGCCCAGACATTTCAAGCTAATGACTTTTCTTCCCTTTTTATTCTGTCTGTATTAGCTCCCTGCATGGATTGAAAGGTGCTTATTAACACAAGCGCCCCTGATAATTAGGTTGGTCCTGGCTTCATTAAACACTGATGGGCTTCCTGCTTTTGGGTCCAGACAAGAGAAGGAGCCAGAAGACAGGATTCTCCTCCCCATAGGTCTCCGGGGTGCAGATAGGGCAAGGTGGCACTTTCTTCTCATGTTCCTGGGTTGAGCTGAGTGAAAAGGGAGGCAAGAGATAGGAGTAAAAGCAACTGGAAGAGGCCTTTTCCCTATTTATCCCACCTACGGGCTAAACCTTGATGTTCTTATCTGCTCATTGGGCTTAGAACCAGAGACTATGAAAGCTAGAAGAGACCTCAGATATCAATCTTCACATTTTTATCATAAAAAAGAGGTGAGGGCCGGACATGGTGGCTCACACCTGTAATCCCAGCACTTTGGGAGGCTGAGGCAAGCAGATCACCTGAGGTCAGGAGTTCAAGACCAGCCTGACCAACATGGAGAAACCCTGTATCTACTAAAAATACAAAATTAGCTAGGCGTGGTGGCGGGCGCCTGTAATCCCAGCTACTAAGGAGGCTGAGGCAGGAGAATCACTTGAACCCAAGAGGCAGAGGTTGTGGTGAGCCGAGATTGAGCCATTGCACTCCAGCCTGGGCAATGGGAGCGAAACTCTGTCTAAAAAAAAAAAAAAAAAAAAAAGAAGTGAGAAGTCTATGCAGGTCCAGAGAGGGAACAGAACTTGCTCGAGATCACACACCTTAGCTGTGCCAAAACCATGCTCAAAACCCAGGTCTTTTGGCTACTCCAGGCTCAGCGATCCTTGACGTATCTCACAGGACTGTCCCAGGGATCAGGAGGTGGAAGAGAGGAAAGTGGTGTGAAAGTAAGGACCCCACGCAGTGGGAGGACTTCCTGTCTGGGCTGTGCTGCTCATGAGGTCCTGGGCTGCAGGCCTGGGGGGTCAGCCTCCAGAGTCTCCTTACCTGCCCTGCTTGCCTCATAGGGCCCTGGGGAGGAGGGGGCTTGTGAAAGTGCCTTGAGAAGCAAAACCTGTCAAGCTATTCTACCGGCCGGCTGTGTGCTCACTCCTGCCTCTGTCTCCCCAAATCCCCACTTGTGCCCTTTCTCCCAGGAGCCTGAGGATGCTGCTGAGCCCAGCCAGTTACACAAGCCTCGGTCAGCATCATCAACAGCCACTTCTCCATTTGCTTTCTGAATTATTTAGCCCTCCTCTTCCCAGCCCACCCCAGACCTTTTACCACATTAAACCTTCAAATAGGCCTGAACCTTGGCTTGGGAAACAACATTTCCTTACTGTCCCTGCCATAACGTTTTGGAGAGGGCACATCTCCCTATAGATTGGTTTTCCTCTTCACCATGCCTGGTGGTAATTGACAGTGCCTGGGTCCTAATGAGGGAACAGGCCCAGCCAGGGTGAGGCAGAGGGCCCTGCCCTCTCCTAGTCCCTGGTTTGAGGTCCTGGCTATGGGTTCTCCCATCTATTCTTGCTGAGCACTTGCCAAATATTTAATGTCCTTCATCCAGCAAGCCAATGGCAGCTCTGGGGCTGGAAGGCTCCCGAGGTCATTTTGTCCCTTCCTCTGCTTTCAGGCTGGTGCACATCTCATCCAGGGTTGACAGATGGCGGCCTCTTCCCTGGGGCTGAGGCTTTCCTGCCCTCGCCCCTAGCTCCGGCCCACATAAGACCTGGAGAGACTTTTGTGTGGACTACCTGGAAGGCTCTGGTTGTTGTAGATGCCCCAGAGGAACAGCCCAGGGAGGGGCGGGGGGGGGCTCTTATGGGGTAGGGATGGAGGTGTCAGGGGAGGAAAAGTCTTTGGGTGCCACGACAAGCGGATGAAGCGTTCTGCTGTGTGGGGCTCAGGAGAGTCCACCTGAGACTAAGGAAGTCCTGCTGGCTTCTTTTTTTTTTGAAACAGAGTCTTGCTTTGTCACCCAGGCTGGAGTGCAGTGGCACCATCTCAGCTCACTGCAACCTCTGCCTCCGGGTTCAAGCAATTCTCATGCCTCAGCCTCCCAAGTAGCTGGGATTATAGGTGCTCACCACTGAGCCTGGCTAATTTTTTGTATTTTTAGTAGAGATGGGGTTTCACCATGTTGGCCAGGCTCATCTCTAACTCCTGACCTCAGGTGATCCGCCCGCTTTGGCCTCCCAAAGTGCTGGGATTACAGGTGTGAGCCACGGTGCCCTGCCCCTGCCTGCTTCTTTGTGTCTCATTTGTACTCATTTGTCTGTCTGTGGGTCCTATAGCCTGAACCAGCCCACAGTCCTGCCCTCCTCTCCACTCCCTGCCTGTCCTGTGGGCCCTGCTTGGAGAAAGCTACAACCTGGCTCCATGGAGCCCCCAGAAGGGAGCACTCCTTCCCCCTCCTGGTGCCCACTCGTCTGGATCTTCTGGGCGTCTCCCAGCCCTTCTGGCCCCTCACAATCTGGGTTTCCTGCCTGCAGTTCGCTAGTGCTCTCTCTCTCTAAATGGCAATGGCCAACCTCAGCTGGTGTCACAGAGCATGTCTAATGTGGCTGGTGCCCACCTGGGCTTGCCCTTCCTTTCCCATCCTCAGAGCTGGAAGTGACCCTATGGAGTTGGCAGACACCCCCATCCCCTTTCACTCTCACCACCCTCAGCCTATATGTTCTTCCATGAATCTGACTCGAATCTCTTCTGACAATTTTTTTTTTTTTGAGACAGAGTTTCGCTCTTGTCCCCCAAGCTGGAGGGCAGTGGCGCAATGTCAGCTCACTGCAACCTCTGCTCCTGGGTTCAAGCAATTCTCCTGCCTCAGCCTCCCGAGTAGCTGGGACTACAGGCACGTGCCACCATGCCCAGCTAATTTTTGTATTTTTAGTACAGGTGGAGTTTCATCATATCGGCCAGGATGGTCTCAAACTCCTGACATCAAGTGATCCGCCTACCTCAGCCTCCCAAAGTGCTAGGATTACAGGCATGAGCCACCACGTCTGGCTGACAAAGTTTAAATCTGCACCCTTCTGGGTGCAGAAGCCCTTCCCAGGACACCTCCTCTGTCTGGTGAACTTGGACTCTCCTTCAAACTTTAGTGCAGAGGCCACTCTCTCAGAACCCCCCACATCCCCTAGCCTCTCAGAGCAGAACAGGATGGCCTGTCCAACACCCCCTCTCCCCCACCCTGCATCCTATCCTGTCCTTTGAAATACTTCCCAGGTATGTGAATTTACATGTGTTTCTGACTCCCTAGTTGGTCTGTTATCTCCAGGCAGGGCAGGAAAGTGTCTTCAGTGCTCATGGCCTTATCTCCTGTACCTGCTCTGGAGTCCAGTAGTCGTAACAAGTAGTAGGAGCTCAGTAAATATTTGTTGAATGAACAAATAATTCTCTGAGCCCTGGAGGAAGGGTGGGCAGTGTCTCCAATGGACTGTGACAGTTACCTTAGTAAAAATCTGGGGCTGGGGTCCAGAAACCTTGTGTGGCCCCTCTGCATTCCTGTAGTCACAAGGTTGGGTGCTTAGTGAGCCTGGCTGGCCAGGCAGGGCAGGTGCCTGGCGTGATGGGACAGTGCCATCTAGCTGCGGCTAGGCCAGAGCAACAACAGGGCCCGCGAGTTGGCTTGGTCAAAGCGATGTCATACAGGGAGTCCCTGGGCACTGCTAATTCCTTAGCAAGCAAGCAGCTAAGGGGTTGACACAACCTCAGCTTAATTGGTCTCCAACTTGAGGCCTAGGCTGCTATAAGGGGAGCCCAGGGTCAGGCTGGAGATGCCTTTGAAGGAGCCCCCGGTGGATACCAAACTTATCAAAAGCACCTGGAAATGACCCTGCATGTGACCAGGCTACTTACAGAGGCGGTGTCCAGGTCACTGGGTATTGTCCTACTGTATGCTTGATGGCCCCATCATACAGGGGGCAGTACGGAACTCTGAATGCGGAACAAATGCATGTCCCCAGGACTGTTGAGGGTGCTGGGAGCCAGGCCCCTGTTCACTTCCTCACTCTGGACCTCATCTGTCCAGGGGGCAGAGACAGGGTCTACAGCATCCTGTCTTCCTCACAGCCTGGCATGGGCCTGGCAGACACATAGACCCTTGCTCTGTGGCTCTGCCTGGCAGAAGCCGACCGGTGTGAGAAGAGCCTTCTAGCAGTTGGAGCTGTGTAGGCACCAAAAGGGCTGTTCTGTGAGAGGATGAGTCCTTGTCACTGTCAGTGCTCAGATCAAGGCAGCCTTAGCTGGGTCAAATGCTAAGCTGGGAGTGCTCTATTGGACTGGATTACATGCCTTCTGATAGTCCCTTAACTTGACGATTGTATAAAATGTAAACTGCTCAATGCATATCCCTCCCATAGCACTTTAACACTGTTCACTGTAAATCTGTGCCACAAGCTAGGATCCTCAAGAAGCAAACTCTGAGACGGAGATAAGTGTTCAGGACATTTGTTAGGGAGTTCTCTTGGGATGATCCCTTGTGGAAGAGAGGGGCAACAGCAGTGAGATTGGACAGAGGGAGAAGTTGAGCTGCACTGCAGTCTGAACAACAGTCCCAGCTGACCCTGCAGGGAGCTTGGGAGCTGGAATGACCTTCAGAGTTGTCTCAAACTGGGGAGAGCAGGCTGGGTGTTCATAGTATATATTGATCTGTCATTGGGTGCAGGCTGGCCTGGGCAGGTGGTGTGATCTAGGGCAGTCCTGGAAGGGGCTGGCTGTGCTCCCTGAGGGTGGGGAATGTGTCCTGCATTTCTGGAGGGGGTCCGCACACAGCAGCATCTGCCACTCTTCCGGTGCTGACATTTTAAGCAGCAGTGAGCAGTAAGGAAGGTCATTTGGGGCAGTGAACCCTGTCCTGTGTTTCTCAATCCCTGCCCTTGAACAGCTCCCTAAGGGGCAATGACCAGAGTCCTAGTGGGGGTGCTCTGGCCCCTCCACATTCATTTTCTCTGCCTATTCTGAGAGGAGGTTCAGGCTGGAGGTCTGGTGGGGAGGTGGTGAGCACAGGAGGTGCACAAAGGGACAAAAGGCTCTTGCCTTAAATGCCCACAATTAGAACCAGCTCCTTTCTATTCCCACCATGCAAGGGCCCTAATTAAAATTTAAACTCATGTTTCCTTTTTTTCTTTTTAAAGTTTCCATGGTAGGTAATTAACTTTTCCTTTCTGCGAGTGAGCAACTAATTAATGCTCTGTTCATAAGGACGGCGATCAGAGCACTGCGACTTGCCTGGGAGTTTGTTTCTTTCATTTATTTCCACCTTCCAAAAGAACTGGCTTGGTGAAAGTGGGGGCAGAGAAAGGAAAGAAGCTCTGCCAACATCTGTTGTGTGCAGCAGGGTGCTGACAAAGTCCTTACAACATGAAATCCTTACCATGAGGAGGGCATACAGGGTCTTCCCTGGACCAACAGAAGCAGCCGGGTGCAAAAGTGTTCCTGTCTAAGTGAGCCTTCCTCAGGAGGGGCCAGCTGAATACTTCCCTGGGGAACAAAAGCACCTGTGGCTGAACTGCACTGGCATCATGGGTGTGAGGGCCCTCCCACTGCCAGCCTCTGTGCCTTCCTCTCCCAGGCCCCTGGGTTCACCTCCTGGCCACACAAGCCTCAGGGAGAGGATACGGATTAACAGTGTTTGTACAAATTGCAGGGACAAGGGAACATTTCCCCTTCGTCCTTTGAAGTTTTGCTGAAAATCACTGACAAGAGGCAGATTAGTGAGAGAAAAAGTAGACAAACAGATTTAATGTGTACATGGCAGACTTCAGAATAAAGACCCAAAAGATACAGAGGAAATTGTCCATTTTTATGCTGAGGTTCAACAAAGTATGGACAGCTATGTAGAAATGTGACTGGACAGGCTGGGCACGGTGGCTCACACCTGTAATCCCAGCACTTTGGGAGGCCAGGTTGGTGGATCACCTGAGGTCGGGAGTTCAAGACTGGGCCTGACCAACATGGAGAAACCCCGTCTCTACTAAAAATACAAAATTAGCTGGGCATGGTGGCACATGCCTGCAATCCCAGCTACTCCAGAGGCTGAGGCAGGAGAATCCCTTGAACCCGGGAGGCGGAGGTGGCAGTGAGCCGAGATTGCGCCATTGCACTCCAGCCTGGGAAACAAGAGCTAAACTCCATCTCAAAAAAAAAAAAAAAAAAAAAAAAGCCAGGCATGGTAGCTCATTCCTGTAAGCCCAGCACTTTGGGAGGCCAAGGCAGGCGGATCACCTGAGGTCAGGAGTTCGAGACCAGCCTGACCAACATGGAGAAACCCCATCTCTACTGAAAATACAACATTAGCCGGGTGTGGTGGTACATGCCTGTAATCCCAGCTACTCAGGAGGCTGAGACAGGAGACTTGCTTGAACCCAGGAGGCGGAGGTTGCAGTGAGCCGAGACTGCACTATTGCACTCCAGCCTGGGCAATGAGTGAAACTCTGTCTCAGGAAAAAAAAAAAAAAAAAGTATGATTGGACAAAAAGAGTACGATCTAACGCTAACAGACTGAGTGGGGAATCCCAGCAGGGCCGGTCTGTCTAGATTCTTCTTGGCCTCTCAGAGCACGCATTCCTGCATTCCTTCCTTCTGAATGTGGGGCAGGACCCTCTCTGGAATGGGGGTCTTATAACCCATAGTCAAACAAGGCAGGTCAGGTAATTTCTTTATGACCAGTTTTTACACAGAAAGGCAGAGGCAAAGTTAGATTAATGATTTTTGGTTTTATGGCTGGCTTTGGGGAAAAGGTGCTGGTTTCAATGACTTGGTGGGGAAGAGGGATTCTATGGCTAGCCTTGGGGAGAAAAGGATTGAGAGACAAGAGAATGGATAAATAAAGAATGCTGAGGTCACCCAGAAAGAAGAAAGGCAAGAAGCAGCTACCAGAGTTGGGGAATAAGAGGGAAGCATTTTATAGAAGCTTGGAGAGTGAATGAGGGTGCCCTGAGCAAGTGGGGCTCAGACCCCTGACTCATGGAGCCAATCAATTCTATAAAGATCCAAATGCAAAACTAACAACAAATGTTGTTTCGACATATGTACCGATGTGGCAAAATTTTTAAAAAGCAAGGGAACGATAAACACAAATTTAAATGGCAATTACCTCTTCCACAGGGAGGCAGAGGGGTGGAGGAAAAGGCACATATAGGACGATGCAAGTTATATGATTTCTAGTTCTCGTGAGTGATGGGCTCATGGGTGTTGATCGTATTTTGTTTTATAAGTAACATTTAAAAATATGTTTTGTGGTATCTCCTTTCTGAAAAGGACCCCAATGTTTCCTCCCTCCTAGAATTCATATTCCCTCTCACATCGTACCAGGGTTGGCCTGTGTCAGCAATAGAATATGGCAGAGGTGATAGTATGTCACTTCCAAAATTAGGTTCTAAAAGACACCATGGCTTCTATTTTGGTTTCTCTTGCCTGCTGTCTCTTGGCATATTCGCTCTGGGGCAAGCCAGCTGCTATGTTCCTAGCAGCCTACCGGGAGGGCCCAGTGGCAAGAAATTAAGTCTGCCAAGGACAGCTGTGTGAGTGATCTTGGAAGTGAATCCTTCCCAGCCTTCAGATGACTGCAGTCCTGACCAACATCTTTTTGTTTGTTTGTTTGTTTGTTTGTTTGTTTGTTTGTTTGTTTTGAGATGGAGTTTCGCTGTTGTTGCCCAGGCTGGAGTGCAATGGCGTGATCTCGGCTCACTGCAAACTCTGCCTCCTGGGTTCAAGTGATTCTCCTGCCTCAGCCTCCCGAGTAGCTGGGATTACAGGCATGCACCACCACGCCTGACTAATTTTGTATTTTTAGTAGAGACGGGGTTTCTCCATGTTGGTCAGGCTGGTCTTGAACTCCCAACCTCAGGTGATCCGCCCGCCTCAGACTCCAAAGTGCTGGGATTACAGGTGTGAGCCACCACGCCCGGCCCTGACCAACATCTTGACTGAAACTCACGAGACACTGAGCCACAACCTTCCAACTAAGCTGTTCCTGGATTTCTGACCCTAGGAAACTGTGTGAGGTAATAGATGTTTGCTATTTTAAGTCAAGACATTTTGGGGATAATTTGATACATAAGATTAAATAATTAATACATAATTATTTGATATGCATAGAATATTGAACTTTAAAATATGAGTGGGGGTCTAGGGTGTGGTGGCTTAACACCTGTAATCCCAGCACTTTGGGAGGCCGAGGTGAGAAGATTGCTTGAGGCTAGGAACTTGAGACCAGCCTGGGCAACATAGCGAGACTCTAACTCTACAAAAAAAATTTAAAAATTTTAAGATATTAGCCTGGCATGCTGGTGCACACCTGTAGTCCCAGCTACTCAGGAGACTGAAGTGGAGGATTGCTTGAGCCCAGGAGTTCCAGGCTACAGAGAGCTATGATTGTACCACTGTATTCCAGCCTGGGTCACAGAGAGACTATGTCTCAATCAATCAATCAATAATGAAAACAGTGAGAGGTAAAAGAAAAAAGAGAATCTAGGTTTGAGGGAGGCCAGCTGGAAGTAATATGAGTGGTGCCCTGACATGCAGGGAGTGGGCAGCCTGGAGGAGGGATGAGTGGGTGCCCAAAGGGAGCCGGGATCCTGCCAAGAGACTGCAGGGCCTCTCTGCCCACACGAGGGCGCCCCACATTGCCGTATCTGGGCTAGGGGATGGGAAATGAAGACCAAGAAAAGGCCTTCTGGGGAGGGAATGTCCTGTGTGCCCACACACTGGCCCCTCTCTCCAGGTTTCTTGAAGGTCAGCGTGAGGTCCCTCTGGCAACTGGAGACAGAGCCGGTTTTCAAGCCCTGAGAATGCATGCCTCTGCAAGTCAAGGCTGTCTCCTCTGCAGGGTAGCATGTGTTATGGTTGATTGTGAGTGGTGGCAGTGAGGGTGTGAGTGGGTAACTGTCAGGCCTCTGAGCCCAAGCTAAGCCATCATATCCCCTGTGACCTGCACTTACACTTCCAGATGGCCAGTTCCTGCCTTAACTGATCACATTCCACCACAAAAGAAGTGAAAATGGCCTGTTCCTGCCTTTGCTGATGACATTACCTTGTGAAATTCCTTCTCCTGGCTCATCCTGGCTCAAAAGCTCCCCTGCTGAGCACCTTGTGACCCCCCCGCCCCTGCCCACCAGAGAACAACCCCCTTTGACTGTAATTTTCCTTTACCTACCCAAATCCTATAAAACAGCCCCACCCCTATCTCCCTTCGCTGACTCTCCTTTCGGACTCAGCCCACCTGCACCCAGGTGAAATAAACAGCCTTGTTGCTCACACAAATCCTGTTTGGTGGTCTCTTCACACGGACGTGAGTGAAATTTTGGTGCCGTGACTCGGATTGGGGGACCTCCCTTGGGAGATCAATCCCCTGTCCTCCTGCTCTTTGCTCCGTGAGAAAGATCCACCTACGACCTCGGGTCCTCAGACCGATCAACCCAAGGAACATCTCACCAATTTTAAATTGGGTAAGCGGCCTCTCTTTACTCTCTTCTCCAACCTCTCACTGTCCCTCAATCTCTTTCTCCTTTCAATCTTGGCGCCACCCTTCAATCTCTCCCTTCTCTTAATTTCAATTCCTTTCATTTTCTGATAGAGACAAAGGAGACACATTTTATCTGTGGACCCAAAACTCTGGCGCCGGTCACGGACTCGGGAAGGCAGCCTTCCCTTGGTGTTTAATCACTGCAGGGACACCTCTCTGATTATTCACCCACATTTCACTGGTGTCTGATCACCGTGGGGACGCCTGCCTTGGTCATTCACCCACATTCCCTTGGTGGCAAGTCAGTTGCGGGGACTCCTGCTTTGGCTGCTCCCCCATGTTGCAGCCCAGGGCTGCTCCCCACCTCCCTTCTCTGTGTCTTTACCCTTCTCTTTAAACTTACCTCCTTCACCATGGGCAACCTTCCGCCCTCCATTCCCCCTTCTTCTCCCTTAGCCTGTGTTCTCAAGAACTTAAAACCTCTTCAACTCTCGCCTGACCTAAAACTTAAACGCCTTATTTTCTTCTGCAACACTGCTTGGCCCCAATACAAACTCGAAAATGGTTCTAAATGTCCAGAAAATGGCACTTTTGATTTCTCCATCCTACGAGACCTAGATAATTTTTGTCAAAAAATGGGCAAATGGTCTGAAGTGCCTGACGTCCAGGCATTCTTTTACACATTGTTCTCTCCCTAGTCTCTGTTCCCAATGCGACTCATCCGAAATCCTCCTTCTTTCCCTCTCGCCTGTGCTCTCAGTCCCAACTCCAAGCGTCGCCGAGTCTTTCTTTCTTTTCTACAGACCCATCTGACCTCTCCCCTCCTCCCCAGGCTGCTCCTCACCAGGCTGAGCTAGGTCCCAATTCTTCTTTAGCCTCTGCTCCCCCACCCTATAATCCTTTTATCACCTCCCCTCCTCACACCCGGTCCGGCTTACAGTTTCGTTCCTCGACTAGACCTCCCCCACCTGCCCAGCAATTTCCTCATAAAAAGTTGGCTGGAGCTAAAGGCATAGTCAAGGTTAATAATGCTCCTTTTTCTTTATCCGATCTATCCCAAATCAGTTAGCGTTTAGGCTCTTTTTCATCGAATATAAAAACCCAGCTCAGTTCATGGCTCGCTTGGCAGCAACCCTGAGATGCTTTACAGCCCTAGACCCTGAAAGGTCAAAAGGCCGTCTTATTCTCAAAATACATTTTATTACCCAATCCACTCCCGGCATTAAATAAAACTCCAAAAATTAAATTCCAGCCCTCAAACCCCACGACAGGACTTAATTAACCTCGCCTTCAAGGTGTGTAATAATAGAGTAAAGGCAGCTAAGTAGCAATGTATTTCTGAGTTGCAATTCCTTGCCTCCACTGTGAGACAAACCCCAGCCACATCTCCAGCACACAAGAACTCCAAACGCCCGAACGGCAGCTGCCAGGGGTTCCTCCAGAACCTCCTCCCCCAGGAGCTTGCTACAAGTGCCGGAAATCTGGCCACTCGGCCAAGGAAAGCCCACAGCCCGGAATTCCTCCTAAGCTGTGTCCCATCTGTGCGGGACCCCACTGGAAATTGGACTGTCCAACTTGCCCGGCAGCCACTCCCAGAGCCCCTGGAACTCTGGCCCAAGGCTCTCTGACTCCTTCCCAGATCTTCTCGGCTTAGCGGCTGAAGACTGACGCTGACCGATCACCTCAGAAGCCTACAGGATGATCACAGAAGCTTTAGGTAACTCTCATAGTGGAGGATGGACTTAAGAAGTCCGTCCCCTTCTTAATCAATACGGAGGCTACCCACTCCATATTACCTTCTTTTCAAGGGCCTGTTTCCCTTGACTCCATAACTGTTGTGGGTATTGAATGCCAGGCTTCTAAACATCTTAAAACTCCCCAACTCTGGTGCCAACTTAGACAATATTATTTTAAGCACTTCTTTTTAGTTATCCTCACCTGCCCAGTTCCCTTATTAGGTTGAGACATTTTAACTAAATTACCTGCTTCCCTGACTATTCCTGGGCTACAGCCACACCTCATTGCCGCCTTTTCCCCCAGTTCAAAGCCTCCTTCACATCCTCCCCTTGTATCTCCCCACCTCAATCCATAGGTATAAGACACCTTTACTCCCTCCTTGGTGACCGATTACGCACCCCTTACCATCCCATTAAAACCTAATCACCCTTACCCCACTCAATGCCAATATCCGATCCCACAGCCCACTTTAAAAAGATTAAAGCCTGTTATCACTTGCCTGTTACGGCACGGCCTTTTAAACTCTCCTTACAATTACCCCATTTTACCTGTCCAAAAACTGGACAAGTCTTACAGGTTAGTTCAGGGTCTACGCCTTATCAACCAAATTGTTTTGCCTATCCACCCCGTGGTGCCAAACCCATATACTCTCCTATCCTCAATACCTCCCTCCACAACCCATTATTCTGTTCCAGATCTCAAACATGCTTTCTTTACTATTCCTTTGCACCCTTCATCCCAGCCTCTCTTTGCTTTCACTTGGACTGACCCTGACACCCATCAGACTCAGCAAATTACCTGGGCTGTACTGCCTCAAGGCTTCACAGAGAGCACCCCCCCCCCATTACTTCAGTCAAGCCCAAATTTCTTCCCCATCTGTTACCTATCTCGGCATAATTCTCACAAAAACACATGTGTTCTCCCTGCTGATCGTGTCCGACTAATCTCCCAAATCTCAATCCCTTCTACAAAACAACTCCTTTCCTTGCTAGGCATGGTTAGTGCAGTCAGAATTCTTACACAAGAGCCGGGACCGTGCCCTGTAGCTTTCTGTCCAAACAACTTGACCTTACTGTTTTACCCTAGCCCTCATGTCTGCGTGCAGCGGCTGCCACTGCTTTAATACTTTTAGAGGCCGTAAAAATCACATACTATGCTCAATTCACTCTCTACAGTTCTCATAACTTCCAAAATCTATTTTCTTCCTCACACCTGATGGGTATACTTTCTGCTCCCTGGCTTCTTCAGCTGTACTCACTCTTTGTTGAGTCTCCCACAATTACCATTGTTCCTGGCCCGGACTTAATCTGGCTTCCCACATTATTCCTGATATTACGCCTGACCCCCATGACTGTATCACTCTGATCCACCTGACATTCACCCCATTTCCCCATATTTCCTTCTTTCCTGTTCCTCACCCTGATCACGCTTGGTTTATTGATGGCAGTTCCACCAGGCCTAATCGCCACTCACCAGCAAAGGCAGGCTATGCTGTAGTACAAGCCGCTAGCCCGCCTCTCAGAACCTCTCATTTCCTTTCCATCATGGAAATCTATCCTCAAGGAAATCACTTCTCAGTGTTCCAGCTGCTATTCTACTACTCCTCAGGGATTATTCAGGACCCCCGCCCCTGCCCCCCGCTTCCCTACACATCAAGCTTGGGGATTTGCCCTCTCCCAGGACTGGCAAATTGACTTTACTCACATGCTCCGAGTCAGGAAACTAAAATACCTCTTGGTCTGGGTAGACACTTTCACTGGATGGGTAGAGGCCTTTCCCACAGGGTCTGAGAAGGTCACCACAGTCATTTCTTCTCTTCTGTCAGACATAATTCCTCGGTTTAGCCTTCCCACCTCTATACAGTCTGATAATGGACAGGCCTTTATTAGTCAAATCACCCAAGCAGTTTCTCAGGCTCTTGGTATTCAGTGAACTGATGGTCTTTTTAAAACACATCTCACAAAGCTCAGCTACAAACTTAAAAAGGACTTGACAATACTTTTACCACTTTCCCTTCTCAGAATTCGGGCCTGTCCTCGGAATGCTACAAGTTACAGCCCATTTGAGCTTCTGTAATAGACTCTCGTTTTATTAGGCCCCAGTCTCATTCCAGACACCAGACCAACTTGAACTGCGCCCCAAAAAACTTGTCATCCCTACTGTCTTCTGTCTAGTCATACTCCTATTCACCATTATCAACTACTCATAAATGCCCTGCTCTTGTTTACAGTGCCTGTTTACACTGTTTCTCCAAGCCATCACAGCTGATATCTCCTGGTGCTATCCCCAAAGCGCCACTCTTTTTTTTTTTTTTGAGATAGAGTCTCGCTCTGTCACCCAGGCTGGAGTGCAGTGGCGCGATCTCAGCTCACTGCAAGCTCTGCCTCCCGGGTTCATGCCATTCTCCTGCCTCAGCCTCCCGAGTAGCTGGGACTACAGGCACATGCCACCACGCCCGGCTAATTTTTTGTATTTTTAGTAGAGATGGGGTTTCACTGCATTAGCCAGGATGGTCTCGATCTCCTGACCTCGTGATCCGCCTGCCTCAGCCTCCCAAAGTGCTGGGATTACAGGCCACTCCCACTTAAAGTAAATAAATAATCTTTGCTGGCAGGGCTATGCTAAACCTCCTTGGGCACTCTCTAATTGGATGTCCTGGGTCCTCCCAATTCTTAGCCCTTTAATACCGGTTTTTCTCCTTCTCTTATTCGGACCTTGTGTCTTCCATTTAGTTTTTCAATTCATACAAAACCACATCCAGGCCATCACCAATCATTCTATATGACAATGTTTCTTCTCACAACCCCACAATATCACCCCTTACCACAAAATCTTCCTTCAGCTTAATCTCTCCCACTCTAGGTTCCCACGCCACCCCCACTCCCGCTCAAAGCAGCCCTGAGAAACATCGACGATTATCTCTCCATACCACGCCCACCAAAATTTTTGCTGCCCCAACACTTCAACACTATTTTATGTTATTTTTCTTATTAATATAAGAAGACAGGAATGTCAGGCCTCTGAGCCCAGGCTAAGCCATCATATCCCCTATGACCTGCACGTACACATCCAGATGGCCGGTTCCTGCCTTAACTGATGACATTCCACCACAAAAGAAGTGAAAATGGCCAGTCCCTGCCTTAACTGATGACATTACCTTGTGACCCCCCACTCCTGCACACCAGAGAACAACCCCCTTTGACTGTAATTTTCCTTTACCTACCCAAATTCTATAAAATAGCCCCACCCCTATCTCCCTTCGCTGACTCTCTTTTTGGACTCAGCCCGCCTGCACCCAGGTGAAATAAACAGCCTTGTTGCTCACACAAAGCCTGTTTGGTGGACGCAAGTGAAAGTAACCAGGTGCCTGGGGAGTCTCTCTCCATTGCGCATGATGGGCTTCCCCATGGCTTCCTTCTCGGGAGAGGAGAAAAGTCCAGGGTGCAGAGAAATTGTCAGTAGCCTTTCCCTTCTCCCCTCCTCACCTTCACTTTTGCAGCTGCAGAGCTTAATCATTATTGAGGAATTCAATTGCAGTCAGGCCTTAAGGTTGATGGGAGGTGTCGGGGCTCACAACATAATACACCAAAGTATGGTGCTGTGGCATGCGTAGACTTCTGAGAAATGCTTCATTAGGCGATTTTGTCATCGTGCAAACATCACAGTGTATTTAACACAAATCTAGACAGCATAGCCCACTATACATCTAGGCTATATGGTATGGCTTATTGCACCTAGGCTACAAACATGTACAGTATGTTACTATGTTGAATACTGTAGGTAACTCTAACACAATGATAAATATGTGTGTATCCAAACATACCTAAACATAGGAAAAGTACAGTCAAAATATGGTATTATAGGCCAGGCGCGGTGGCTCACGCCTGTAATCCTAACACTTTGGAAGGCCGAGGTGGGCAGATCACGAGGTCAGGAGATCGAGACCATCCTGGCTAACACGGTGAAACCCCATCTCCACTAAAAATACAAAAAAATTAGCCGCTTGTGGTGGCAGGTGCTTGTAGTCCCAGCTACTTGGGAGGCTGAGTCAGGAGAATGGCGTGAACCCGGGAGGCAGAGTTTGCAGTGAGCCGAGATTGAGCCACTGTACTTCAGCCTGGGCAACAGAGTGAGAATCCATCTCAAAAAAAAAAAACGGTAATATAAACTGTTGTTTGAGACAGAGTCTCACTCTTTGTTGCCCAGGTTGGAGTGCAATCAATGGCGTGATCTCGGCTCACTGCAACCTCCACCTCCCGGGTTCAAGCAATTCTCCTGCCTCAGCCTCCCTAGTAGCTGAGACTACAGGCACGTGCCACCACGCCTGGCTAATTTTTTTTTCTTTTTCTTTTTCTTTTTTAGGCGGAGTTTCGGTCCTGTTGCCCAGGCTGGAGTACAATGGCGCAATTTCAGCTCACAGCAGTGATTCTCCTCCCTCAGCCTCGCGAGAAGCTGGGATTACAGGCATGTGCCACTACGCCCAACTAATTTTGTATTTTTAGTAGAGACGGGGTCTCTCCATGTTGGTCAGGCTGGTCTCGGAACTCCTGAACTCAGGTGATCCGCCTGCCTCAGCCTCCCAAAGTGCTGAGATTACAGGTGTGAGCCACCGTGCCCGGGCTAATTTTTTGTATTTTTAGTAGAGACAAGGTTTAACCATGTTGGCCAGGGTGGTCTCAAACTCCTGATCTCAGGTGATCCACCCGCCTTGGCCTCCCAAAGTGCTGGGATTACAGGCATGAGCCACCTCGCCCAGCCAAGTGAGGCTCATTTTTAACCTTTTGATGATTATACTTGAAGGGGTGGCCTGCCCCTCCACACCTGTGGGTATTTTTAGTCGGGTGGGATGAGAGACTGAGAAAAGAAATAAGACACAGAGACAAAGTATAGAGAAACAATAGTGGGCCCAGGGGACTGGCGTTCAGCACACCAAGGACCTGCATCGGCACCGGCCTCTGAGTTCCCTCAGTTTTTATTATTATTTTCATTATTTTAGCAAAAAGGAATGTAGTAGGAGAGCAGGGTGATAATAAGGAGAAGGTCAACAAAAAACATGTGAGCAAAAGAATCTATATCATAATTAAGTTCAAGGGAAGGTACTATGCCTGGACGTGCACGTAGGCCAGATTTATGTTTCTCTCCACCCAAACATCTCAGTGGAGTAAAGAATAACAAGGCAGCATTACTGCAAACATGTCTCACCTCCCGCCATAGGGCGGTTTTTCTCCTATCTCAGAATTGAACAAATGTACAATCGGGTTTTACACCAAGACATTTAGTTCCCAGGGGCAGGCAGGAGACAGTGGCCTTCCTCTATCTCAGCTGCAAGAGGCTTTCCTCTTTTACTAATCCACCTCAGCACAGACCCTTTATGGGTGTCAGGCTGGGGGACAGTCAGGTCTTTCTCATCCCACGAGGCCATATTTCAGACTATCACATGGGGAGAAACCTTGGACAATACCCCGCTTTCAAGGGCAGAGGTCCCTGCGGCTTTCCACAGTGCATTGTGCCCCTGGTTTATTGAGACTAGAGAATGGCAATGACCTTTATCAAGTATATTGCTTGTAAACATTTTGTTAACAAGGCATGTCCTGCACAGCCCTAGATCCCTTAAACCTTGATTTTATACAACACATGTTTTTGTGAGCTCCAAGTTCGGTCAAAGTGGTTGGGTCAAAGTGGCAGGGGCAAAGCTACAAATTAACAACATCTCAGCAAAGCAATTGTTTAAAGTACAGGTCTTTTTCAAAATGGAGTCTCTTATGTCTTTCCTTTCTACATAGACACAGTGACAGTCTGATCTTTCTTTCTTTTCCCTACAATACTGTGATAGTAGCATTGATGGTTTGGAAGTGGCAAATGAGAAGTGAGGCTGGGAGGCTTTTCGAAGGAGATTTCAGGAATTCTGATGAGGCCCTGTGAGGGCCTGACCCACAGCTATAGCAAGGAAAAAGGCAAGGTGGGGGTGTTGATGGGGAGACACTGAAGCAGGGCGACCTACAGGGATTGGTACTTGAGAACTATGCAGGAGGAATGGGGTGGGGCCGGTGTGGGGGTGGAGGGAGTGCAGGAACCCCCTGAAGCTCCTGGCTCAGAAATCTACCCCCTGCAAGCCCAGGTCTTCCCAGCTGTGCTCCTCGTTAGCATTTGAGAAGCTGGACAATGCTTAAAATTCACCTTCTAGGGCTGGGTCTACAGTTGTTACCAAATGTCTCCATAGCTTCCAGTGTGAATCGCATTCAGAATTACAATCAGATAGAAAGGCACTCAGGCCCTTCTCATTTAAAACAAACAAAAGCATGAGGGATAGGAGGGCACAGAGAATAAAAAACAGCAAGAGAAAAACGCCCTAGGGCAAACTTCATCTTTTTTTTTTTTTTTTTTGAGTTGGAGTCTCGGCTCTATCGCTCAGGCTGGAGTGCAGTGGTGCAATCTTGGCTCAATACAACCTCTGCCTCCCAAGTTCAAGCGATTCCCCTGTCTCAGCCTCTCGAGTAGCTGAGATTACAGGAGCACGCCACCATGCCCAGCTAATTTTATTTTTTTATTTTTTATTTTTTTTGCATTTTAGTAAAGATGGGGTTTCACCATGTTGCCCAGGCTGGTCTCGAACTCCTGAGCTCAGGCAATCCACCTGCCTCAGCCTCCCAAAGTGCTAGGATTATAAGCATGAGTCACCGTGCCCGGCTGAACTTTCTCATATTATGTATATACATATAGTCGGGCCGGGCGCGGTGGCTCACGCCTGTAATCCCAGCACTTTGGGAGGTCGAGGCGGGTGGATCACAAGGTCAGGAGCACAAGACCAGCATGGCCAACATGGTGAAACCCTGTCTCTACTAAAAGTACAAAAAAATTAACCAGGCGTGGTGGCACATGCTTGTAATCCCAGCTACTCGGGAGGCTGAGGCAGAATTGCTTGAACCCGGGAGGCGGAGGTTGCAGTGAGCCGAGATTGTGCCACTACACTCCAGCCTGGGTGACAGAGCGAGACTCCATCTCAAAAAAAAAAACACAAAAAATGATGTATATACATATAGTCAGTGCACCAGAATATGAATGAATGCTGGTCATATTTACAGTGTATGAAGCCCTTTTACATACAATTTATCATCTAATCCACACAAACCTTGGGGAAGTGGATATAAATAAAAACAATGACTCTTTTGTGTGGGTGGAAGGAGTGTAGGAGCTGGATAAAGCTTCTGGCTTGGAAAACCACCCCCTGCACATCCAAGTCTTCCCCTGTTGTGCTTATCTTGTGCTTATCATGTGACGTAATCCTAACTTCTTCATGACTTATGGCCACTTCCTCCTGGGACCCAGCTGGAGTGAGCAAGTGAGTAAAATGCAAGCTCTTTTAATTCTTGAGACAGCAAAGCATATTAAGGAAGGAAATACACAAGTGAGAAAAATCACATTGTGAATTTCAAAGCCGAGGGACAAAACTGCAGAACTGCGGGAGCCAGTGATAGGTTTGGCCATTATTTACCCTCAGGATCACCCAGGACTCAGCCTCTTCTGTTTCCTGAACTTCCATCCAGTACAGCCTTCAGCTGTAGCCACTAAGCTGTAATGCAATTGCTTTACAAGACACTGTCTGGCACTGTCTTTTCTGACAGTGGGGAAGATGCCCTGGCAGGATGACGGCTCAGCTAAGGAGTCAGGGTTATGGGTATTTTCTTACTTTTTATCTTGGAATTTCAGATTTTAAAAAAAAGTTTGATAGTATAGAGAGTTCCTGTATACTTTTCACCCAGCTTCCTCTGCAGTTAATCTTTTTTTTTTTTTTTTTTTTTTTTTTGAGACGGAGTCTCACTCAGTCGCCCAGGCTGCAGTGCAGTGCTGCGATCTCGGCTCACCGCAAGCTCCGCCTCCCGGGTTCACACCATTCTCCTGCCTCAGCCTCCCGAGTAGCTGGGACTACAGGTGCCCACCACCACGCCCAGCTAATTTTTTTTCGTATTTTTAGTAGAGACAGGGTTTCACTGTGTTAGCCAGGATGGTCTTGATCTCCTGACCTCGTGATCCGCCCATCTCGGCCTCCCAAAGTGCTGGGATTACAGGCATGAGCCACCGCCCCCGGCCTCCTCTGCTGTTAATCTTATATAAACGTGGTACATTTGTCAATTTACCATTGGTACAATACTAAATTTCACTCGCCGTGTGAAGAGACCACCAAACAGGTTCTGTGTGAGCAACAAGGCTGTTTATTTCACCTGGGTGCAGGTGGGCTGAGTCCAAAAAGAGTCAGTGAATGGAGATAGGGGTGGGGCCGTTTTATAGGATTTGGGTAGGTAGTGGGAAATTACAGTCAAAGGGGATTGTTCTCTGTTAGGCAGGAGTGGGGGTCACAAGGTGCTCAGTGGGGGAGCTTTTGAGCCAGGATGAGCCAGGAGAAGGAATTTCACAAGGTAATGTCATCAGTTAAGGCAGGCACGCGCCATTTTCACTTCTTTTGTGATTCTTCAGTTACTTCAGGCCATCTGGATGCATACATGCAGGTCACAGGGGATATGATGGCTTAGCTTGGGCTCAGAGACCTGATATTCCTGTCTTCTTATATTAATAAGAAAAATAAAACAAAATAGTGGTAAAGTGTTGGGATGGTAAAAATTTTTCGGGGGGTGGTATGGAAAGATAATGGATGATGTTTCTCAGGGTTGCTTCTAGCGGGATTAGGGGTGGCATGGGAACCTAGAGTGGGAGAGATTAAGCTGAAGGAAGATTTTGTGGTAAGGGGTGATATTGTGGGGTTGTGAGAAGAAACAGTTGTCATATAGAATGATTGGTGATGGCCTGGATACAGTTTTGTTATGAATTGAGAAACTAAACAGAAGACACAAGGTCCAAATAAGAGAAGGAGAAAAACAGGTATTAAATGACTAAGAATTGGGAGGACCTAGGACATCCAATTAGAGAGTGCTCAAGGGGGTTCAGCATAGCCCTGCCAGCAAAGATTATTTATTTACTTTAAGAGTTAAGAGTGGCGGTTTGGGGATAGCACCAGGAGATATCAGCTGTGATGGCTTGGAGAAACAGTGTAAACCGGCAGTGTAAAGAAGAGCAGGGCATTTATGAGTAGTTGATAATGGTGAATAGGAGTATGACTAGACAGAAGACAGTAGGGATGACAAGTTTTTGGGGTGCAGTCCAAGTTGGTCTGATGTCTGGAATGAGACTGGGGCCTAATAAAAGGAGCATCTATACAGGAGCTCAAATGGGCTGTACCCTGTAACATTTTGAGGACAAGCCCGAATTCTGAGAAGGGAAAGTGGTAAAAGTATCCAGTCCTTTTTAAGTTGGTGGCTGAGCTTGGTGAAGTGTGTTTTAAAAAGACCGTTAGTTCACTGAACACCAAGAGCCTGAGAAACTGCTTGGGTGATTTGACTAATAAAGGCCTGTCCGTTATCGGACTGTATAGAGGTGGAAAAGCCAAACGAGGAATTATGTCTGACAGAAGGGAAGAAATGACCACAGTGGCTTTCTCATACCCTGTGGGAAAGGCCTCCACCCATCCAGTGAAAGTGTCTACCCAGACCAAGAGGTATTTTAGTTTCCTGACTCGGGGCATATGAGTAAAGTCAATTTGCCAGTTCTGGACGGGGGCCCGAGCTTCATGTGTAGGGAAGGGAGGGGGCCTGAACAATCCCTGAGGAGTAGTAGAATAGCAGCTGGAACACTGAGAAGTGATTTCCTTGAAGATAGATTTCCACAATGGAAAGGAAATGAGAGGTTCTAAGGGGTGGGCTAGTGGCTTGTAACCTACATGGAAGAGGTTATGAAATGATGACAGAATAGAATGGGCCTGTGAGGCTGGAAGGAGATATTTCCCTTGGTCTGAGAACCATTTGCCTTGTGTGGGAAGAGATTGACAGGTGGAAGTTTTAGTGGGGGAGTAGGTGGGAGTGGCCAGATGAGAAGGAGAAAAACTGCCCTGAGGGATAGAAGTTGGAACACTAGCTGTTTTTTTAGCTACCTTATCAGCATAAGAATTGTCCTCAGTGAGGGGATCTGATGCCTTTTGATGGCCCTTGCAGTGAATGACTCCAGCTTCCTTTGGAAGTAGAGCAGCTTTGAGAAGAGTTTTTATTAAAGAGGCATTAATGATGGAGGACCCTTGTGTAGTGAGGAAATTTCTTTCAACCCATATAACAGCATGGTGGTGCAGTATATGGAAGGCATATTTAGAGTCAGTATAAATATTGACGCGTAGTCCTTTTGCAAGAGTGAGGGCTCGAGTTAAGGTAATGAGTTTGGCTTGCTGAGAGGTAGTGGGGTGGGGGCAGAAAGTATATGCATCAGGTGTGAGGAAGAAAATCGATTTTGGAAGTTATGAGAACTGTAGAGAGTGAATTGAGCATAGTTTGTGATTTTTAGGGCCTCTAAAAGTATTAAAGCAGTGGCAGCCGCTGCATGCAGACACGATGGCCAGCCTAAAACAGTAAGGTCAAGTTGTCTGGACAGAAAGGCTACAGGGCACGGTCTGGCTCTTGTGTAAGAATTTCAACCACACAGCCCTGCACTTCGGTTGTGTGTAATGAAAAGGGAGTGATGAGTTAGGGAGAGCTAGTGTGGGAGCTGTTTTTTAAGGAATGGAAAGGAAAGTAGGGAAAGGATATAGGATCTATGGGGTCAGCTAGGTTTATCTAGAACAGAATAATGGGTTGTAGAGGGAGGTATTGAGGATAGGAGAGTATATGGGTTTGGCACCACGGGGTGGATAGGCAAAACAATTTGGTTTTGGTTGATAAGACTCAGATCCTGAACTAAACTGTAAGGCTTGTCCAGTTTTAGGACAGGTAAAATGGGGAAATTGTAAGGAGAGTTTACAGGCTTTAAAAGGCCGTGCTGTAACAGGTGAGTGATAACAGGCTTTAATCCTTTTAACACGTGCTGTGGGATGGGATATTGGCATTGAGTGGGGTAAGGGTGATTAGGTTTCAATGGGATGGTAAGGGGTGCATGATCAGTTGCCAAGGAGGGAGTAGAGGTGTCCCATACCTGTGGATTGAGGTGGGGAGATACAAGGGGAGGATGTGAAGGAGGCTTTGAACTGGGGAAAAGGGCAGCAATGAGGTGTGGCTGTGGCCTAGGAATAGTCAGGGAAGCAGATAATTTAGTTAAAATGTCTCGACCTAATAAGGGAGCTGGGCAGGTGAGGATAACTAAAAAGGAGTGCATAAAAGAATATTGTCCAAGTTGGCACCAGAGTTGGGGAGTTTTAAGAGGTTTAGAAACCTGGCCATCGGCCGGGCACGGTGGCTCATGCCTGTAATCCCAGCACTTTGGGAGGCCGAGGCGGGTGGATCACGAGGTCAGGAGATTGAGACCATCCTGGCTAACACGGTGAAACCCCGTCTCTACTAAAAATATAAAAAATTAGCTGGGCGTAGTGGCGGGGGCCTGTAGTCCCAGCTACTCGGGAGGCTGAGGCAGGAGAATGGCGTGAACCCCGGAGGTGGAGCTTGCAGCGAGCCGAGATTGCACCACTGCATTCCAGCCTGGGCGACAGAGCCAGACTCCATCTCAAAAAAAAAAAAAAAAAAAAAAAAGAAACCTGGCCATCAATACCCACAACAGTTATGGAGTCAAGGGAAACAGGCCCTTGAAAGAAGGTAATGTGGAGTTGGGTAGCCTCTGTATTGATTAAGAAGAGGACGGACTTACCCTCCACTGTAAGAGTTATCCAAAGCTGGGCATCTGTGATGGTCCAGGGGGCTTCCAAAGTCATCTGGCAGCATCAGTCTTCAGCCGCTAAGCTGAGAAGATCTGGGAAGGAGTAAGAGAGCCTTGAGCCAGAGTTCCAGGGGCTCTGAGAGTGGCTGCCAGGTAAATTGAACAGTCCAATTTTCAGTGGGATCCTGCACAGATGGGACATGGCTTAGGAGGAATCCCAGGCTGCAGGAATTCCTTGGCCCAGTGGCCAGATTTCTAGCACTCATAGCAAGCTCCTGGGGAAGGAGGTTCTGGATGAACCCCTGGCAGCTGCGGTTCATCCAGAACCTCATCCAGGTGTTTGGATTTCTTGTGTGCTGGAGATGTGGCTGGGGTTTGTCTCACAGTGGAGGCAAAGAATTGCAACTCAGAAATACATTGCTACTTGGCTGCCTCTACTCTATTATTGTACACCTTGAAGGCAAGGTTAACTAAGTCCTGTTGTGGGGCTTGAGGGCCAGAATTTAATTTTTGGAGCTTTATTTAATGTCGGGAGCAGATTGGGTGATAAAATAAAATGCATATTGAGAATAAGATGGCCTTCTGACTTTTCAGGGTCTAGGGCTGTAAAGCATCTCAGGGTTGCTGCCAAACGGGCCACGAACTAGGCTGGGTTTTTATATTTGATGAAAAAGAGCCTAAACATTAACTGATTTGGGAGAGATCGGATAAAGAAAAAGGAGGATTAACCTTCACTATGCCTTTAGCTACAGCCACCTTTTTAAGAGGAAATTGCTGGGCAGGTTGGGGAGGGCTAGTCACAGAACGAAACTGGAAACTGTAAGCCAGACCAGGTGTAAGGAGGGGAGGTGATAAAAGGATTATAGGGTGGGGGACCGGAGGCTGAGGAAAAATTGGGACCTAGCTCGGCCTGGTGAGGAGCAGCCTGGGGAGGAGGGGAGAGGTCAGATGGGTCTGTAGAAAAGGAAGATTGGAAAGACTCAGCGATGCTTGGGGTTGGGACTGAGGGGACAAGGCGGGAGGGAAAGAAGCAAGATTTGGGACAAGTTGCATTGAGAACAGAGACTAGGGAGGGACCGATATGTAAAAGAATGCCTGGACGTCAGGCACCTCAGACCATTTGCCCATTTTACAACAAGAATTATTTAGATCTTGTAGGATGGAAAAATCAAAAGTGCCATTTGCTGGCTATTTGGAACCACTGTGGAGTTTGTACTGGGGTCAAGTGGCATGGCAGAAGAAAATAATGCATTTAGGTTTTAGGTCAGGTGTGAGTTGAAGAGGTTTTAAGTTCTTGAGAACACAGGCTAAGGGAGAAGAAGGAGGAATGGAGGGTGGAAGGTTGCCTATAGTGAAGGAGGCAAGTCCAGAGAAAAGACAGGGTAGAGACATGGAGAGAAGGGGTGGGGGGGTGCTTGCCCCCCAGGAAAGTGGAGAGAAGAGAGGGTAGAGACATGGCGGGAAGGGGTTGGGTGAGCAGCCCTGGGCTGCAATGTGGGTGAGCAGCCAAAGCAGGCATCCCTGCAATTGACTTGCCAGCAAGGGAATGTGGGTGAATGACCAAGGCAGGCGTCCCTGCGGTGATCAGACACTGATGAAATGTGGGTGAATAATCAGGCAGGTATCCCCACGTGATTAAACATCAAAGGAAGACTGTCTTCCTGAGTCCGTGACTGGCACCGGAGTTTTGGGTCCATGGATAAAACATGTCTCCTTTGTCTCTACCAGAAAAGGAAAGGAACTGAAATTAAGAGAAGGGAGAGATTGAAAGATGGCACCAAGATTGAAAGGAGAAAGAGGTTGAGGGATAGTGAGAGAGGTTGGAGAAGAGAGTAAAGAGGGGCCGCTTACCCGATTTAAAATTGGTGAGATGTTCCTTGGGCTGGTTGGTCTGAGGAGCAGAGATCGTAGGTGGATCTTTCTCATGGAGCAAAGAGCAGGAGGACAGGGGATTGATCTCCCAAGGGAGGTCCCCTGATCCGAGTGATGGCACCAAATTTCATTCGCGTTGCTGTGAAGAGACCACCAAACAGGTTTTGTGTGAGCAACAAGGCTGCTTATTTCACCTGGGTGCAGGTGGGCTGAGTCCGAAAGGAGAGTCAGCAAAGGGAGATAGGGGTGGGGCCGTTTTATAGGATTTGGGTAGGTAGTGGGAAATTACAGTCAAAGGAGGTTGTTCTCTGGTAGGCAGGGGCGGGGGTCACAAGGTGCTCAGTGGGGGAGCTTTTGAGCCAGGATGAGCTAGGAGAAGGAATTTCACAAGGTAATGTCATCAGTTAAGGCAGGAACAGGCCATTTTCACTTCTTTTGTGATTCTTCAGTTACTTCAGGCCACCTGGATGCATACATGCAGGTCACAGGGGATATGATGGCTTGGGCTCAGAGGCCTGACACTAAACCATGGATCAGCTTTTCCCCTAACATCCTTTTTAAGTTCCAGAATCAATCCTAGAATACTGTTACTGAAAGAGGTCCCAATCCAGACCCCAAGAGAGTTCTTGGATCTCCTGAAAGACAGTAAGGGAGGAGACCATCCCTCATATTGTTTTATGCCCAATTTCTGCCTCCAAAGAAAGAAGTAAAAACTAAAAGGCAGAAATGAAATCCACAGGCAGACAGCCCGGTGCCGTGCCCTAGGCCTGGTAGTTAAAGATCGACCCCTGACTTAACCGGTTATCTTATCTACAGATTCCAGACATTGTATGGAAAAGCATTGTGAAAATCCCTGTCCTGTTCCATTCTGATTATCGGTGCTGCACCCCCAGTCACGTACCCACTGCTTGCTTGATTGATCACAACCCTCTCATGCAGACCCCCTTAGATGTGTAAGCCCTTAGAAGGGACAGGAATTGCTCTCTCAGGAAGTTCAACTTTTGAGAAGCAAGCCTGCTGAAGTTCCTGGCTGAATAAAGCTCTTTCCTTCTTTAACCTGGTGTCTGAGGAGTTTTGTCTGTGGCTTGTCCTGCTACATTTCTTGGTTCCCTGATGGGGAAGCAAGGTGATTGGCAGACGGTCGAGGCAGCCCCTTAGGTGACTTAGGCCTGTCTTGTGGAGCATCCCTACGGGGTACTCCGACCAGCCTGAGTGACGCAGATCCAAACAGCACTCCCGGGTAGGCAATTGCCCCAGTGGGATGCCTCGCCAGAGCAGCGTGTGGCAGGCCCCTGCAGAGGATCAACACAGTGGATGAACACCGGGAAGGAACTGGCACTTGGAGTCTGGACATCTGAAACTTGCTAAGACTGGTCTTTGGAACTTGTGCACTCCATTTGAGTGGAAGCGTGGCCTGATCACCCATGGCGTGCCTCTACCAGCACTTTGGTTTTTGTTTTTTACTTGACTTGGATTACTTGATACTTTGGTTTTGGTTTTGGCCTGGCTTGGATTTCCTGATACTCTGATTTTGGTTTTGATTCTGGTTTGGTGTAAACTGTAAAAGTGTGTGTGTGCCCTTTTTACTTGTTCTTTGTTTTGTGGGGTGCGAGTGGTGTGAGTGTGGTGTTTTGTCTCGAGGAAGCATGGATCAGGCACAAACTAAGCCCACCCCACTAGGAACTATGCTGAACAATTTCAAGAAAGGATTTAAGGGAGATTACAGTGTTACTATGACACCAGGAAAACTTAGAACTTTGTGTGAAATAGACTGGCCAGCATTAGAGGTGGGTTGGCCATCAGAAGGAAGCCTGGACAGGTCCTTTGTTTCAAAGGTATGGCACAAGGTAAGCCAGGGCACCCAGACCAGTTCCTGTACATAGACACTTGGTTACAGCTGGTTTTAGATGCCCCCCACAGTGGTTGAGAGAACAGCAGCATAAGCAGCTGGCAGAGGCAAGGAAAGACCAGCAGAGAGAGAGAAAGGAAAGAGACAGAGACATTAACCACTGAAAATTCCCTTAACCCAGCAGGTTTCCTAACGGGATCTAAATCTTAATTACCATACCAAGGTTGACCAGACCTAGTAGGAACTCCCTGTAGGATAGGACAATAGATGGTTCCTCCCAGGTAATTGAAGGAAAAAAAAAGAAAAAAGCCATCTATACCAATTATAAGTTAATTTGGACTAAACAAGGTCTTATTAATAGCAAAGAATAATTGAAATCCCAAACTTACAAGGTTTTCAACAAAAGTAAAGTTTGCTAAATGTAAACAGTGTAACATGTATTATACTAACTTCTAATCTTGTGTCCTTAGACAGTCTAGTCCACAGATATAAAGGAAGCTTGCTTTGGAAAAGAATGGTTATCGTCTTCAAAAAAAAGGGGGGAAAAAAGAAGGGGCAGAATTTATCTAAAAAAAAAAATGTTATATGGTAAATTCTTGTCCTAAAATAAATTAACTGGTTGTTTAAAGAAAGAAATGTTTGTAATAAGTCAGAAAGTTGAGGCATGTCGAAGAATTGTCTGCAAAAGTCATGAAAAAAAGTTATAAAAAAAGAATTTATGCAAGAAATGTTGTACAATTTAAAAGTAATTAGGCCTCCTGAATGTAAAACTATTGGAGAAAAAGTTTATGTGCAAGGTGTATAAGAAAAGTAAACTATACCTCTGGTAAAAGGATTAAAAGGAAGCATAAGGATGTGGATTTTTACCTACATTAAAAGGTTTAAAAAAATTTGCTTTGAAGGTTTAAGCAAGTTTTAAAATGTTAATTGTAAAGGAAATTCTGTGTGTAAACATATTGGCTAAAGTTAAAGGGGTATCATTTTTTTTCTGTGAACTGAACATTAAAAAAAAACACAACGGGTTTTTCTTAAAGTGCTAACCTGCTCTTTAACAAAAATTATAAAAGGTTAAAAAGAGTCTATAAAAATCTTACCTTATGGTCTGACATTAAAAATTGAATAAATATGTCTACAAAGAAAACAAAGTTTAACATTAATAACACACTCAAATAAAGGTGACATTTAGCTTATCTGGTATAAACATACAGGAAGCGTTGTCAAATATAAAATGGTGTTTAGCTTTCTTTGGTCTAAAAACAAATAAAAATAGGTGAAAACAAATAAAAATAGGTGCTAAAGGAAATTTCTCAGTAAAAAGGCACCAAGGACTATAAAGTCCACTGCTGATGTCCCCACATTTAAAACAAAAGGTCAATTTCTTAAAAATTATATACTTGGTTTAGCACATGTACCACCCCTAGAATTTCCAGTAAAACAGCACCAGCCTGAAGATCATGTTCTTACCAAAGGGTGGAAAGAAGGAAAACTCGAGTCAGCCTGGGAATGACCCTATCTTGTGCTGTTAACCACCAAGACTACTGTTCATACAGCGGAAAGGGGATGGACTCATCACACCTGAGTCAAGAAAGTGCCACCCCTCCAGAGTCATGGGCCAGAGTCCCAGGGGAAAACCCTACCAAACTAAAGCTAAGAAAAATTTAACTTCTTCATCTATTCTATTACTCTTTCTTCTTTCCTCTCTCTATTGCTGACCATCTAGTTATTAACATAACCAAGTCAATTTCATCTCAAACTATTGCATTTAATGCTTGCCTTGTTACACCCTGTGGGGACTTGCCAAGTCAAAGACAGCTCTCTACTTCAGAAAAGTACCTCTGTCCCTCCTGACTCTCCTCAGACTGGGCATTAATAAATTGGGACCATTTAATCCAGGGAGATTTCGATAAAGACCCCAGTGACAACCAGGAGTCTTGCCCCCCAATTTAGAGCTTTTATGCCGTAGTTGGTCCAACGTTCTGTGGACCACTAAACAGCAAGGATGGACTGCCCCAACCAGTTTTTGTAATTTCCTAAAACCATACATTCATTTTACTAGAGGATCATAGAAGTTAAAGACTTAAAATGAACTTTGGCAATTAAGACAGGATATCAAGATGCAAATGCCTGGTTGGAATGGATCAAATATTCTGTCCACACATTAAACAAAAGTGATTGTTATGCTTGTGCATGTGGCAGGCCAGAGGCCCTGATTGTCCGCTTTCCACTAAGGTGGTCCTCCAGTAGACCAGGCATGGGCTGCATGGTAGCTCTTTTCCAGGATTCTACAGCCTGGAGTAATAAGTCATGCCAAGCTCTCTCTGCTATATCCTGAAGTCCGGCACCCTGTGGGTCAGCCACCAAGGGCCATCCAGCTTCCCTCTCCCAAAACTAAGTTCGCTTCATGTCTCTCATGACAGGGAGGAAACTTAGTGTTCCTTGGAGACCTGAAGGGATGCAGTGAGCTTAAGAATTTTCAAGAGCTTATGTATCAATCAGCCCTTGTTCATCCCCAAGCGGATGTGTGGTGGTATTGTGGTGGACCTTTACTAGGCACTCTGCCAAATAACTGGAGTGGCACTTATGCTTTAGTCCAGTTGGCTATCCCTTTCACCCTGGCATTTCATCAACCAGAGGGAGGAAAAATAAGACATCATAAAGTGAGAGAAGCCCCTTATGGGTCTTTCTACTCTCACATCTATTAAGACTCAATTGGAGTCCCATGGGGAATACCAGAACAATTTAAAGCCCAAAATCAAATAGCTGCAGGATTTGAGTCAATATTTTGGTGAGTGACAGTTAATAAAAATGTAGATTAGATAAACTACATCTATTATAACCAACAGCGACGATATTTTCATGAGTTAAAAGAAAAACGCATGTCGGCCCCAGCCCTGGGGCTACCTGACCTGACAAAACCTTTTACACAATATGTATTAGAGAGAGAGGAAAAAAAATGGCGGTTAGAGTTTTGACCCAGACTGTGGGGCCCTGGCCGAGACCGGTGGCCTACATCTCTAAACAACTAGAAGGGGTTTCTAAGAGTTGGCCCCCATGTTTGAGGGCCTTGGCAGCAACACCCCTGCTAGCACAAGAAGTGGATAAGCTAACTCTTAGGCAAAACCTAAACATAAAGTCTCCCCCATGCTTTAATAAATACCAAAAGACATCATTGGCTAACGAATGCTAGACTAACTAGATACCAAAGCTTGCTCTGTGAAAATTCCCGCATAATCATTGAAGTTTGCAACACCCTGAACCCCGCCACCTTGCTCCCGGTATCAGAGAGCCCAGTTGAACATAACTGTGTAAAAGGTGTTGGACTCAGTTTATTTCTGCAGGCCCAACCTCCGAGACCATCCTTGAACATCAGTAGACTGGGAGCTGTATGTGGACAGGAGCAGCTTCGCCAACCCTCGCAAAGTGACTCTGAAGAAGACCACAAGCCCTGCTCCAGTCACACCCAGAAGCTGACTGGTCCACGCATGGCCGAAGCATGAGGAAACTCATCGCAGGACTCATTTTCCTTAAAATTTGGACTTGTACAGTAAGGACTTCGACTGGCCTTCCTCAGACTGAGCACTGTTCCCAGTATATACATCAAGTCACTGAGGTAGGACAAAAGGTTGCTATAGTCCCATTATTTTATGGTTATTATAAGTGTACGGGGACTCTAAAAGGAACTGATTTATATAATGCTATACAAGGTATGTAGCCCAGGAACTGACCAGCCTGATGTGTGCTATAATCCATCTGAGCTCCCTATGACTACCATTTTTAAAATAAGTTAAAGACTGGCAACTTCTGGGTTCTGAAAAACCTCAATTATTAGACAATACTGTATAGCAAGGGTGAGGACGGACTTCACCCTTCCTATGGGAAGACTCAGCTGCCTTGGGCAAAAACTGTATAATAGTACTACAAAAACAGCCACTTAGTGGAGTTCAAACCACACTGAAAAAAATCTGTTTAGTAAATTTCCAAAGTTGCAAACCATGTGGACCCACCTGGCATCCCACCGGGACTGGACAGCCCCCACTGGATTATACCGGATATGTGGGCATAGAGCCTATGCCAAGTTACCTGACCAATGGGCAGGTAGTTGTGTTATTGACACCATTAAACCATCCTTTTTCCTACTGCCCATAAAAACAGGTGAGCTCCTGGGCTTCCCTGTCTATGCTTCCCGAGAAAAAAAAAAGCATAGCTATAGGCAACTGGAAAGATGACAAGTGGCCCCCTGAAAGAATCATACAGTATCATGGACCTGCCACTTGGGCACAGGATGGCTTGTGGGGATACCAAACCTCCATTTATATGCTCAACCAAATCATACAGTTACAAACTGCCTTACAAATAATCACTAATAAAACTGGCAGAGCTCCAACTGTTTTAGCCTGGCAAGAAACCCAGAAGAGAAATGCTATTCATAAAAATAGACTAGCCCTAGACTACTTGCTAGCAGCTGAAGGAGGGGTCTGTGGAAAGTTTAACCTGACCAATTGCTGTCTGCACATAGATGACCAAGGGCAAGTAGTTGAAGATATAGTTAAAGATATAACAAAGCTGGCACATGTGCCTGTGCAGGTGTGGCATGGGTTTAATCCTAGGTCCATGTTTGGAAAATGGTTTCCAGCACTAGGAGGATTTAAAACTCCTATATAGGAATTATAATAGTAACAGGAACCTGCTTGTTGCTTCCCTGTGTGCTGCCTTTGCTCCTTCAAGTAATGAAAAGTTTTGTCACTACCTTAGTCCATCAAAATACTTCAGCACAATTGTACTATATGAATCACTATTAATCTATCTTGCAAGAAGACATGGGTAGTGAGGATGAAAGTGAAAACTCCCATTAATGAGTGAGGTTCTCAAAGCGGGGGAATAAGGGAGGAGACCACACCTCACATTGTCTTATGCCCAATTTCTGCCTCCAAAGAAAGGAGAAGTAAAAACTAAAAGGCAGAAACGAAATCCACAGGCAGACAGCCCGTTGCCGCACCCTGGGCCTGGTTAAAGATCGACCCCTGACCTAACCGGTTATGTTATCTATAGATTCCAGACATTGTATGGAAAAGCATTGTGAAAATCCCTGTCCTGTTCTGTTCCATTCTAATTATCGGTGCATGCAACCCCCAGTCCCGTACCCACTGCTTGCTCAATCAATCACAACCCTCTCACATGGACCTTCCCCCTTAAAGTTGTAAGCCCTTAAAAAGGACAGGAATTCCTCACTTGGGGAGCTCGGCTTTTGAGACACAAGTCTGCCAAAGTTCCCAGCTGAATAAAGCTCCTTCCTTCTTTAACCCAGTGTCTGAGGAGTTTTGTCTGCGGCTCATCCTGCTACAAAAGAATCTGGGGGTAGTCCACAGAGTATAGTGAAAGCAAGTTTATTAAGAAAGCAAAGGAATGAAAGAATGGCTACTCAATGGGCAGAGCAGGGAGTTCCCAGAAGCAAGAGGAGGAAGGTGCCCACCTTAGGTCCAATGCTTGTTTATATATGAAATAACAAAGCAAATAATCATGGGGGAGATGTGCTCTACTACGCAGGCTTTTGACAAAGGATTGTGTAACTACTTTGTATAACTACTGTCTTCCACAAGAACCTATATTATTATCTTTATTTATTAATTTTTGAGACGGAGTCTCCCTCTGTTGCCCAGACCGGACAGTGCAGTGACATGATCTTGGCCCACTGCAATCTGCAACTCCCAGGTTCAAGTGATTCTCCTGCCTCAGCCTCCCAAGAAGCCAGGATTACAGGCATGTGCCACCACGCCAGGCTAATTTTTGTACTTTTAGTGGAGACAGGGTTTCACCATGTTAGCCAGGCTGGTTTCAAACTCCTGACCTCAGGTGATGCACCCGCCTCGGCCTCCCAAAGTGTTGGGATTACAGGCATGAGCCACTGTGCCTGGCCTAATATGGCATTTCTTTTCTTTTTCTTTTTTGAGATGGAGTCTTGCTCTTGTCGCCCAGACTGGAGTGCAATGGCACGATCTTGGCTCACTGCAACCTCTGCCTCCGGGTTCATGCGATTTTCCTGCCTCAGCCTCCCGAGTAGCTGGGATTACAGGCACCCACCACCACGCCCGGCTAATTTTTGTATTTTTAATAGAGACAGGGTTTCGCCATGTTGGCCAGGCTGGTCTCGAACTCCTGAGAAGCTGCAGGTGTTAGGAACTTGTTTGTTCACTGTTACTTCTCTCCTATCCAGAAGTGAGGCATATAGAACTTGTTCCAAAAAATAGTTTGGATGAATGAATGAATAAAAGGTTAATCCTATATCTATTGCTTCAATCAGAAAACTTATTTCCTTATAATTTACTGTTGTGTCTTTCCTTACTAGAAGGTAAAATCTATGAAATACAGACAGCTGGGTTTTGCTCCTTGCTGAATCCTCAATGCCTAGAACAGTGCTTAGCACTGGCACATGCTGTCATAATATCCACTGAATGACTATGTGGAAAGGTAGGCTTTCTCTTTTGGCCAACATCAGCATCTTTTTTGTGACATCAATGTATTTCAGATGTTTAGCTCAGTAAGATAATGGTTGAGAATAACCACAATACTGTGAGTGGCTGACAGCTGAACACTCTGGCTCCCTGAGGTAAATACTCACTTGCAGCTGAATGGTGATCAGAAGGGAACCACAGGAATGCTGTCTCCAAGAGCACTGCCTGCAAGAAGGAGGCACTGGTGGCCGGCACAGGTGGCCTGTGGATGCTACACTTCACAGCTTTGGTCCAGCACCAGCAAAATAGTGAGGCAAGACCATTGTGTTCTTGAGTTCCGTGTTATACTCACCTCTCTTTCACCAGAATGCAACTCTTGGAGAAGCAGAAAAAGTAATGTGCTTGTAATAACCATTCACGTCTTTATAGGAGTCAAGTGTCTCTAGCTAGAACCCTTTTATTTCACATCTATTCACTTTTCTTCTTTTATTATTAGTGACAAGGTAACAATCATATTCACATCAAGGAAAACTAGAATATGGAAAAAAATCATCTCAAGTATGTTTAGAATTTTGTGTGTATTTCCATCGCCCTTTATTTCTGAAAGTATATTATATATACAGAATTCACCTAGTTTGTAGTTTGTGTTCTGCATTTTTTTTTCTTTTTTCTTTTTTTTTTTTTTTTTTTCAGATGGAGTCTCGCTCTGCCGCCCAGGCTGGAGAGCAGTGGTGTGATCTCGCTTCACTGCAACCTCCGCCTCCCAGGTTCAATCGATTCTCCTGCCTCAGCCTCTCGAGTAGCTGGGATTACAGGCACGTGCCACCATGCCCAGCTAATTTTTTGTATTTTTAGTAGAGACGGGGTTTCACCATGTTAGCCAGGATGGTCTCGATCTCCTAATATCATGATCCACCCATCTCGGCCTCCCAAAGTGCTGGGATTACAGGCGTGAGCCACCGTGCCTGGCAGATGTTCTGCTTTTTTCATTTAACATTGTTTTATGCTTACAAGTATCTTTCCAGCTGGGCATGGTGGCTCACACCTGTAATCCCAACACTTTGGGAGGCCAAGGCCGGCAGATCACCTGAGGTCAGGCATTTGAGACCAGCCTGGCCAACATGGCAAAACTCCGTCTCTATTAAAAATACAAAAATTAGCAGGGCATGGTGGTGCACACCTGTAATCCCAGCTACTTGAGAGGCTGAGGCAGGAGAATCGCTTGAACCCAGGAGGTGGAGGTTGCAGTGAGCTGAGATCGCACCACTCACTGCACCCCAGCCTGGATGACAGGGCGAGACTCTGTCTCAAAAAAAGAAAAAAAAAAGTATCTTTCCATGCAATTAGACTTCATAACCACTTATTTAAATGCACTGCCATGCATTTAAGGATTTGATTTTTTTTTTTTCTTTTTCTTTGAAACGGAGTTTCGCTCTTGCTGCCCAGGCTGGAGTGCAATGGTGCAATCTCAGCTCACCACAACCTTCACCTCCGGAGTTCAAGTGATTCTCCTGCCTTAGCCTCCCGAGTAGCTGGCATGCACCACCACGCCCGGCTAATTTTGTATTTTTAGTAGAGGCGGGGTTTCTCCATGTTGGTCAGGCTGGTCTTGAACCCCTGACCTCAGGTAATCCACCTGCCTCGACCTCCCAAGTCCTGGGATTACAGGTGTGAGCCACCGCACCTGGCCTATTTTTTATTTTTTTGAGACAGGGTCTCGCTCTGTCACCCAGGCTGGAGTGCAGTGGCACAATCTTGGCTCACTGAAGCCTCGATCTCCTGGGCTCAAGCTATCCTCCTGCCTTAGCCTCCCATGTAGTTGTGCCTATAGGTCTGTGCCACCTCACCCGACTAATTTTTGTATTTTTTGTAGAGATGGGGTTTTGCCACATTGCCCAGGCTGGTCTCAAACTCCTGGGCTCCCTTGGCCTCCGAAACTGCTGGGATTACAGGTGTGAGCCACTGCGCCTGACCTACGATTTTCAACTATATTATTCATTTCACTGTCAGATAAGCCCGAAAAAGTCACTCAAAGAGTTTGAAAGACAAAAACTCAAGGTACTTAATATCTTTAAGACCTTGTTAAATATCAGGTTTGAAAAACGAAAGTTCACAAAATTATACAGATGACAAGTACATGAAAAAATGATCAACATCATTAGTCATCAGGGAAATGTAAATTAAAACCACACTGCCAACTGACTAAAATGATAAAGTTAAAAAGACTGACAATATCAGGCCGGGCACAGTGGCTCATGCCTGTAATCCCAGGACTTTGGGAGGCCGAGCGGGTGGATCACCCAAGGTCCGGAGTTCATGACCAGCCTGACCAACATGGTGAAACCCCGTCTCTACTAAAAATACAAAAATCAGCTGGGCATGGTGGTGCGCGCCTGTAATCCCAGCTACTTGGGAGGCTGAGGCAGGAGAATCACATGAACCCGGGAGGTGGAGGTTGCAGTGAGCCGAGATCACGCCATTGCACTCCAGCCTGGGCAACAAACAGCGAAACTCCATCTAAAAAAAAAAAAAAAAAAAAAAATGACTGACAATATAAACTGCTGACAAGGATGCAGAATACCTAGAATTCTCACACATTGCTAATGGAATTACAAAATTATAGCCACTTAAAGAATAGTTTGGTAGTTTCATATAAAGTTAAACATGCATTTGCCATATGACCAGCAATCCCGATCCTAGCCATTTACACAAGAGAAATGAAACCATATGTCTATAAAAAGATCTCTATGTGAATGTTTATAGCAGCTTTATTCATGATAAACAAAAGATGAGATAACTCAAATGTTCATCAACAGGTGACTGGATATACAAATTACAATTCATCCATACAAAGGAATACAATTCAGTAATAAAAAGCAATGAACTGCTGATAAATGCAACCACACAGATGAATCCTAAAACATGATGCTATGTGAAAGCAGCCAGACACAGAGGGCTACTCTGAACTGTTTTTACTCACAACACTTCTGACAACCGGTTCTCCAGCTCTCCAAACACCAAGTGGGTGTCACTACAATTCAGTTCAGTTCTGCCACTAACGACCCAGAGTTCGTGTCAGACTGCAAAGCCTTAAAGGCTCAGTCCCACAAGACTACTTTCACTGTAGATGGTATTTTCAAGTACCAGGCTGCCACTTGTGCTTCTAAGGTCAACTGGCTATAAATTGGGGGTTCCTGTGACCCTGATCCAGTGATTGTGCTACTTGTCAAGTTCAATAATTTGCTAAAACAGCTCATAAAACTCAGAAAAACACTTTACATTTACTGGTGGGTTTGTTGTTGTTGTTGTTGTTGTTGTTGTTGTTGTTTGAGACAGAGTCTTGCCCTGTCTCCCAAGCCGGAGTGCAGTGGCATGATCACAGCTCACTGTAACCTTGAATGCCTGGGCTCAAGAGATCTTGCCTCAGCCCCCTCAGTAGGCTGGCTAATTTATTACAAACATTTTTTTGTAGAGAAGGGACATGTACTCGTTTATTATACAGCATACAACTCAGGAACAGCCAGATGAAGAGATGCATAGGGCAAGGTATGGGGAAGGAGCATCCGTGCTCTCTCTGGGCATACTACCCTCCTGGTACCTCGATGTGTTCACCAACCCAGAAGCTCTCCAATTCTTATTGTTCAGGGGTTGGTTTGTTTGTTCGTTTTTGAGACGGAGTCTTGTTCTGTTGCCCAGACTAGAATGCAGTGGTCCCCCCATCTTGGCTGATTGCAACTTCCACCTCCTGGGTTCAAGCAATTCTCCTGCCTCAGTCCCCTGAGCAGCTGGGATTACAGGCGTGGGCCAACATGCCTGGCTAATTTTTGTATTTTTAGTACAGATGGGGTTTCACCATGTTGGCCAGGCTGGTCTCAAACTCCTGGCGTCAAGTGACCTGCCTGCCTCGGCCTCCCAAGTGCTGGGATTACAGGTGTGAGCTACTGTACCCAGACTTTTCAGGGGTTTTTGTTTGTTTGCTTTTTGAGGCAGAGTTTCACTCTATTGCCCAGGCTGGAGTGCAGTGGCATGATTTCAGGTCACTGCAACCTCCGCCTCCCGGGTTCAAGTGGTTCTCCTGCCTCAGTCTCCCAAGCAGCTGGGACTACAGGCACGCACCACGATGCTGGGCTATTTTTTTATTTTTAGTAGAAACAGGGTTTCGTCATGTTAGCCAGGCTGGTCTCGAACTCCTGGGCTCAGGTGATCCGCCCGCCTCGCCCTCCCAAAGTGCTGGGATTACAGGCACTGCGCCTGGCCCCTGTTCAGGGGTTTTAATGGAGGTTTTATTACATGGGCAAAATTGATTAAAACATTGGCCTTGGTGATTGACCTCAACATCCAGCCCCTTTCCCCTCCCCAGGGTTCAGGAGGTGAAGCTGAACATTCCCATTCCACTCCTGGGTCTTTCTGGAAACCAGCCCCCTCTGCCTCCTGGGTTCAAGAGATTCTCCTGCCTCACCCTCCCAAGTAGCTGGGATTACAAGCGCCTGACACCACGTCCGGCTAATTTTTGTATTTTTAGTAGAGACGGGGTTTCGCCATGTTGGCCAGGATGTCTCAAATTCCTGACCTGAGGTGATTCACCTGCCTCAGCCTCCCAAAGTGCTGGGATTACAGGCATGAGCCACCACGCCTAGCCTTTTTTTTTTTTTTTTTTTTTTTTTTTTTTTTGTTGAGATGGAGTTTCACTCTTGTCTCCCAGGCTGGAGTGCAGTGGTGCAATCTCGGCTCACTGCACCCTCCGCTTCCTGGGTTCAAGCGATTCTCCTGCCTCAGTCTCCCGAGTAGCTGGGATTACAGGCACCCGCCACTGTGCCTGGCTAACTCTTGTATTTTTAGTAGAGATGAGGTTTCACTGTGTTGGCCAGGCTGGTCTCAAACTCCTTGACCTCAGGTGATCCACGCACTTCAGCCTCCCAAAGTGCTGGGATTACAGGTGTGAGCCACTGCGCCCAGCCAATTTTTTGTTTTTTTAATTGGCAAATAAAAATTGTATATATTGGCCAGGCGCAGTGGCTCACATTTATAATCCCAGCACTTTGGGAGGCCGAGGCAGGCGGATCACGAGGTCAGGAGTTTGAGACCAGCCTGGCCAACAAAGTGAACCCTGTCTCTACTAAAAATACAAAAATTAGCCAGGCATGGTGGCGCGTGCCTGTAGTCCCAGCTACTTGGGAGGCTGCAGCAGGAGAATCGCTTGAACCTGGGAGACGGAGGTTGCGGTGAGCCGAAATCATACCACTGCACTCCAGCCTGGGTGACAGAGTGAGACTCCATCTCAAAAATAAAAACAAAAAAAAACTGTACGTATTTATGGGGTATGTTTTGATATACGTATACATGGTGGAATGGCTAAATCAAGCTAATAAACATATGCATTACCTCACATACTTTTATTACTTTGGGGTG
Source organism: Homo sapiens (assembly GCF_000001405.40). Lineage (NCBI taxonomy): Eukaryota > Metazoa > Chordata > Mammalia > Primates > Hominidae > Homo > Homo sapiens. Next base: position 112,839,241 of record NC_000001.11, read on the forward strand.
AGAACATTTATAATCTATTCTCTTGGCAATTCTCAAGTATATGTTTTTATTAACTATAGTCGCCATGTTATACAACAGATCACTTAAACTTATTCTTCCTAGCCGAAATGTATCCTGGCTGGGCGCGGTGGCTCACGCCTGTAATCCCAGCACTTTATGAGGCCGAGGCGGGTGGATCACGAGGTCAGGAGTTCAAGACCAGCCTGGCCAAGATGGTAAAACCCCATCTCTACTAAAACTACAAAAATTAGCCAGGTGTGGTGGCAGGTGCATGTAATCCCAGCTACTCAGGAGGCTGAGGCAGGAGAATCACTTGAACCCAGGTGGCAGAGGTTGCAGTGAGCTGAGATCACGCCACTGCACTCCAGAGCAACAGAGTGAGAATCCAACTCAAAAAAAAAAAAAAAATGAAATGTATCCTTTGACCAACATCTCCCCATTCTCCCCTTCTTCACCCTCAGTGCTTGATCATCACTATTCTCTATTTCTATGAGTTGTACTTTTGTAGATTCTACATATAAGTGAGATCATGTAGTATTTGTGTTTCTTTGCCTGGCTTATTTTACTTCACACAATGTCCTCCAGGTTCATCCACGTTGTCACAAATGACAGGATTTCCTTTTTTTTTTTTTTTTGAGGCACAGTCTCAGTCTGTCGCCCAGGCTGGAGTGCAGTGGGGTGATCTCAGCTTACTGCAACCTCCGCCTCCCAGGTTCACGCCATTCTCCTACCTCAGCTTCCCGAGTAGCTGGGATTGCAGGTGCCTGTCTATGCCACCATACCTGTCTAATTTTTGTATTTTTAGTAGAGATGGGGTTTCATCGTGTTAGCCAGGATGGTCTAGATCTCCTGACCTGGTGATCCACCCGCCTTGGCCTCCCAAAGTGCAGGATTTCCATTTTTTAAGGCAAAATAGTATTCCACTGTGTATACATATCACTAGATACGATTTTTGATCTGTTTTGTGCTGAATACTTCCATAAGCTTCTTGTGTCCTTACTTTAACATTCCTTCATCATTCATTCAGTGTTCAAATTATTGAAAATGCATTATTGAATGCTTTCTGTCCTTGACTTTTTTCTGGATTTTCTTCCTGTCATGCAGGCCAATTACTCCTTTCTATTTTGATTCAGTGACTCCATTTCTTCTGCCTCCTCTGTCTTAACAAAGGTTGGCAAGTGACCAAAAACATAACTTGACCTGACTTGAATAAAAAGAAAATGTAGGCCAGGTACAGTGGCTCATACCTGTAATCCCAGCACTTTAGGAGGCCAAAGCAGGAGAATCATTTGAGACCAGGAGTTCAAGACCAGCCTGGGCAACACAGTCAGATACTGCTTCTACAAAAAAAAAAAAAAATCAAAAAATTAGCCAGGTATGGTGGCATGCCTGCAGTGCCAGCTGCTCAGGAGGCTGAGATGGGAGGGTGGCTTAAGCTTAGGAAGTTGAGGTGGGAGGGTGGCTTGAGCTCAGGAAGTTGAGGTGGGAGGGTGGCTTGAGCTCAGGAAGTTGTGGCTGCAGTAAGCTGTGATCATGCCACAGCATTCCAGCCTGGGCAACAGAGTGAGACCTTGTCTCAAAAGGAAAAAGAAAATGCTTTTGGCTCATGTGACTGAGAAATCTAAAGTGGGGTTCTGGTTTTAGGCACAGTTGAATGCAAGAACCAAATAATATTGGTTCTACTTTCTTCTGTGTTGGTTCCGCTTTCAGACATGCCCTCAATTCACTGGTGCAAGAATTGCTAGTAACTTCAACTTTACACACTCTCCTATAACAATTCTAGCTTCTTTCCAGGCAACAGAATTCCAAGAATGAACATGCTGGGAATATAATTAGCTTTGAGTAAGTACTTGGTTCACTCAAGGCTAATCACTGTGTAAGCTTTGATTGGCGGGATCTAATTTGCATGCTTACTCCTGAAGCCTGGGGTCTAGTGGATAGAATGTAAAGCCAACGTTTTAAAGTGCTACAAAGGGTCTACATAATTTGCCCTGACTTCATCTCCTACATTTATCCCTCCTGGATCATACTATTCCAACTACAATGGCCTTCTTACTATTGTTAGAGGATGTCAAGTGTGTTCTTTAGGGTTTCTCAACCCTAAAGGAGTTAGGTGTGCCTGGAGTGTTTGTTTACTCAGGTATCACTTCAAATCAAATGTTTACATTATCAGGGAGGCTTTTCAGGGCCATCCTGGATCAAATGTCAACCTCTGACTTCGCACTCCTTACCTTGCTTTATCTTTCTCCCTAGCGCCTATCTAAAAGATTATCTAAATAAGAGTAAACACTCATATAGTGCTTTCTATGAGGCAGGAATTAGATTAAGCACTTTAGTTGATTAACGAATTTAATACTTTCAACAACCGTATAAAAAAAGTACTATTATTTTTTTTAAGAGTAGGGGAGGCTGGGCGCGGTGGCTCACGCCTGTAATCTCAGCACTTTGGGAGGCTGAGGCGGGCAGATCATAAGGTCAGGAGTTTGAGACCAGCCTGGCCAACATGGTAAAACCCTGTCTCTACTAAAACTACAAAAATTAGCTGGGCGTGGTGGCAGGCGCCTGTAATCCCAGCTACTCGGGAGGCTGAGGCAGGAGAATCGCTTGAACCCAGGAGGCGGAGGTTGCAGTGAGCTGAGATCACGCCACTGCACTCCAGCCTGGGGGAGAGGACGAGACGTCGTCTCAAAAAAAAAAAAAAAAGGGGTAGGGGAAATTGAGGAACAGAAAGGCTAAGCAGCTTGCTCAGGATGTGGTGGAGCAGAAATTCAAACCTAATCAGAATGTCTCCCAAGTCTGTGCTCTTTAGCACTAGGCTATGTTTCCTCTTATTCTCAGTCTCCCTCCACAAAAAAAAATATGGTGCATTAAAGGAGGAACTTTTTTTTTTTGAGATGGAGTTTCGCTCTTGTTGCCTAAGCTGGAGTACAACGGTGCGAACTCAGCTCACTGCAACCTCTGCCTCAGCCCCCCGAGTAGCTGGGATTACAGGTGTGTGCCACCATTCCAGGCTAATTTTTTGTATTTTTAGTAGAAACGGGTTTTCACCATGTTAGCTAGGCTGGTCTTGAACTCCTGACCTCAGGTGATCCACCTGCCTCAGCCTCCCAAAGTGCTGGGATTACAGGCGTGAACCACTGTGCCTGGCCTAAAGCAGAAACCTTTTTTTTTTGTTTGTTTGAGACGGAGTCTCTGTTGCCCAGGCTGGAGTGCAGTGGCACAATCTCGGCTCACTGCAAGCTCTGCCTCCCGGTTTCACACCATTCTCCTGCCTCAGCCTCCTAGGTAGCTGGGACTACAGGTGCCCGCCACCACACCTGGCTTATTTTTTATATTTTTAGTAGAGATGGGGTTTCACCGTGTTAGCCAGGATGGTCTCGATCTCCTGACCTCGTGATCTGCCCACCTCAGCTTCCCAAAGTGCTGGGATTACAGGCATGAGTCACCGTGTCCGGCCCTTTTTTTTTTTCCCCCCAGCACTTAGGAAGGCTGAGGTGGGTAAATCACCTGAGGTCAGGAGTTTGAGACCAGCCTAGCCAACATGGGGAAACCCCGTCTCTACTAAAAATACAAAAATTAGCCGGGCGTGGTGGCGCATGTCTGTAGTCCCAGCTACTCAGGAAGCTGAGGCAGGAGAATCACTTGAACCCAGGAGGTGGAGATTGCAGTGAGCCCAGATCGTGCCATTGCACCCCAGCCTGGTGACAGAGTGAGACTCCGTCTCAAAACAAAAACAAAAACATGCATCTCACACATGACCTTCTAAATCAATACTCTACACCCAGATCACATCTGTTTCAGTGGCATCATTACCATTTATGTGATGATTCGATCACCAGCTCAAATCACTGGCCAAACAAGAAGCTGGGAGCCATCCTTCTCTCATTTGCCTTCATGCCCCATATCTGACCAACATGAATAGCTCTTGAACCTATCCTCCTCTCCACTCTCACAACCACTACACCTGAGATCAGGTCGCCATTTCCTATAGTTTAATGTAACAGCTTCCTAGTTCATTTCCCTGTCTTCCACCTTTCTGTCTTCCCCTGATTATTTTGATTATTCATCAGAATGAGTAAGATTACGCCATGAAGTTCTTAGAAATACAATTTTCCACCCATTGCCACTCACTCATTGATGGAGCAGACAAACAGAGGTAATCAAAAGTCCTTGAGAGAATAAGCATCTTCCATTTCCCCTGCAAGAGTTATGATCCGTGTAGAAGCCATTTCAAAGTTTCCCCAATCTGGGGCCGGGCGCGGTAGCTCACACCTGTAATCCTAGCACTTTGGGAGACCGAGGCAGGCGAGTCACTTGAGGCCAGGAGTTGAGACCCGTCTGGCCAACATAGCAAAACCCCGTCTCTACTACAAATACAAAAAAGTAGCTGGGTGTGGTGGCATGCGCCTGTAATCCTGGCTACTTGGGAGGCTGAAGCAGGAGAATCCCTTGAACCCGGGAGGCGGAGGTTTTAGTGAGCCGAGATCATGCTGTTATACTTCAACCTGAGCAACAGAGTGAGACACTGTCTCAAAAAAAAAAACCAAAAAAAATTAAAAAAAATAAAAGCATATGAAACTGACAGTAGCTGGGTACAGTGGCTCACACCTGTAATTCCAGCACTTTGAGAGACCGAGACGGGCAGATTACCTGAGGTCAGGAATTGGAGACCAGCCTGGCCAACATGGTGAAACCCTGTCTCTACTAAAAATACAAAAATTAGCGGGGTATGGTGGCGGGCAGCTGTAATCCCAGCACTTTGGGAGGCCGAGGCAGGTGGATCACAAGGTCAGGAGATTGAGACTATCCTGGCTAACACGGTGAAACCTCGTCTTTACTAAAAATACAAAAAATTAGCCAGGCGTGGTGGCGGTCCCCTGTAGTCCCAGCTACTCCGGAGGCTGAGGCAGGAGAATGGCGTGAACCCGGGAGGGCGGAGCTTGCAGTGAGCCAAGATCGCGCCACTGCACTACAGCCTGGGCAACAGAGCGAGACTTTGTCTCCAAAAAAAAATAAAAGAGTGAAACTCCATCCCCCGCCCAAAAAAAATTATTACGTAATTGTTGCGCCTCCTCACTGTGTTCTAGAGTGCCTGATTTATTGAAATAATTTTAAAACCCGTTGCTGGGCGCTGTGGCTCACGCCTGTAATCCCAGCACTTTGGGAGGCCCAGGTGGGTGGATCATGAGGTGAGGAGATCCAGACCATTCTGGCTAACACGGTGAAACCCCATCTCTACTAAAAATACAAAAAATTAGCCGGGTGTTGGTGGTGGGCGCCTGTAGTACCAGCTACTCGGGAGGCTGAGGGCTGAGGCAGGAGAATGGCGTGAACCCGGGAGGCGGAGCTTGCAGTGAGCCGAGATCAGGCCACTGCACTCCAGCCTGGGTGACAAAGCAAGAAAGACTCCGTCTCAAAAAAAAAAAAAAAAAAAAAAAAACTATTATAGATTTAAATCTATTTTATTATTATTATTATTTTTTGAGACCAAGTCTCGCTCTGTCGCCCAAGCTGCAGTGCAGTGGCCTGATCTCCGCTCACTGCAACCTCTGCCTCCCGGGTTCAAGCGATTCTCCTGTCTCGCCCTCCCGAGTAGCTGGGACCACAGGCGCGTGCCATCACACCTGGCTGATGTTTTTTATTTTTAGTAGAGACAGGGTTTCACCATGTTAGCCAGGATGGTCTCGATCGCCTGACCTCGTGATCTGCCTGCCTCAGCCTCCCAAAGTGCTGGGATTACAGGCGTGAGCCACCGCGCCCGGCAGATTTAAATCTATTTTAAAACCAAATTTATAATGTATCCTGAATATCTAGAGAGACATTTATAACTAAAGATTAAAAATCAACTTATTTTTCAGGAATCAAAAAGTGGATTACATAAAGTCCTAATTTATACTACTCTTTTTTTTTTTTTTTTTTTTGAGATGGAGTCTGACTCTGTTGCCCAGCTGGAGTGCAGTGGTGTGATCTCGGCTCACTGCAACCTTTGCATCCCAGGTTCAAGTGATTCTCCTGCCTCAGGTTCCCGAGTAGCTGGGATTGCAGGCACTGGCCACTATGCCCAACTAATTTTTTGTATTTTTAGTAAAGATGGGGTTTCACGATGTTGGCCAGGCTGGTCTCAAACTCCTTACCTCAGGCTATCCACCCACCTCGGCCTCCCAAAGTGCTGAGATTACAGGTATGAGTCACCACACCTAGCCATAGTATTCTATTGTCTTTTAACATAACATCTCAGATTTACATTCAAGAGAACTAAATGTGTGTTAAAGTGACTCCCAAGTCTGTGGTCTTAAACTGTTTTGTCCCAAAAGAACTTTGGAATATATATATATCCCCTTACACATTGCTTACTAAATGTGCTGTTTAACAGTTGCAAAGATATAATTTCTGGCATATTGTATGTTGTGTTATAAGTGCTTTAAATATATCTTCATCAAAACCTTGGTGCTTTGCTCACTTGATTTATGGAAAAGTGCCACTTACTGGCCAGTCTTCAAAAGGTCTGAACTCATTTGCATTCAAAGCAGTGAGTTGATAAACATTTGTTATAACCATCACTCTTTCAAATTCTAAGCATGATAGAAGGCAGTCACATACATAAAAGGCAGAAGTTTGATGCTTAGGTGAAATTAGTTTGTCTCCTTCAATATTTTTCTCTCCAGAGCTATCTATTTTCTCCCCAAAGGTTTTGAACTGGAATGAGTGAGTTAGCCTTTCTTTTGTACCGAGAGATAAGATTTGTGTAATAGAGTTGGGAAAGAAGTCCTGAAGCACCCATTGTTTTTTTTTTTTTTTTTTTTTTTTTGTTGTTGTTGTTGTTGTTTGAGACGAGTCTCACTCTGTCACCAGGTTGGAGTGCAGTGCTGCAGTCTCGGCTCACTGCAACCTCCGCCTCCCGGGTTCAAGCAATTCTCCTGCCTCAGCCTTCTGAGTAGCTGAGACTACAGGCAAGTGCCACCACGGCCAGCTAATTTTGTATTTTTAGTAGAGACCAGGTTTCACCATGTTGGCCAGGATGGTCTCGATCTCTTGACTTCGTGATCTGCCCACCTCGGCCTCCCAAAGTGCTGGGATTACAGGCGTGAGCCACCGCGCCCGGCCCGGCGCTCTTATTTCAGGAGAGATCATTTTAAATTCAGGTTACATATGAAACTGAGGATTTGCAAAATAACTTTTGAAAACGATAGCAACGTTTGAAACTAAAAGTTACTTATGCTAGCATTTCTAAATGTTCCATTTGAATTATAGAAGCATAATATCAGTTTAAAGGAAACAATCTGAGTTCTAGAATTAAATAGAAATCCCCAGGGCATGCATGTTACATTTTTCTCTAAATTAAGAGTAAAAAAAAAATTAAAGTTTATTCATCTTAGACTATTTACATGAATGCTTAAATGCTGACAATATAAACCCTAGAATATAGTCATTAAAATAAAAATCACTTCCTTTACAGTACACTTACAATAACTGCAACGATCAATTTCTCTTTCCAAAGATTGTCAGTAAGTTGTTAATCTACTTCTCTGTTCTCTGTTTTTTGTTTTGTTTTGTTTTGTTTTTTTGAGACAGAGTCTTGCTCTGTCACCCAGGCTGGAGTGCAGTGGCGTGATCTCAGCTCACTGCAGCCTCTGTCTCACGGGTTCCAGTGATTCTTCTGCCTCAGCCTCCTGGGTAGCTGGGACTACAGGTGCATGCCACCATGACTCGCTAATTTTTGTATTTTTAGTAGAGACGTGGTTTCACCATGTTGGCCAGGCTGGTCTCGAACTCCTGACCTCAAGTGATCCACCTGCCTCAGCCTCCCAAAGTGCTGGGATTACAGGCGTGAGCCACCATGCCTGGCCCTGTTCTCTGTTTTCTTTCTTATTTTATTTATTTTTTGAGACGGAGTCGCCCAGGCTGGAGTCCGTGGCGCCATCTTGGCTCACTGCAACCTCCACCCCGCCGGGTTCAAGTAATTCACCTGCCTCAGCCTCCCGAGTAGCTGGGATAGCTGGGATTAAAGGCGTGCACCACCACGCCGGGCTAATTTTTGTATTTTTAGTAGAGACGGAGTTTCGCCATGTTGGCCAAGCTGGTCTCAAACTCCTGACCTGAAGTAATCCACCTGCCTCGGCCTCCCAAAGTGCTGGGATTACAGGCATGAGCCACCACGCCGGGCCTATTGAGTTTTCTACAGGACAAACCACAAGTAGCAACACAGTGCAATCACAAAAGAGGAAGGTAAGCTTTTAAATTTCTAATTTGCAGAGCGGGTGTTCCAAATCTGAAATTCATCGACCTCTACACGGGTTGCTGAAATTGATGCGACAAAAGCCTGCATCTTTTTTTTTTTTTTTTTTTTTTTTTTTTTTTTTTTTTTTTTTGAGAGGGAGTCTGGCTCTGTCGCCCAGGCTGGAATGCAGTGGCGTGATCTCGGCTCACCGCAACCTCCGCCTCCTGGGTTCACGCCATTCTCCTGCCTCAGCCTCCCAAGTAGCTGGGACTACAGGCGCCCGCCACCACGCCTGGCTATTTTTTTGTATTTTTAGTAGAGACGGGGTTTCACCGTGTTAGCCAGGATGATCTCTATCTCTTGACCTCGTGATCTGCCCACCTCCGCCTCCCAAAGTGCTGGGATTACAGGCGTGAGCCACCGCGCCTGGCCAAAGGCCTGCATCTTTTTTTTTTTTTTTTTTTTTTTTGAGATGGAGTCTTGCTCTGTGGCCCAGGTTGGAGTGCAGTGGCATGATCTCGGCTCACTGCAAGCTCTGCCTCCCGGGTTCACGCCATTCTCCTGCCTCAGCCTCCTGAGTAGCTGGGACTACAGGCGCCCACCACCGCACCCAGCTAATGTTTTGTATTTTTAGTGGAGACGGGATTTCACCATGTTAGCCAGGATGGTCTCGATCTCCTGACCTCGTGATCCGCCCGCCTCAGCCTCCGAAAGTGCTGGGATTACAGACGTGAGCTACCGCACCCAGCCAGGCCTGCATCTTGAAGTGAGTTACTGAAGACAAAGTTTGGCGCTAATTTAAATAATGTGACTGATGCGACTGATTGCGACCACAACGGAAGGGTACCCCACAGGTCACAATAATTATCCCAAAATTAACTGAAGATGCCCACTGTTACTTCTGTTTAACCATGTGTTAACCATGTAGTTATGGGAACTACAATGACGTTCACTACCTTAGAGAAACTTACAATCTTGGGCCAGGTGCCGCACTTCACAACTATAATCCTAGCACTTTGGGAGGCCGAGGAGGCTGAATCACCTGAGGTCAGGAGCTCGAGACCAGCCTGGCTAACATGGTGAAACCCCATCTCTACTAAAACTACAAAAAATTAGCTGCGTGTGGTGGCAGGCACTTGTAATCCCAGCTACTCGGGAGCCTGAGGCAGGAGAATCACTTGAACCCGGGAGGCGGAGGTTGAGGTGAGCCAAGATCGCGCCACTGCACTGCAGCCTGGGCAATAAGAGCGAAACTCTGTCTAAAAAAAAAAAAAAAGAAAGAAAAACAGAAACTTACAATCTGTTACAGGAGACAGCAAACAAAAATAATACAAGGTTCGGCTGGGCGCGGTGGCTCACGCCTGTAATCCCAGCACTTTGGGAGGCCGAGGCGGGTGGATCTGAGGTCAGGAGTTCAAGACCAGCCTGGCCAAGATGGTGAAACCCCGTCTCTACTAAAAATACAAAAAAATTAGCCGGGCATGGTGGTGGTCACCTGTAATCCCAGCCACTCGGGAGGCTGAGGCAGAGAATTGCTTGAACCCGGGAGATGGAGGTTGCGATGAGCCGAGATCGCGCCACTGCACTCCAGCCTGGGCGACAGAGCGAGACTCGTCTCAATAATAATAATAATAATAATAATAATAATAATAATAATAATAATAATAATAAGGTTCACGTACTACAAAGCAGAGAACAGGGAGGGGAAGGAATTAGAAGAGAATTTCTATGGGCAGAGCAAAGTCATGGGTCACGGGAATCACGAACTGGGGAAAATTATTTGTCAGGTTTAATTAAAGGAAGAGGAACAAATAGAGTTTAAAGATTAGAAGGTTACAGGTGGCACCCCACAATCCCCAAAACAAACCCCACCTCGGCTCAGCCCCAGTCACCTCCCAAGGGGGTATATCTTGCCCAGAGAGCCTGAAGGCAGGGGCATTTGTTTTTACAGCCCAGTCACTATTCTTCCAGACAAAAAAAGCATTTCCTGTGAGGATGAAGTGATTACCCCAGGTCACCTGGCCACATTCCTCTCCGGGAGCTGGTGGCCACACCACCTGGCCGCCCCTCCACTAGCGCCGCGCTCCGAGGTCACGCAGCTGCCTGCGAAGCCCTCAGTGAGGCCGCCTCCCACCCCCTGGAGACGTGGTCTCCCCTCCCGCGAGGGTCCCTCCGACCCCACCCGGGCAACTAGGGCACCGCGGGCTGTTACCCAACTAACCATTAAGCGCGGAGCCGAGCGCGTGCGTGGCACGGAGAGGCGGGGCGGGTCTGGTCTGCGCTCTCGGCACCATGCGGCCCCCAAGACGTAGAGCTTCCCTGCCTCGGTTTGAAGGGACCGCTGGGCTGCCTGATTACGCGCCCCCGGCCGAGCCTGCGCACTGGGGACGCAGTCGGCCCTCGCGTCCTCTGCTGCCCGAAACAAGCGCGTGGAAAGCTTGGTCGGGGCTTCTCACAGCCGCGCGCACAGACTGGTTCTCCCCCCGCGTCTCCCGGGAGCGTCGCCGCCACCTGCACGCGTCCGGCACACAAACGTCGGTCTCACCCCTTAGTTTCTGGAAGAGAAAAAGGAAAAGCCACCGAGAGGCCTGACCCTGAGGGGTCGGGGGGAGATGCGGGCGCGTAGTAGAGGGAAGCGACTGAGGAGCGGGGACTGGGCAGCATTTGAATGGATGCGGGTGCCGCTGGCACCCGGGAAGACGCCTGGGAGCCGGCGCTGGGGAGCCGGGCATGGGCTGGGATGTGTTTGGATTCCAATCTGGGCCTGACACCAGTTCAGTGACCTCGGGAAGTTCCCCAACCCTGCGGGCCTGTTTCCTCCCTCTGAAGTGGCGACAGTAATAGAACCGACCTCGTAGGCTCATCGGGAGGTCCTGATGGGAGAACCCATGCAACTTGCCACCACAGAGCCAGGCCCGCGGCGACTGGCTCCTGGTGGGTATTAAAGACGAGTCGGGAAAGAAGAGCAGGTAAGAGGGCGGGGAGACTGGCCCAGTGGGTTGGGGTGTGCACCTCGGCCACGTGGAAAAGCGAGAATGCAGGGGCCGGACGCTTATGGACGATGCATATGTGGGGCCGGATAGAATTGTGGCAGGCGGCGCTGGGGCTGATGCGCCTCACCCAGATTATCCTCTGTAATCCTCACAGCCCTGTGAAGTGGGCCCTGCCATGAACATTTTGTAAATAAGGCACCCGAGGCTCAGAGAGGTGAAGTAATTTTCCAGACAGCCCAGCTCGTCAGCGGCCAGCATTTGAAGTCACACTCCAGAGCCTGTTTTTATCATAATAGCCGCTGTGACCGCATAACCAACGTGTGTGTTGAAGTGATCAAATAACCATGGGGTGGTCTCTGATGTCCAGGACTTTTGAGAAATACTGAAAAAGTATGAGGCAAGGCCCCTGCCTTCAAAGAGCTTTCAAGTTTATGGGAGAGACTGAGTCAGGCGCAAATTAACCAACATCTGTTGAGCACTTACTGCTTGCCAGGACCCTGCCCTTCTCTCACTGTCTTCCTCCCTTCCAGGACTCACCCCCTCACTTACCCTTCCCCTCAATTCTCACAAGAGATTGAAGAAGGGTAGAGACTGGAGGATGAGGCTGGGCGCGGTGTCCCATGTCTGTAATCCCAGCACTTTGGGAGGCCGAGGCAGGTGGATCACCTGAGGTCAGGAATTCAAGACCAGCCTGGCCAACATAGCGAAACCCCCCTCTACTAAAAATACAAAAATTAGAAGGGTGTGGTGGCACTCGCCTATGGTACCAGCTACTCAAGAGCCTGAGGAGGGAGAATCACTTGAACCTGGGAGGCAGAGGTTGCAGGGAGCTGAGATCATGCCACTGCACTCCAGCCTGGGTGACAGAGCGAGACTCTGTCTCAAAAAATAAAAAAATAGGCCGAGCGCAGTGGCTCACGCCTGTAATCCCAGTACTTTAGGAGTCCGAGGTGGGCGGATCATGAGGTCAGGAGTTCGAGACCAGCCTGGCCAACATGGTGAAATCCCGTCTCTACTAAAAATACAAAAATTAGCCTGGCGTGGTGGTAGACACCTGTAATCTCAGCTACTCAGGAGACTGAGGCAGGAAGAATTGCTTGAACTTGGGAGGCAGACGTTGCAGTGAGCCAAGATCATGCCATTGCTCTCCAGCCTGGGCGACTCTATCTCAAAATAAATAAAATAATTAAACAGATAAAAATAAAAAATGGTGGTGGGACAATTGGGTATCCATATGCAGAAGAATGAATTTGCATGAAATTGACTTAAAATTCATCAATAACAAAGAGCTAAACTGTAAAACTCTTAGAAGAGAATATACAGATAATCTTTTTTTTTTTTTTTTTTTTTTTTTTTTTGAGATGGAGTCTCATTCCGTCGCCCAGGCTGGAGTGCAGTGTCGCAATCTCGGCTCACTGCAAGTTCAGCCCCCGGGTTCATGCCATTCTCCTGTCTCAGCTTCCCGAGTAGCTGGGACGACAGGCGCCCGCCACCACGCCCGGCTTTTTTTTTTTTTTAGCATGTGGGAGCAACTTACCCACATTTCGGTTACACTAGTATGGCTACAAAAAAATTTTTTTTAAGGAAAAAAGTATTGGTGAGAATGTGGAGAAATTCAAACTTCATACTTTGCTGATGGGGATGTAAAATAGGGCAGCTACTGTGGAAAACAGTTTTGTGGTTCCTCAAAAAGAAAGAATTACCATATGATGCAGCAATTCTGCTACTGAAGCAGCGTCGTTTTCTGGGGTAAATACCTGAGGTTCCTCGTCTAGTGCCAAGAAGATTAAGGACATGGATACACGCAAGGAGCGAGTTTAGGAGAGGAGATTTCATAGGCAAAAAAGGGAGAAAAGGTCTCTCATGAGAGAGTGGGGCGCTCGAATGGGAATTCCAGCCTGGGGCAGAGTGCACCCGATTTTATAGGCAGGCTTAAGAAGGCAGTGTCTGATTTACATAGGGTCCAAAGATTGGTTGGACCAGGTGTGACGTTTACATAACACGCCAGGTAAGCTGGCTTCTCCACCCTAATCTTATTATGCAAATAGAATCTTTGCCTGGCTGGCACCATGTTGCCTGCTCCTTACTACACACGCGGCTAGCAAAGAGAAGGGAAGATGGAGCCGCCATTTTGAACATGCGTAGTCCCAGGTGTAGCCTTTTCCTATTGCCACAACTGCTGGCGTTCACCCCTGCAAGCTTCCAGCTTGCTTGTCTATGTTTGCAGCTTGATTTTACAGGATGTTCTTTGTTACAAAAGAAAATTATCTGGGGGCTGTTTTTCATTAAAAGGAAAACCTTACCAAGGACTCCTGTAGCTTACCTGCCTAAATAATTTATTCTTAATGCCTATATCACTACTAGGTATATTACCAAAATAAAACCGGTATTCAAACAAACACTTGTACAGCAGCACTATTCACAGTAGCCAAAAGTTGCAAACAATTCACATGTCCATCAATGGATGCATAGATAAACAAATATATTATGCAGCTATAAAAGGGAATGAAGTACTAATAAATCCCACAATGTGGATAAACCTTAAAAATATATAAGTGAAAGAAGCCAGAAACTAAAGGTTCAAAATTGTATGTGCGATAATTTCGAGGCATTTGAACCAGAGCAACTCCATCTTGAATAGGGACTGGGTAAAATAAGGCTGAAACCTACTAGGCTACATTCCTGAGATGGTTAAGCATTCTAAGTCATAGGATGAGATAGGAGGTCAGCATAAGATACAGGTCATAAAGACCTTCCTGATAAAATAGCTTGGAGTAAAGAAGCCAGCCAAAACCCACTAAAACCAAGATGGCCCAGAGAGTGACCTCTGGTCATCACTACTACACTCCCACCAGTGCCATGAGAGTTTACAAATGCCATGGCAACCTCAGGAAGTTACCCTATATGATCCAAAAAAGGGAGGCATGAATAATCCACCTCTTTTTTAGCATATAATCAAGAAATAACCATAAAAATGGGCAACCAGCAGCCCTGAGGGTGCTGTCTATAGAGTAGCCATTCTTTTATTCCTTTACTTTTTAAATAAACTTGCTTTCACTTTATGGACTTGCCCTGAATTCTTTTTTGCACGAGATCCAAGAACCCTCTCTTGGGCTCTGGGTCAGGACTCCTTTCCATTAACAATTTCATTGCATGAAATACCCAAGATAGGTAAATCCATAGAGACAGAAAGCAGATTAGTGGTTGCCAGGGGCTAGGGATAGGGAGAAAGGGAGTTGTGTCCGGATTTGGTGGGTTCTTGGTCTCGCTGACTTCAAGAATGAAGCCGCGGACCCTCGCGGTGTTACAGCTCTTAAGGTGGCGCGTCTGAAGTTTCTTCCTTCTGGTGGGTTCGTGGTCTCGCTGGCTCAGGAGTGAAGCTGCAGACCTTTGCGTTGAGTGTTACAGCTCTTAAGGCGGCGCATCTGGAGTTGTTCGTTCCTCCCAGTGGTCTCGTGGTCCCGCTGGCTTCAGGAGTGAAGCTGCAGATTTTCGCGGTGAGTGTTACAGCTCATAAAAGCAGTGTGGACCCAAACAGTGAGCAGCAGCAAGGTTTATTGCAAAGAGTGAAAGAACAAAACTTCCACAGTGGAAGGGGACCGGAGCAAGTTGCCACTGCTGGCTGGGGCAGCCTGCTTTTATTCTCTTACCTGGCCCCACCCACGTCCTGCTGATTGGTAGAGCCAAGTGGTCTGTTTTGACAGGGCGCTGATTGGTGCGTTTACAATCCCTGAGCTAGATACAAAGGTTCTCCACGTCCCCATCAGATTAGTTAGATACAGAGTATAGACACAAAGGTTCTCCAAGGCCCCACCAGAGCAGCTAGATACAGAGTGTCGATTGGTGCATTCACAAACCCTGAGCTAGACACAGAGTGCTGATTGGTGTGTTTACAAACCTTGAGCTAGATACAGAGTGCTGATTGGTGTATTTACAATCCCTGAACTAGGCATAAAGGTTCTCCACGTCCCCACCAGACTCAGGAGCCCAACTGGCTTCACCCAGTGGATCCCGCACGGGGCTGCAGGTGGAGCTGCCTGCCAGTTCCGCGCCGTGCGCCCGCACTCCTCAGCCCTTAGGTGGTCGATGGGACTGAGCACCGTGGAGCAGGGGGCGGCGCTCATCGGGGAGGCTCCGGCCGCATAGGAGCCCATGGAGTGGGTGGGAGGCTCAGGCATGGCGGGCTGCAGGTCCCGAGTCCTGCCCCGCGGGCAGGCAGCTAAGGCCCGGTGAGAAATCAAGCGCAGCGCCGGTGGGCTGGCACTGCTGGGGGACCCAGTACACCCTCCACAGCCACTGGCCCGGGTGCTAAGCCCGTCATTGCCCGGGGCCGGCAGGGCCGGCCGGCTGCTCCGAGTGCCGGGCCCGCCAAGCGCACGCCTACCCGGAACTCCAGCTGGCCCGCAAGCGCCGCGCGCAGCCCCGGTTCCCGCTCGCGCCTCTCCCTCCACACCTCCCTGCAAGCTGAGGGAGCCGGCTCTGGCCTTGGCCAGCCCAGAAAAGGGGCTCCCACTGTGCAGCAGTGGGCTGAAGGGCTCCTCAAGTGCCGCCAAAGTGGGAGCCCAGGCAGAGGAGGCGCCGAGAGCGAGCGAGGGCTGTGAGGACTGCCCTGCCAGCACGCTGTCACCTCTCAGAGTGACTGCTTAATGGATATGGAGTTTTCTTTTGGGGTGATGAAAATGATTTGGAACTTGATATAAGTGGTGACTGTGTTACCAGAGAGGTGTCCGATTCCAGACCCCTCCAGAGTAAACTGAAAGCCAGTTTTTAGGAAAGTAAAGGAATAAGAGAATAGCTACTCCATTGACAGAGCAGCCCCAAAGGTGCTGGTTGTCCATTTTTATGGTTATTTCTGGTTCAAACGTCTCTGACAGTTGCATGTGCTATTGTGAAATATATATTTGGTCTTCTTCTCCATTTCCTGGTGGCATACAACTTCTAAAATCCTTAGAACCTCCAAAGAGATGTGTCTTTTTATATGTTAATGAGTTGACTGATGGTTGGGGACTCCTGGATAGCTTCAGGATTGAGGGCTGGTCACAGGAAAGACCAAACCTTGATGAGAGAGTTGGGACTTGCAGGCACACCCCTCAACCTCCACGAAGGGGAGGAAGGCTGAAAGTTATGCTGATTACCAATGACCAATGATTTAATGACTCATGACTACATAAGGAAGCTTTCATAAAAACGCAAAAGGACTGGGTCCAGAGAGCTTCGAGTTAGTGGAACACGTGGAGGCACCTGGAGGGTGTCATGCCCTGCCAGGGCATGGAAGCTTCATGCTCTTTCCCACATAAGCATTTCTTTCATCTGGTGTTCAACAGTCTCATTTGTAATATCCTTTATAATAAACCAGTAAATGTAAGTAAAGTGTTTTCCTGAGTTCTGTGAGCCACTTTAGCAAATTAGTTGAACCCAAAGAGAGGGTAGTGGGAATCTTGATTTACAGCCAGTCAGTTAGAAGCACAAGTAAAACAACCTGGGGCTTATGATTGGCATTGGAACTAGGGGCAAGCTTGTGGGACTGAGCCCTCACCTGTGGGATCTGACACTATCGCCAGGTGGATAGTGTGACAGTTGAGTTGAATCAGAGGACACCCAACTGGTGTCCACTGAAGAATGGATTGGTTACTGTTGGGGAGAAATTCCCACACACATTTTGGTTACCAAGAGTCACAGAATGGTGAATATACTAAAAACCATTGAAATGTACACTTTAGGCCGGGCGCGGTGGCTCCTGCCTGTAATCCCAGCACTTTGGGAGGTCGAGGTGGGTGGATCACAAGGTCAGGAGTTCAAGACCAGCCTGGCCAATATGGTGAAACCTCGTCTCTACTAAAAATACAAAAAAATTAGCCGGGCATGGTGGCACATGACTGTAATCCCAGCTGCTTGGGAGGCTGAGGCAGGAGAATTGCTTGAATCCAGGAGGCAGAGGTTGCAGTGAGCTGAGATCGCGCCACTGCACTCCAGCCTGCATAACAGGGCAATATTCCGTCTCAAAAAAAAAAAAAGAAATGTACACTTTAGCTGGGCATAGTGGCTTACGCCTGTAATCCCAGCACTTTGGAAGGCCGAGGTGGGCAGATCACCTGAGGTCAGGAGTTCGAGACCAGCCTGACCAACATGGAGAAACCCCATCTCTATTAAAAATACAAAAATTAGCCAGGTGTAGTGGCACATTCCTGTAATCCCAGCAACTCGGGAGGCTGTGACAGGAGAATCGCTTGAACCCGGGAGGCGGAGGTTGCGGTGAGCCAAGATGGCGCCATTACACTCCAGCCTGGGCAACAAGCGTGAAACTCCGTCTCAGAAAAAAAAAAAAAAGAAAAGAAATGTACACTTTAAGATGGTTGATTTTGTGACATGAATTCACCGGACTTAAAAAACAAACAAATAAATACAAAGAAACACATTTTCCATGAATCTCGTGAAGCTTTTGGGAGGTGCTCTAACAGTATATTCATAGGATCATATCTAATTTTTTTTTTTTTTAAGATGGAGTCTTGCCCTGTCACCCAGGCTTGAGTCCAGTGGCGTGATCTCAGCTCACTACAACCTCCACCTCCGAGGTTCAAGCAATTCTCCTGCGCCTCAGCCTCCTGAGTAGCTGGGATTACAGGTGCACACCACCATGTCCGGCTAATTTTTGTTATTATTATTATTTTTTTAAGTAGAGATGGGGTTTCGCCATGTTGGCCAGGCTGGTCTTGAACTCCTGGCCTCAAGTGATCTGTCCACTTCAGCCTCCCAAAGTTCTGGGATTACAGGCATGAGCCACCGCGCCCGGCTGGATCGTATCTAATTTTATAATTTTAACTTTTTATTCTTTTCTTGAAGAGGGCCGCTGTGGTGGACACTATAAGCACCCCCTCCCAAAGATGTCCATGTTTTAATCCTTGAAACCTGTGAATATGTTATGTAATATGACAAAGGATAATTAAGGTGACAGATAGAATTAATGTTGCTAATCAGCTGGCCTTAAAATAGGGAGATTATCCTGGATTGTCTGGGTGAACCGAGTATAATCAAGAGTCCTTAAAATGGAAGAAGGTGACAGAGAGGAGGTCAGAGTGAAGCAATCTAAGAAGGACTTATCTGTTGTTGCTGGTTTTGAAGATGGAGGAAGAAGCCACAACTCAAGGAATGCAGATGGTCTCTAAAGCTGGAAAAGACAAGGAAACTGATTTTTTCCCAGAGCCTCCAGAAGGGAACACAGCCCTCTTGACGCTTGAGTTTTATTTAGCCCAGTGAGTCCTGTCTGGACCTTTTAACTACAGAGCTGTAAGAGAAATTTGTGTTGTCTAAAGCTACAAAGTTTGTGGTAATTTGTTATAGCAGTGATAGAAAACTAATACAGCCACCTTAGATGTGCATACTTCAGGCCCCGCAAAACTTTTATCTTCCGCTGACAGGGAATATAAAGAGTACAGGCTTTGAAGTTGGAAAACCTGGTCTCGTAACTTACTTGCTGTGTTACTGTAGGCAAATCGCTGAACTCTTCCAGGCCTTAGTTTCTTCACAGGTACATTGGAGATAATACCTACAAACCTGATCTATTGTGCAGATCAAAAGAGAAAGTGATTAATAAAACTTGGAAAGTGCTCTAAAAATGTTCATGTGTCATTTTAAGTTGTTAATAAAGAGTATTAGAGTGACTAAGTGACTCCAAGCTTATTAGCTGGAAAAATAGAAGTAGGAGAGCCGATTCTCTGGGACATGCCTGTAGTCCCAGTTACTTGGGAGACTGAGGTGGGGAGAATTGCTTGAGTCCAGCCTGGGTAACATGGGGAGATCTGTCCCTAAAAAATGAAAAAAGGAAAAACAGTTGGAGGGTAAGAAAAGGAAACCAGTTTTGATGAACTAGCCAAGTTGATTAAAATAAAGCAGATACAATTCCTACTGTTTTTCCAGATATCTTCCTGATTTTTTTTCTTTTTTTTTTTTTTTGAGATGGAGTTTCGCCCTTGTTGCCCAGGCTGAAGTGCAATGGCATGATCACAGCTCACCGCAACTTCTGCCTCCCAGGTTCAAGCAATTCTCTCAGGTTCAAGTGATTCTCCTGCCTCAGCCTCGCAAGTAGCTGGGACTACAGGCATGTGCCACCAGGCCCGGCTAATTTTGTATTTTTAGTAGAGATGAGGTTTCTCCATATTGGTCAGGCTGGTCTCGAACTCCCCACCTCAGGTGATCTGTCCGCCTTGGCCTCCCAAAGTGCTGGATTACAGGCGTGAGCCATCACGCGGCCTGTCTTCCTGATTTTAAGCCAGTGCAAGATAGGAATTTTAGAGCTGAAAGGAGCTTGAAAATCACATAGCCAGGCCGGCCGCAGT
The DNA here is from genome assembly GCF_000001405.40 of Homo sapiens. Taxonomy (NCBI): domain Eukaryota; kingdom Metazoa; phylum Chordata; class Mammalia; order Primates; family Hominidae; genus Homo; species Homo sapiens. Next base: position 112,858,785 of record NC_000001.11, read on the forward strand.
GGCTCACGCCTGTAATCCCAGCACTCTGGGAGGCCGAGGTGGGCGGTTCACGAGGTCAGGAGATCAAGACCATCCCGGCTCACACAGTGAAACCCCGTCTCTACTAAAATTACAAAAAAATTAGCCGGGCGTGGTGGCAGGCCCCTGTAGTCCCAGCTACTTGGGAGGCTGAGGCAGGAGAATGGCATGAACCCTGGAGGCGGAGGTTGCAGTGAGCCAAGATCGTGACACTGCACTCCAGCTTGGGCAACGAGTGAAACTCTGTCTCAAAAAAAAAAAAAAGAAAAGAAAAAAGAAAGATGTTCTTTTTGTTGTTGTTTTTTTTCTTTTTTTTTTTTTTTTTTGAGACGGAGTTTCACTCTTGTTGCCCAGGCTGGAGTGCAATGGCGCGATCTCGGCTCACTGCCACCTCCGCCTCCCAGGTTCAAGCGATTCTCCTGTCTCAGCCTCCCGAGTAGCTGGGATTACCGGCATGCGCCACCATACCCAGCTAATTTTTTTGTATTTTTAATAGAGACGGGGTTTCACCATGTTGGTTAGGCTGGCCTAGCACTCCCGACCTCAGGTGATCCGTCCGGCTCGGCCTCTCAAAGCACTGGGATTACAGGCGTGAGCCACCGCGCCTGGTGAGAAAGATGCTCTTAACCCTATTTCACCAATAATAAAACAAAAAGTGTTCTTTTTGTTTTTGTTTTATTGAGATGTAATTCACCTAACATAAAATTCACTATTCTAAAGCGCACACTTCAGTGGTTTTTAGAAAATTCCCTATGTTGTGTAACCATCACCATTACTCTCAAAACATTTCCATCAACTGCGCCCCCCCACCGAAAAAAACCATACTATTAGCAGTTAGTCCCAATTTCCCCCTTCTCCCATCCCTTAGCAACTACTAATCTGTCTATGGATTTGCTTATTCTGGATATTTTATATACTGTAAATTGAATTATTAGCATAATATTTTCAAAGTTCATTCATATTGTAGCATGCATCAGTACTTCATTCCTTTTATGGCTGAATAATAATCCATTGTATGGATGTATTACATTTTGTTTATCCTTTAGTTAGCTGATGGACATTTGGATTGTTTTCACTTTTTGGCCATTATGAATAAAGCTGCTATGAACATTCATTTACAAGTTTTTGTGTAAACATATATTCTCATTTCTCTTGAGTATATGCTCAAGAAGTGGAATTCCTGGTTCATATGATAACTCTGTGTTTATCTTTTTGAGAAACTGCTAAACTGTTTTCCATAGCAGCTGTACTTTCCACCAGCAATATATGAGGGTTCCAATTTTTCCACATTCTTTTCAACACTTGTTGTTTTCTCTTTTTGAAAATATTGTTACTATAGTCAACCTAATGGGTGTAAAGTGATTTCTCATGTAATTTGTTTGTTTAGTTTTATTTTTGGAATAGCATTTCCCACTCTTTTTATTTAATTTTAAATTTTTTTTTTTTTTTGAGACGGAGTCTCACTGTGTTGCCCAGGCTGGAGTGCAGTGGCGTGATCTTGGCTCACTGCAACCTCTTCCTCCTGGGTTCATACAGTTCTCCTGCCTCAGCCTCCCAAGTAGCTGGGATTACAAGCATGTGCCACCATGCTCAGCTAATTTTTGTATTTTTAGTAGAGACAGGGTTTCACCATGTTGGCCAGGCTGGTCTCGAACTCCTGACCTCATGATCTGCCCGCCTCGGCCTCCCAAAGTGCTGGGATTACAAGCGTGAGCCACCGCTCCTAGCCCATTATGGTACTTTAGATGACCACAGTTATAAAGTTGGGTCACATAATTATCAACCATAGTGATATGTGTTTATACATTTCCCCTTTCGACCTATTTCTTTTTTCTTTTTTCTTTTTGAGACAGTTTCGCTCTTCTTGCCCAGGCTGGAGTGCAATGGTGTGATCACCTGATCGAAGTCAGGAGTTCGAGACGAACCTGAGCAACATGGAGAAACCCCATCCCTACTAAAAATACAAAATTAGCTGGGTGTGGTGGTGCATGCCTGTAATCCCAGCTACTCGGGAGGCTGTGGCAGGAGAATCGCTTGAACCCCGGAGGTGGAGGTTGCGGTGAGCTGAGATCGCACCATTGCACTCCAGCCTGGGCAACAACAGTGAAACTCCGTCTCAAAAAAAAAGTCGATAAAAATAAATAAGTAAATCTAATAATCTGATTTTAAAATGGGAAAAACTCCGTCTCAAAAAAAATATGGTTCATCTGGTTGTAACTGTTATAGCCATGTAACTGTAATTAGTGTACGTGTTTATGCTTGCAAAAATAGGTATGTTATACTGAGTATTTTGTTGTGTAAAGTGACCTATGAAGCGTTCTGTCATGACTTTATGTGTCTCAAATAAATCCCCTTTTAAAAATGTAAATAAGGCCGGGTGGGGTGGCTCATGCCTGTAATCCCAGCACTTTGGGAGGCTGAGGCGGGTGGATCACGAGGTCAGGAGATTGAGACCATCCTGGCTAACACAGTGAAACCCCGCCTCTACTAAAAATACAAAAAATTAGCCGGGCGTGGTGGCCGGCGCCTATAGTCCCAGCTACTCGGGAGGCTGAAGCAGGAGAATGGCGTGAACCCGGGAGGCGGAGCTTGCAGTGAGCCGAGATTAGGCCACTGCACTCCAGCCTGGGTGACAGAGCAAGACTCCCTCTCAAAAAAAAAAAAAAGTAAAAAAATGTAAATAAATACCTTTTAAATAATTTTTAAAATTAGTTTTCCAGAATGATAGTTTTGGAATGTTGAGCTTTCAGGATTTCAACACTTGAGGTTATGCCTTTTAGGATTATGATCAGCTTCCTGTCTCTTAAGAATGAAAACAAGCAAGCACATACACTCTCAGCACTTTCACCCAGAATTTTAATGGAGGTTCTCGTGAGTTCGATAAGGCAAAAATAATAATAATTATTATTATTATTTAGCCGGTCGCAGTGGCTCACGCCTGTAATCCCAGCACTTCGGGAGGCCAAGGCGGGCGGATCACGTGAGGTCAGGAGTTCCAGACCAGCCTCAACATGGAGAAACCCCCCGTCTCTACTAAAAATACAAAATTAGCCGGGTGTGGTGGTGCATGCCTGTAATTCCAGCTACTCGGGAGGCTGAGGCAGGAGAATTGCTTGAACCCGGGAGGCGGAGGTTGCAGTGAGCCGAGATCGCACCACTGCACTCCAGCCTGGGCAACAAGAGCGAAACTCCGTCTCAAAAAAAAAAAAAAAAAATTAAAGACATCGAGATTGGAGGCCGGACACGGTAGCTCACGCCTGTAATCCCAGCACTTTGGGAGACCTAGGTGGGTAGAAATTCTGTCTCAAAAAAAAAAAAAAAAATAGATTGGAAAGGAAGAAGTAAAATTCTAATCACAAACAACATGGTCATCTTTACAAAAAATCATTTGGAATCTACAAAAAGGCTAATAAAACTTAGCAAGTTTGTAAGAAACAATAAAAATCAACTGTATTTTTATATAGAATTAGCAGACATTTTTAAGTAGATAATAAAATCAGTGCTATTTTCTTTCTTTCTTTTTTTATTATTATTATTTTTAGTAGAGACGGGGTTTCACCGTGTTAGCCAGAATGGTCTCCATCTCCTGACCTTGTGATCTGCCCACCTCGGCCTCCCAAAGTGCTGGGATTACAGGTGTGAGCCACCGCACCCGGCCTAAATCAGTACTATTTTCAATAGGAGCAAAACAGTTAAAATTTAGGAATAATTACGACAAAAGATTTGTAAGGCCTGTACACTGAAAGCTATAGAACATTTCTGAGAGAAATAAGAGACCTAAATAGATGGAGAGATAATATCATGTTCATGAATTGGAAGATTCAATATTGTTAAGAACTCAATTCTCTCCAAATTATCTATGGAGTTGTGATATTATGTTATCTATACATTGATTTTCATCCATGGTTCCTGACTCATAACTCCTGTAGCTCTTGTTATAATGTTGGGGTGCTTTAGGCCTCAGAAGCAGGCCTCAGGAAATAGAATCTCTCTCTGATCTTCTACTGCTGTCCTTTCACGGGCTCCCTTTTCTCCCCCAAGGCAGGACTGTCATCTTCCCCTGCCTTTCCATAAAGAAATTCCCTGACCTACCTTGTCTGATTGTAGGTCATAAAACCCCTATTTTAGAAAGGGTCCTGCTCCATACCCTGAAGGAAGGAATGCTGCACACAGAGGCCAAGAAGAATCTGAACAAACAGGCCTTGCTGGGTATCCCCATTCAGTCTATTTTAGATCCTACCCTTTTTATCTAATCACATTTCTACATGGTTGTCAATCATACCTATCCAATGAAGTCTTCATAAAAGGCCCAAGAATACAACGTTATAGAGAGCTTCCAGATAGTTGAACAAGGAGAGTCTTACAGGAAAGTGAGCAAGAACTCAACCACATGCCAGGAGGGCAGTGTACCGCAACTCCAAAGGGACAGAAGCTCCTGTGATCAGACTCTTCCAGACCTTGCCCTGTGTCTCTCTTCATCTGGCTATCTATTTATATCCTTTAAAGTATCCTGGCTGAATGCAGTGGCTCACGCCTGTAATCCCAGCACTCTGGGAGGCTGAGGTGGGTGAATCACCTGAGGTCAGGAGTTTGAGACCAGCCTGACCAACATGGTGAACCCCGTCTCTACTAACAAATACAAAAATTAGGCGGGACACGGTGGCTCACGCCTGTAATCCCGCACTTTGGGAGGCCGAGGCAGGTGGATCATGAGGTCAGGAGTTCAAGACCAGCCTGGCCAAGATGGTGAAACCCCATCTCTACTAAAAAGTACAAAAATTACAGCATGCCTGTAATCCCAGCTACTCGGGAGGCTGATGCAGGAGAATCGCTTGAACCTGGGGGGCGGAGATTGCAGTGAGCCGAGATGGTGCCACTGCACTCCAGCCCTGGTGACAGAGCAAGACTCCATCTCAAAAAAAAAAAAAAAAAAAAATACAAAAATTAGCTGGGTGTGATAGCGGGTGCCTGTAATCCCAGCTACTTGAGAGGCTGAGGCAGAAGAATCACTTGAACCTAGGAGGAAGAGTTTGCACTGAGCTGAGATCGTACCATTGCACTCTAGCCTGGGCAACAGAGCAAGTCTCCATCTCAAAAAAAAAAAAAGTATATAACTACACACACACACACACACACACACACACACACACACATATATATCCTTTGTAATAAACCAGTAAATGTAAGTAAGTGTCCCCCTGAGTTCTGTGAGCCACTCTAGTAAAGAGGATCATGGGAACTCCATCTTGAAGTCAGCTGATCAAACGTACAGAGGTGTGGTCTTGTGACTAGTGGGAAGGAAGAGGTGTTCTTGTGGGACTGAGCCCTCAACCTGTGGTTTCTGAAGCTATTTCCAGGTAGATAATGTCAGAATTCAATTGAATTGGAGGACACGCAGCAGATATCTGCTGCAGAATTGATTGCTTGGTGTATGAGGAGAAACCAACACACATTTGGTCCCAGAAGAATCCTGGGTTGATTGTTGTGGTGTGAGAACAGTGGAAGAACATGGTTTGAGTTTTTCTACTATCCCAAGAGTCAGTGTAATCCCAATCAAAATCTTTTTTAAAAAATATTTTACAGAAAAAATTGACAAGCTGCTTCTAAAGTTCATATGAAAGGGAAAAATAAAAAAAACAACAACCCAAACTTAGAGTAGACAAAACAACTTGAAGACTATGAAGAAAGTTGGAGTCCATGAGTGGTGGCTAACGCCTGTAATCCCAGAACTTTAGGAGGCTGAGACAGGCAGATCACTTGAGGTCAGGAGTTCAAGACTAGCCTGTCCAACATAGTAAAACCCCGTCTCTACTAAAAATACAAAAAAAAAAAAAAAAAAAATTAGCCAGGCATGGTGGTGAGTGCCTGTAATCCTAGCCACCTGGGAGGCTGAGGCAGGATAATCACTTGAACTTGGGAGCGGAGGCTGCAATGAGCCAACATAGTACCACTGCACTCTAGCCGGGGCGAGACAGAGTGATACTCTGCCTCAAAAAAAAAAAAATATTGGAGAAGTGGTTCGTTTGCTGCCCATATCCTGACAGTAGGTTTGAGGGCATAGGCCAAGGGAAGCAGTACCAGAGGCTCAACATGATGAAAACAGCTGTCCAGCAAGAAAGACTGGAGCTTGGTTTTTGTTAATTTTTTTTTCTTTTGAGATGCAGTCCTGCTCTGTTGCCCAGGTTGGAGTGCCGTGGCACAATCTTGGCTCACTCCAACCTCCGCCTCCCAGGTTCAAGCGATCCTCCTGCCTCAGCCCCCAAGGAGCTGGGATTATAGGCATGCACCACCAAGCCCGGCTAATTTTTGTATTTTTAGTAGAGACAGGGTTTCGCCATGTTGGCCAGGCTGGTCTCAAACTCCTGACCTCAGGTGATCCACCCTCCTCGGCCTCCCAAAGTGCTGGGATTACAGGTGTAAGCCACCGTGCCTGGCCAGCCACCGCGCCTGGCCAGCCACCGCGCCCAGCCTTTTTTTTATTTTTTTATTTTTTTTTTGAGACAGAGTTTTGCTCTTGTTGCCCAGGCTGGAGTGCAATGGCGCAATCTCGGCTCACTGCAACCTCCACCTCACAGGCTCAAGCAATTCTCCTGCCTCAGCCTCCCGAGTAGCTGAGATTACAGGCATGCACCACCACGCCCATCTAATTTAGAATCTTTAGTAGGGACGGGGTTTCTCCATTTTGGTCAGGCTGGTCTCAAACTCCCGACCTCAGGTGATCCGCCCGCCTTGGCCTCCCAAAGTGCTGGGATTACAGGCATGAGCCACCGCACTCGGCCTTGTTAAACTTTTTTGTTAATTTTTTTTTTTTTTTTTTTTTTTGAGAGAAGTCTCGCTCTTATCTCCCAGGTTTGAGTGCAATGACTTGAGCTCGGCTCACTGCAACCTCCACCTCCCGGGTTCAAACGATTCTCCTGTATCTGCCCCCCAAGTAGCTGGGATTAAGTCACCTTCCACCACACCCAGCTAATTTTTGTATTTTTTAGTAGAGACAGGGTTTCACCATGTTGGCCAGGCTGGTCTTGAACTCCTGACCTCAGGTTATCTTCCCGCCTCGGCCTCCCAAAGTGCTGGGATTACAGGTGTCAGCCACTGCGCCCGGCCATTTTTTTTGTTAATTTTTAAGACATGATTAGAGCCAAAGAAGAGTTGGTGTAGAGATCAAGGTTTGGACAAGGGTGAGGCAAGTGAGGCTTTCATTCTCAAGGACCCATCTTGCGCTTATATGATCTTGAGAGTGTGTGCCTCCTAAAATTTTATGTTTCCTCACCTGAAGGTAATCCTGCCCCTTATGGGACTCAGAACATGACACCCCAAAATATGGCACCTTGGCAATTAAGAAAACTAAAGAAGCAAGATCACGTTGACCTCCCCCCGCTTTCTCATGCACAGTGCTTTCATAAAGGAATTATTTAACCTACCTCACCTGAAAGCAGGACATAAGACCCTCATTCCAGGCTGGCCCAGCCCCATACTCAGAGAAAAGGAATGCTACTCAGCAGAAAGGAATGCTACTCAGAGTGGCCAAGAACAATCTGAACAAACAGATCTTGTCATATTTCCCCTACTTCCCCTACCCCAGTTTATTACCATTAGATCATACCCTTTGTCCAGTCATGTTCTCCACAATCATCTACTTCTTTCAGCAGACTTAGCATTTAAAAAAACACAATTTTCCCTGGGTCTTTGGGTCTTCATTTCTGAAGGCTCTTATGTCTTATAAAACCTTGTTAAATTTGTTATGCTTTCCTCTTATTAATCTGCGTTTTGTTATGGGGTGTCATCTGTGAACCTAGCAATGGGTGAGGAAGACAATACTTTTTTCTCTCCTATGCCCTGATGGGGAACTCTCTAGACAGACAAATGAATAGCTGAGGCTTCTCATCACCCATATACCCACATTCTCTCTCTCTTTTTTTTTTTTTTTTTAAACAGAGTCTCCTTCTGTTGCCCAGGCTGGAGTACAGCCTGGGCTCACTGGATCCTCTGCCTCCTGGGTTCAAGTGATTCTCCTGCCTCAGTCTCTCAAGTAGGTGGGACTACAGGTGCATGCCACCAGGCCCGACTAATTTTTGTATTTTTAGTAGAGACGGGGTTTCACCATGATGGCCAGGTTGGCCTCGAACTCCTGACCTCAAGTGATCCTCCCACCTTAGCCTCCCAAAGTGCTAGGATTACAGGCGTGAGCCACCATGCCCGGCTGCACACTCTCTTACCTTTCCCACACCTTGAAATTTCCCTCACTGCCCACCCTAAATACAGTACCATGAGACGCAAATCTTAGATTAGATTTCAAAGGAAGGGCAGTGTCACTTAGTTCCACTAAGGCCTACCTGTATCCTCTGTGGCCTAGACTGGAGGTGGATATGGGGAGACTGATTTCCAAGATAGACATAGCTCTGTTATCTTCACTCCCTGAGTCCAAGCCCAGCTGAATACCTAAGTGGCTTCTCATTCTTTTTTTTTTTTTTTTTGAGACGGAGTCTTGCCCTGTCGCCCAGGCTGGAGTGCAGTGTCATGATCTTGGCTCACTGCAACCTCTGCCTCCCAGGTTCAAGCAATTCTCCTGCCTCAGCCTCTTGAGTAGCTGGGATTACAGGTATGTGCCACCCCACCTGGCTAATTTTTGTATTTTTAGTAGAGACAGGGTTTCACCATGTTGGCCGGGATGGTCTCGATCTCCTGACCTCGTGATCCACCTGTCTCGGCCTCCCAAAGTGCTGGGATTACAGATGTGAGCCACCACGCCCAGCCGTGGCTTCTCATTCTTATCCTTAGAGATTGCTGGCATCCCCGGCCTCTTACCACTCTTCCCATCCTTCCATCAGCTTAGACCACTCAAGTGCTTTCACTGCAAGTTCCCTTTATTGTCATCACTAGGCAGCTGCATTTTGATCTCAGAGCTAATAGATGAATCCACTTTCTTCAATATGGCCACTCTCTCAGCTGGGGTCTTCTTCCCTAATCTGTGTGTGTGTGTGTGTGTGTGTGTGTGTGTGTGTGTGTGTGTGTGTTTTGTTGGGTTTTTTTTTGAGACAAAGTCTCACTCTCTTGTCCAAGCTGGAGTGCAGTGGCACCATCTCAGCTCACTGCAACCTCCACTTCCCGGGTTCAAGCAATTCTCCTGCCTCAGCCTCCCAAGTAGCTGGGACTACAGGCACGCGCCACCACGCCCAGCTAATTTTTTTTTGTATTTTTAGTAGACACAGGGTTTCACTATGTTGACCATGCTGGTCTTGAACTCCTGACCTCCTGATCCGCCCACCTCAGCCTCCCAAAGTGCTGGGATTACTGGCGTGAGCCACCCTGCCCGGCCCTGAAATAAAAAAAAATAATTTTTTTTTTTTAAAAAGAGTTTGAGGCCTTGTGTACCTTGAGTTAAAGAGGCCTCTAAAGGAGAACCTGGGGGATTCCAAATCTGACAGCTACAATTTTGCACAAAGCCTTACTCAATGTTCTCCACTCATCACCCCCTTTCTTTTTACCTGCTTCCCTTGTCTTCTGCTCTTCTCCTCTCCTGGCGAGTTGGTGTTGGTTGTTGTCAGGAAGCCTCAGCTCCTCACAATGGGAACTCCCCAGAGGGCTCCTTGAATGTCCTCATGACATGGCGCCTAACTCCCACCAGAATGAGAGATCCAGGAGACAGTGAGAGGGAAGCCACCAAGCCTTTAGGTCCTAATCTCTAAAGTCACTGTAGGGGAGAAAATTAGCATCTTTATCTAGTATCACCCTAGGTTTGTGGCAGAGATCCCTATAACAAAATATTAAATACAAGAGAAAAGCATACAAATTTATTTAATAAGTTTTACATCATATGAGAGACTTAATAAGGAAATGAAGACCCAAAGAAACAGAAAAAAAACGGTATTTTTATGCTTAGGTTCGTGTAGAGTGGACTATCATACAGTATGATTGGACAAAAGTGGGTATGATCTAATAGAATGAGACCACCACTTCTCCTGTTGTCCTTCCCAGCTTCTCCCCAACCTCCCCTTTTCCCTAGTTTATAAGACAGGAGAAAAGGGAGAAAGCAAAAAGTTGGAAAGAAACAGAAATAAGATAAATAACTAGACGACCTTGGCGCCACCACCTGGCCCTGGTGGTTAAAAGAATAATAATAATAATAATAATATTAACCCCTGACCAAAACTACTAGTGTTATCTGTAAATTCCAGACATTGTATGTGAAAGCACTGTAAAACTTTTTGTTCTGTTAGCTGATGTATGTAGCCCCTAGTCACGTTCCTCACACTTACTTGATCTATTACGACCTTTTCACGTGGACCCCTTAGAGTTGTAAGCCCTTAAAAGGGCTAGGAATTTCTTTTTTGGGGAGCTCAGCTCTTAAGACGCGAGTCTGCTGACACTCCCAGCCCAATAAAAACCTCTTCCTTCTTTAATCCGGTGTCCTAGGAGTTTTGTCTGCGACTTGTCCTGCTACAGTAATGGTAACAAACTGGAGAGAACTTAACAAGGCCTGTTTATTCACAGCTTCTTGGCATCTCTGCGTCTTCATTCTTTTCTTCTGGGTATAGGAAGGAGGCCCTGCAAATAGGGTCTTATGACCTTATTTTGTAAGAAGGTCAGAGAATTCTTTTAGGGCCTGCTTCATGGGAGAAAGTCAGGGGAAGGTCAGAGAGACCTTCCCTGTTAAACCTTCCCCATAGTGTTAACAATAATTACATGCCAGGCTTTAGATAAAAGTATAGATTAAGCATTAGTCAGGTTGTCCTATGACTCATTTCCCTATAGCCTCTTATGGACCATGTAGGCCAGGACATAAACCATGAATTTACTTATTGTTCTTGTAGATAGGAACTTTGACTTTAGGAGCCTTACAACTTTTCATTTGAGATGTTTTTCAGAACTAACGCCAATGAGTCCAAAGACCACACCAAGGAACCAAGTCGGTCTGAGAATGCAGTTTCTTCAGCTGGGCGCGGTAGCTCACGCCTGTAATCCCAACACTTTGGGAGGCCAAGGCGGGCAGATCATGAGGTCAGGAGTTCGATACCAGCCTGGCCAACATGGTGAAACCCCGTCTCCCCTAAAAATACAAAAATTAGCTGGGCGTGGTGGTGTGCACTTGTAATCCCAGCTACTGGGGAGGCTGAGGCAGGAGAACGGCTTGAACCCAGGAGGCAGAGGTTGCAGTGAGCTAAGATCGTGTCACTGCACTCCAGCCTGGGTGACAAACAAGAATCTGTCTCAAAAAAAAAAAAATGCAGTTTCTTCACCTCCATCCTATGACATCACCCTTCACTCTTTGAACAATCGACACCTTGGCCCACTACTCGTCCAAACCCCTTAAGGTCTCTAGACCCAAACTCTTTGAAGAGGTGGTTTTGAGGTTTCTTCTCATCTCATTTGGTGGCCTTACAATTAAACCTCTTTCTCTGCTGCAACCTGGAGTCTTGGTGCATTGACTTTCTGCATATCAGGCAACACACCCAGCACAATCACCCCTGCACATGCTGTTTGTCCATTCAGTTCTTCAGCTTGAATTCTTTTTTTTTGAGATGGAGTTTCACTCTTGTTGCCCAGGCTGGAGTGCAATGGTGTGATCTTGGCTCACCGCAACCTCTGTCTACCGAGTTCAAGTGTTCTCCTGCTTCAGCCTCCTGCGTAGCTGGGATTACCGGCATGCGCCACCACGCTCAGCTAATTTTGTATTTTTAGTAGAGACGGTGTTTCTCCATGTTGGTCAGGCTGGTCTTGAACTCCCGACCTCAGGTGATCCACCCGCCTCAGCCTCCCAAAGTGCTGGGATTATAGGCGTGAGCCACCATGCCCAGCCGAATTATTTCACATGTCAAGGCACCATATTTTAGGGTAGTGCATCCTGCACTCCATCTGGAACACATGCCACATCCCTTCTGCTACATTCTACTGGTCAAAGCATCCCTTTTGCTACATGCCACTAGTCAAAGCAAGTTACAAAAGCAGGCCAGATCCAAAGGTTGAGGAAACAGAACCCCACCTCTGAGAAGCAGCAAATAATTTGTGACCATGTTTAATCTACCATAAAGAATTTGGCCAGGATCAGAGATGGTTGCCCACACTTTTGTCCTTTCTCTTACTGAACTGGAGTTTTGAAGAGGCCATCACGCGGTCTACCCCCTTTAGAAGGAGATCTGCAAAAGCTTTAAATGTTTGCCCTGAGCTCTCAGTTTCTCTGGTTTTTCCTTTTCCCATCTCTCTCTCTCTCTCTCTCTCTCTGAGCCCCACCCCACTTTCCCTGCTGCCCCATCCTCTGTAATTCAGCTACAGCCAAGCTGTAGCTTTTCCTGTCTAGCCCTACCCAACTCAGGGACCCATTCTTCTCCCCATTTCAAGCCCCATAGGCCTCCTCAACTCTCCCTGGAAAGGAGAAACCGGCTCAAAGTGAGTTGAGTGGAGAATTGGGAAAGCTCTTTGAGACTTCTGGAGTTCCCAGTAGCAAAAGGAAACAGGATAACAAAACAGGGTGAAACCTGAATGATGGCATGGAGGGGCTGGTGGGGGTGCTCACAAGAGGTAGGATGGAAAAGAACTGAAAACAGAAAGTTGCCCTTACCTTCCCGGACTTGAGGGACCTGTGACTCTAGGCAATTGAGGGTAGTTGTCTTGCCAAGGTGATAGCATGTAATAGCCCATAATTACCCATAATGACTTCATGAGGCTCAGCCTAGGTGGGAGCCCAGGCATTTCAAGATAATGTCTTTTCTTCCCTTTGTATTCTGAGTGTGTTAGCTCCCTGCATGGATTGAAAGGTGCTTATTAACACAAGTGCCCTTGTTAATTAGGTTGGTTCTGACTTACGTGCTACTTATTAGATACTCAAGTCAATATGGATAAGTGTCCTGCTTCTGGGCCAGGGACAGAGAAAAAGCCAGAAAACCCACTTCTCCTCAAAAGGTGTCTCTGGTGTCCAGAAAGGACAGAGGATGCTTCATTTTTATGGTGCTGGGATGAGCTGAGGGAAGGGGAGAAGCAGGAGGCAAACCCTGGTGGGGGCGCTGCTGGAAGGAGACAGCTCACAGGACACCACCACCACAAGCTGAGCCTCCACTTTCCCATCTGTGATGTGGGGTTTAGAACCAGAGTATTGGCATGAGAAAGGATTAGAGATGAATGCCCACTTTTGTCCTTGTAAGAAAAAATTGTGGAACTTTGAAATTAAGTAGGAGTCCTGGCCTAAATAGTTCATCCTTCTAGATTATCTCTTTCTTTATCTCTTCCTAGTTTGTCTTTTTTTTTTTTTTTTTTTTTTTTTTTTTTGAGACGGAGTCTCACTCTTGTCGCCCAGGCTGGAGTGCAATGGCGTGATCTCGGCTCACCACAACCTCTGCCTCCCAAGTTCAAGCGATTCTCCTGCCTCAGCCTCCCAAGTAGCTGGGATTACAGGCGCCTGCCACCATGCCCAGCAAATTTTTGTATTTTTAGTAGAGACGGGGTTTCACCATGTTGGCTAGGCTGGTATCAAACTCCCGACCTCGAGTGATCTGCCCACCTTGGCCTCCCAAAGTGCTGGGATTACAGGCGTGAGCCACCACACCCGGCCCCTAGCTTTTCTTTGATTAGGATATTTTACCACTCTGTAGAGATAACAGTTGACTTGTAAAAATCTGGTAGTAAGACAGTTTCCTTCTAAAGAAATGCAAATTGCATCAATTGTACAGTGAAATGCAGTTGATTCTATTCCTTTGGTATGATAGGGTTCACGACATACTACTCCAAAATGTGGCACCTCGGCATTCGAGAAAACAAGAGAAGCTGGGAGGTTTCTCTGGCCTTCTCCCACTGTTCTCCCACTGTTCTCCCCTGAGGCAGGCCATAAAACTGAATTGAACTTCTCCTGAAGTAGGTCATAAGGCCCTCATTTCAGAGGGGTTCTCTCTATATCTGGAGAAAAGGAATAAAGACACAGAGATGCCAAGAAGAATCTGAACAAACAGGCCTTGCTAAGTTCCCCCAGTTCCCTCCCGCTCCTGTCTCTGACTCCTCTGCCTTTCCCAGAACACAGGGAGAGGCTTTCTCTGAAGTTCCCTTATCTGACCAAGGGAAGTTTCTTCAGAAGGAATGCAGTTGTCTTGGGCCCTCTCCCTACAATCTCATTAAACAGAGAAGATTAACTCACAGGAAAGGAGACTGGAGTTGACACCAAACCCAGAGCCCAGACGAACTTTGTGACACGATATTGCCTGTTCTTTGGGCCCATTCATTCCCCCTAAGAATCGTTTACTCTTTCTCTAAAATTGCCTAGAGCCCCCACCTCCCTTACTGCTATGAAGAGGGCATTTAAGCTTCAGCTATCTGGCCCTTTGAGTTTACTTTGTGTGACTCTCATTTGTGTAACTCTCTTGCACTTGCATATTAATGAATTCATCAGCCTTTTCTCCTGTTAATCTGCCTGTTGTCCATTTATTTCAGCAGATGCTATTATCAAACTTTCAGAGGGGAAGTGTAAACTTTCCTGCAATACACTTTTGGCTTTTGATCATACTTCTGCATGACTGCCCATAAAAATACACAGATTTTTCAGTTCTTTTGGGTCTTTGTTTCTGAAGGCTCCTGTGTTAAATAAAATTTAAACTTTGGTTAAATAAAACTTTGGTTAAATAAAGATGTATGTTTTTATCTTGCTGATCTGTCTTTTGTTATAGGGGTCACTGCCATGAACCTTGCAAAGATTAGGGAAAAGATAATACTTTATCACACATAAATATTGACCAGTTTTTTCAGTTCTTCGAGTTTTGCATCCACTTGTAAATGCATCTCAACATTCTTTATCTGACTCTAAACTTGATAGTTTTCTTTAAAATGGACTATAATATTCAAATTATATTAATGAGGGTTTCCTTATTAATTAATGAATTAAATGTTTTGCATTTTATATCTGTGTAACAGTATATCCTTTTAAAATATTAATCTTGTGGCCGGGTGTGGTGGTTCATGCCTATAATCCCAACACTTTGGGGGGCCAAGGCAGGCAGATCGCTCGAGCTCAGGAGTTCGAGACCAGCCTGGGCAACATGGTGAAACCCTGTCTCTACCAAAAAGTACAAAAAAAAAAAAAATTAGCCAGACGTGGTGTCACAAGCCTCTAGTCCCAGCTACTCAGGAGGCTGAGGTGAGAGGATCACCTGAGCCCAGGACGCGGAGGTTGCAGTGAGCCAAGATCATGCCACTGCACTCCAGTCTGGGTGACAGAGCAAGACCCCTCTCAAAAAAAAAAAAAATTACTCATTTAACATTCTACAGAAGAAGAAAAGTAGGCCCCAAGAGGAGGTGGGACTTACCTGAGATCACACAGCTCATCTGTCCCAAAGCATGACTAGAAGAAGCCAGGCCTCCTTTGGCTTCTTTAAGTTCAGTAATCACTAAGGTACCTCACAGGATTGTCTTCAGAACCAGAAGGTGGAAGAGAGAAGAGAAAGTGGTGTGAAAGTGAATGACGCCAAGCAGAGGGGAGGGCTTCCTCTCTGGGCTGTGGTGGCTCATGAGGTCCTGGGCTCCAGGCCTCATAAGGCAGTGATGTGAGCACGGCTAGGGGTGTCAGCCTCTTGAGTTTCCTTAGCTGCCCTGCTTCCCTCACAGGGCCCTGGGGTGAGGGGTGAGGTGAGAGAGGAGGCCTGTGAAAGTGCTGTGGTGGTTTTTAAAATATGCCCACAAATTCTTTGATATTCCTCCCTTCAAGAGGTGGAGCCTTGGCCGGGCACGGTGGCTCATGCCTGTAATCCCAGCACTTTGGGAGGCCAAGGCGGGCAGATCATCTGAGGTCGGGAGTTAAAGACCAGCCTGACCAACATGGAGAAACTCTGTCTCTACTAAAAATACAAAATTATCCGGGCGTGTTGGCACATGTCTGTAATTCCAGCTACTCAGGAGGCGGAGGCAGGAGAATCACTTAAACCCAGGAGGTGGAAGTTGCAGTAAGTCGAGATTGCACCATTGCACTCCAGCCTGGGCAACAAGAGTGAAACTCCGTCTCAAAAAAACAAAGAAAAAAAGAGGTGGAGGCTCAAAAAGGTAGAGCCTAGGCTGGGTGCGGTGGCTCACACCTGTAATCCTAGCACTTATGGGAGGCCGAGGTGGGTGGATCACCTGAGATCAGGAGTTTGAGACCAGCCTGGGCAACATGGTGAAACCCCCTCTCCACTAAAAATATAAAAATTAGCTGGGCATGGTGGCGGGCACCCATAGTCTCAGCTATGCAAGAGGCTGAGCCAGGAGAATAGCTTGAACCCAGGAGGCAGAGGTTGCAGTGAGCTGAGATCATGCCACTGCACTCTAGCCTGGGCAACAGAGCAAGACCCTGTCTCCAAAAAAAAAAAAAAAAAAAATTTAGAGCCTAGAGCCTAGTTCCCCTCAAGGGTTGATTGGATTTAGTGACTCACTTCTTACAAATAGAATAAAATGGAAGTGATGCTCTGTGTGTGTGTGTGTGTGTGTGTGAGAGAGAGAGAGAGAGAGAAAGAGAGAGAGACAGTCATAAAACAGCACTGTGGCTTCCATCTTGGTGATACTCTCTTGGATTTCTTACTCTGGGAGAAGCCAACTGCTCTGAGAATACTCAGGCAGCCCTGTGGAGAGGCCCTTTCTGTGAGGAATTGAGGCCTCCAGCAAGTAGCCATGTGTAGTGAATTCCAGGAGCACGGGGGCTCATGCCTGTAATCCCAGCACTTTGGGAGGCCAAGGTGGGCAGATCATGAGGTCAGGAGTTCGAGACCAGCCTGACCAACATGGTGAAACCCCGTCTCTGCTAAAAACACAAAAAAATTAGCCAGGCATGGTGGCAGGCACCTGTAGTCCCAGCTACTCAGGAGGCTGAGGCATGAGAATAGCTTGAACCTGGGAAGTAGAGGTTGCAGTGAGCCGAGATAGCGCCACTGCACTCCAGCCTGGGCTACAGAACAAGAATCTGTCTCAAAAAAAAAAAAAAAAAAAAGAAAAGAAAGAGAGAAAGAAAAAGGAAAAAAAGAAAGAAAAGAAAAGCTCGATATCACTGATCACTAGAGAAATGCAAATCAAAACCACAATGAAATACCACCTCACACCAGTCATAATGGCTATTATTGAAAAGTCAAAAAATGGCCAGGCACGGTGGCTCACACCCGTAATCCCAGCACTTTGGGAGGCTGAGTGGGTGGATCACGAGGTCAAGAGTTTGAGATTAGCCTGACCAACATGGTGAAACACCGACTCTACTGAAAATACAAAAATTAGCCGGGTGTGGTGGCACACGCCTGGAATCTCAGCTACTCAGGAGGCTGAGGCAGGAGAATTGCTTAAACCTGGGAGGAGAGGTTGCGGTGAGCCGAAATCACGCCATTGCACTCAGCCTGGGCAACAGAGGGAGACTCTGTCTCAAAAAAAAAAGAAAAGAAAAGAAAAGAAAAAAGTCAAAAAATAACACATGCTGGCGAGATTGTATGGAGAATAGGGAAGCCTTATATGATGTTATGATGTTGGTAGGAGTGTAAATTAGTTCAACCATTGTGGAAAGCAGTGTGGCAATTCCTCAAAGAGCTAAAAGCAAAACTATCATTCGACCCAGCAATCTCATTACTGGGTATATACCAAGAGGGAGATAAAGCGTTCTACCATAAAGACACATGCATGTGAATGTTCATTGCAGCACTACTCACAATAGCAAAGACATGGAATCAACCTAAATGCTCACCAGTGACAGACTGGATAAAGAAAATGTGGTACATGTGCACCATGGAATACCATGCAGCCATAAAAAAGAACAAGATTTTTTTGCCAGAATATGAATGGAGCTGGAGGCTATCATTCTTGGCAAAATTATGCAGGAACAGAAAACCAAATACTGCATGTTCTCACCTGTAAGTGGGAACTAAATGATGAGAACTTATGAACACAAGGAAACAACAGTCACTGGTGTCTATTGAGGAGGGAGGTTGGGAAGGAGAAGAACAGCAGAAAAGATAACTATTGAGTACTGGGGGTTAATACCTGGGTGATATATAATAATAGTATGTACAACAAACCCCTGTGACACTCGTTTATCTGTGTAACAAACCTTCACGTGTACCCCCAAACCTAAAATAAAAATTAAAAAAAAAGAAAAAGATATGGCTATGAGGTGGTAATAACATACAACAAGCTTTATTTGGGCCGTGTTTTGACAGGGTTGCCTGCTGAGGAAGCTTTTCACAGCATGAGACCTTCCGCAGGTAATGACTGAGGCCACCAGCTAGAAGAGAAGGAGGGTGGGGGAGATTCTGGGGGACACGGAGATTGGAGCGGATCCTTAGATGTCTAGATGATGCCCTCAGTAGTAGGGTGTGGAGTCTCAGAGTCAGAGAGATCCAAAGGGCAGCTATGGCTGGTGCTTTTTTTTTTTTTTTTTTTTGAGACAGAGTTTCCCTCTATGGCCCAGGCTGGAGTGCAGTGGCGTGATCTTTGCTCACTGCAAGCTCCGTCTCCCAGGTTCATGCCATTCTCCTGCCTCAGCCTCCTGAGTAGCTGGGACTACAGGTGCGTGCCACCACATCCGGCTAATTTTTTGTATTTTTAGTAGAGACGGGGTTTCACCGTGTTAGCCAGGATGGTCTCGATCTCCTAACCTCATGATCCACCAGCCTCAGCCTCCCAAAGTGCTGGGATTACAGTTGTGAGCCACCATGCCCGGCAACTGGGGCCTTTTATAGCACCAGAGTTTATTGTATCTGTGGCTAGTAAATGTGGGATTCTGTTTTGTGGGGTATGCAAAACCGGAAGGCTGTCAATGACTAACGATCTGTTTATTTAGACTATATTTAAAGCAATTGGGTGTATAAAAAATTTGAGCTTGGCACTGGTAAACTTTTGAGGCAATGATACCAGTCTGCTGTGAAGCAATAAAAAATATAGGGCCAATATAGAGTTAATATAACTTTGGCTTATTATGTAACAGCATGTCTGTCTTTGATTCTTTAGGCTCAATCAAACCTTCAATGGCCCCGAAAGACATCTTGATTGAAACCTCATGAGAGACTCTGAGCCAGAAAACCCAGCAACTTAGAACCCAGATACCTGACCATCAGCCACTGTGTGAAATAATAAATGTTTGTTGTTTTAAGCTGCTAGTAATATGAGTGTCTTGAGAAACAAAGCCAGTCGGGCTGCACTTAAGGCTGGCTTTGTGTTCCCTCCAGCCTTTGTCTTCCCCCATCATGACAACTTGTGCTCTTTCTCCCAGGAGGCTGAGGATGCTGCTCTGAAACCAGCCAGGCAAGAACCTCAGTTAGCATCAGCAACAGCTGCTCCTCAATTTGCTTTCTGAATTATTTAGCCCTTCTTTGCTTCTATCCTAAATCCAGACCTTTTAAAATATTAATATTTTAAATATGCCTGGGCCTTGGCTTGGAAGTCTGTATTTCTCTCCTGTCTCTGCCCAAGGCTAGACGTCTTAGAGAAGAGTTATCTCTGCCCTGAATGATTTTCTCTTTGGCTCTGGCTCCTGGAAATTAAATCTGGCTGGGTTCTAACCAAAGAAAGGGAAACCATTTTCACAATGGAATCAAAAGAGTTTCTTTTCTACAAATGCAGCCTTTTACTTGCCCAAGCTCACAGGGCTTGTGTCACAGCTGGTGATCTGAGACCCAGACCCTCTCACCACCTCCCAGCCACCACCACGCCAGAGGGAGACAAAGCTCGCACTGCTGTGAGACGTTCTCTGCTTCCCATGACCGCTGCGTCATTTACTTATCTCTCAGTTCTCCTGCCACCCCGTGAAGTCCCTGAAACCTCTGGGGATGCAGGAGCCCAACACAGCCGACAGACCAGGAGAGGGGTCCTGAGCTCTGCTGTCGTGCAGTGGCTCTCTGCTGGCCTTCATGTCCTTACCTGCAAGTTGAGAGGGTGGCACCATCTCTCAGGGCTGCAGAAGTTGGAGTTTGTGAGTCTGAAACCCCATTTGGCCGTTAGAAAGCCAAGTCGCACAGGTTATAATACACCTCTGACTGGCCCCCAGGACTTGATTCCTCACCCAGGGTTCAATCCTACAACTGGGCTGCGCCTCACTCACCTCCCCAGACTTTATGCCAGGCATAGAGGGAAGTGGGACCTTTATTCTGAGAGCTAAGGGAGGGCTCCTTCCTGCTTCTCAGCCTTCTCAGGAGCCCTTCCCTGGGCACCTTCTTTGCCTGGTGAACTCAGACTTTCCTTCCTTCAGTGCAGAGCCACCCCCTAACTCCTGCCCACCCAGCCTCTCAGAGCAGGGCAGGATGGCCTATCCAATATCCCCTCTCCCTCACCCTTGCATCCTCTCCTGGTCCTTTGGGGCATTCCCCAGATGTGTGAATTTACTATTAATTCTGTCTCCCCTGTTAGTCTGTTAGTTCCAGACAGGGCAGGAAACTATAACCTCTAGGAAGGGCTGTATCTGTGTTTCAACAATTCCTGATTTTCATATCCTGAAGCTTCAGAACCCCTGGAATAATTCCCAAGCAAATCAGCAGCCTCTCCTTCCAGCCAGGAGGCATCACAGCTCCAACGTAGCACAACCCAGCTTGGGGGCTTGGGCTACTGGAAGGGAGGCCACAGGGTCAAGATTAGGCTGGAGATGCCTCAGAAAGTATCTAGAAATGTCTGGTATGACCAGGCTGCAATCAGAAGAGGAGTGTCCAGGCCACTGGGTGACTGTCCTACTATGTCCCAATGGCTCCATCATTCACGGAGCGCTGCAGAACTTCGAATGTGGGACAAACACATGCCCCTAGGACTGTTGAGGTTGCTCACCTCCTCAATCTAGACCTGATCTGTTCAGAAGGCAGGGACAGGGTCTGCACTACCCTGTCTTCCTCACAGCCTGGCACAGGCCTGGCACCCATAAGCCCTTGCTCTGTGGCTCTGCCTGGCAGAAGCTGACCCAGTGTCAGAAGAGCCTTCTAGCAGTTGGAGCTGCCTGGGCACCAAAAGGGCTGCTTGAGAGGATGAGTCCCTGTCACTGTCAGTGCTCAGGCTGAGACCACATTAGCTGGGTCAGGTGCTAAGCTGGGAGTGCTGTGCTGGGAGGGAATTGCCTTCTGTTAGTTGTTCATTTCTTAGCTTGAATCATTTCCCACAGCATTTCAATAGCTAGGTAAATCAAGTCTCCCTAGTGGAATCTTAGATGATAGGTGAGGAGGGTGGTTTTGGGGCAGCGGATCCAGGCTACTGTTTCTGAAATCACTGCTCATGAGCAGCTCCCTATTCTTCTAGCTGAGGTCATCTCAGCTGACCATGCCCTGAGGGGTCGTAGCCAGAGTCCTGGTGAAAGTTGTCTGCTCCTCCACCCCTTCTTCTCTGCCCTCTTCTGATCAAGAGCATAGGCTGGGGGTGGCACACAGTGGGGGTGAGTAGGGGAGTGGAATCCTGGGTCAGAGGCTCTCACTTTTATTATAACAAGAAGTTCCAAGAGATACCAACTCATTCCCATTCGCACCATGCAGGGGCTCTAATTAAATTTTTCTTTTTTCTAATTTCCATGTGTCAGACAAAATTACAACAAATTTAGTTACAGATTGAATTGGCTTTTATTAGCAATTCATGAATCAGGGAACACCTCATTCTACAAAATAGAATGAATGTTCTGATGAGCTGAGCAGAGGAGATTGGCTTCATAGTATGAAAAGGGCTGAGGAAAGTAGAAACAAAGAACAAAAAGCAGATTGGTTGTTCCTGACTTACTTTCCTTATGAAGGTTAAAGCAAAGGGAACTTCTTCATGATGCCAGCTGAAACTGACCTGTTTGGGGATCTGGCTATTACCTCTCCCGATTTCTTGCAAGGACAGATAGGTAATTTAGTGTTGACTTGGTGGTGTGGAACTTCAACATGAGTAATTCCATTTTGGTTTGGTCTGTTGGGCCTACTGCAGGAGCTCAGGCCAAACCAATGGCCTCCTATAAATTTTATTTAACACGTGAAGGTAGTTCACATTCCCTACCCACATTGTTTACCTGTGGGCAAACAATGAATTAATGCTCTGTTGATTATTGGATCTGATGGAGATCAGAACTGTAATTTGCTTGGGAGCTTGGGTTTTCTTTTTTTCTGTTTTCTTCCACTTTCTAAAAGAAGCAGCTTCAGAGTGGGGAGGGAGACAAGAAGAAAGGAAGCCCATGTTTAGTGAACATCTGCTAAGTGCAGCAGGCTTCTTTGTCAGGGCTCTGGGGAAATCCTTACAACAATGTGAACAAGTCTTGTTACTCTCATCTTTACTGAGGGAGGCCAGTTGGAAGTAATGAGAGTGGAGCCCTGACATGCAGGGGGTGGGCAGCCTGGAGGAGGGATGTCTGGATGCCCAAGGGGAGCCGGGATCCTGCCAAGAGGCTGCAGGGCCGCTCTGGCCACAAGAGGGCACCCCACATTGCCATATCTGGGCTGAGGGTGGTGGAATGAAGACCACAAAGAGGCCTTCTAGGGAGTGACCGTCCTGTGTACCCATACACTGGTCCCTCTCTCCAGGTTTCTTTCTTTCTTTCTTTCTTTCTTTCTTTCTTTCTTTCTTTCTTTCTTTCTTTCTTTCTTTCTTTCTTTTTCTTTCTCTTTCTTTCTCTCTCTCTTCTCTCTTCTCTCCTCTCTCTGTCCTCTCTTCTGTCTTCTCTCCTCTCTCTCTCTCTCTCTCTCTCCTCTCTCCTCTCCTCTCTCTCTCTCTCTCTCTTTCTTTGAGACAGTATTTCGCTCTTGTTGCCCAGGCTGGAGGGCAATGGCGCGATCTCGGCTCACTGAAACCTCCACCTCCCGGGTTCAAGTGATTCTCCTGCCTTAGCCTCTCGAGTAGCTGGGATTACAGGCATGCGCCACCACGCCTGGTTAATTTTCTGCTTTTAGTAGAGACGGGGTTTCTCCATGTTGGTCAGGCTGGTCTCAAACTCCTGACCTCAGATGATCCACCGGCCTCGGCCTCCCAAAGTGCTGGGATTACAGACGTAAGCCACTGCACCCCAGCCTCTCCAGGTTTCTTGAAGAAGGTCGGCATGAGATTCCTCTGGCAACTAGAAACACAGCTGGCTTTCAGGCCCTGCAGAACGCATGTCTCTGTAACTCAGGGCTGTCTGTGTCAGAGGAGGAAGGATATTTGTTGTCGATTAGGGCGTGTGCAGTCTGTGCGTGCTGTGTTGGGAGTGACTGTATATAAGCGTGTGGGTGTAAGTGTGTGAGTTTCTCCAGGATTCTAGTGGAGTGTGGGAGGGGGTGGCGGGGAAGGGCCTGTTCCTGGTTCCAGAGAGCTGGAGCTGCTGCTAAAAGGAGGGAACCTGAAGCAAGATCCAGCTCAGTGCTCTTTCAGGTCTGGGGCTGAAACCTGTCTTGTTTCCCCATCAGAGGCAGTCCCAGGCCCGAAAGAGGAGAGATGGACCTTTGCCTTGCTGCTGGTGGTGGTGGGCAACTCCTCCTACCCTGGTCCAGCAGGACTGCACATTGGGGGCTTCTCAAAGGGCCTGCCAAGCTCCAAGGCTTCCAGTGATGCCTCTTTGCCTAGCAAAGGTTAGGACCCACAGCAGTGGCCAAGCCCTGGAGCCTGTTCAGTCTTGCCAGGAGGACCTGGTGTCACCAAGATTTGCCTGGGGGCACAGCCGCAGTCTTGTGACCCAAGAAATACCACTGGTCTCAGTTTAGACCAGAACTTTTTTTCCCCTGAAAGCTTTGTGGGGGCAGTGGCAGGGAGCCCAGGCTTAGGGGTGGGAGGGGCAGTTGCCATGAGCCTAGAGGCTTCTCCCCACTCTCACCACGGTCATCAGACAGCTGCTTCACATGAATAAGCTCTGCAGGCTGTACCCTGGCCTGGTGTCTCAGCCGGGGATTTGGAGGCATTAGGGTTGGTGGAAATTAAATCTAGAGTGGGAGCCTCAGGCCAGTAGGCTGACGCCCTGAACAGTGTCCCAGAGCAGGAAGAGGAAGTCCTGAGGCTTCTCAGAGCCAAATTGGGAGGGGGAATAGCAAGCCCCAGGAGTCTCCAGATTATGAAACATGCGGGGGACAAGAGCAGGACTCTGCAGTGTGCAGGAGACCCCTAGCTGGGGACGGGGAAGACAAAAAAAGATCCACTGGAGCCACGGTCTCTCACAAGGTCTTGGTTGGTTTCTCTGTCCCTGTCCAGACTTCCCCTGCAGGACCTTCCCCCCAGCAGCCTGGCCTTAGCTCTGAACTCGCTGTCCTTCCCAGGAGCTTCCATTCCTGGGCCCAGCCAAACAACCATGAGATAAACATGAGAGAAAAACATCCTTCTGGGACCTGATTGTTTCAGGGAGTAGTGGGGCCTGCAGGGAGCCGGAGATTCGGGGAACAAGGCTTAATGACCATGTAACCATTAAGAAGAAAGCATTGGCCGGGCACCGTGGCTCACGCCTGTAATCCCAGCACTTTGGGAGGCTGAGGCAGGCGGATCATGAGGTCAGGAGATTGATTAGACCAGAACCATGAAGACCATCCTTGCTAACACGGTGAAACCCTGCCTCTACTAAAAAAATACAAAAAATTAGCCAGGCGTGGTGGCAGGCGCCTGTAGTCCCAGCTAGGTGGGAGCTGAGGCAGGAGAACGGCGTGAACCCAGGAGGCGGAGCTTGCAGTGAGCCAAGATCTCGCCACTGCACTTCAGCCTGGGTGACACAGCGAGACTCTGTCTCAAAAAAAAAAAAAAGGAAGAAGAAAGCATTGCTATCAGGCCTGGGTTGGTCAAAATTTTGGTACAGCTGCCTAGTAGCCATGTGACCTTAATGAGCAAAAATTACTTAACTTCAGTTTCATCATCCACAAAATGGGGACAATAATTACCTAGCAGAAGTATGAAGATTTAGAAATTAGGAAGGTAAAGCACCTGATCAACAGTAAACACTGTTATTATATTCTTTATTAATACACAGACCCCTCCCCACCCAGGATGGCTCCGGGCCTCTCACCTTTCTAAAAAGCAGGCATCTTTTCTGGGCTCCAAGAAAAGTAGTCCTCCAGCCTGGCCAAAACAGTGAAACCCTGTCTCTACTAAAAATACAAAAATTACCCGGGCATGGTGGCACGCACATGTAGTCCCAGCCACTCAAGAGGCTGAGGCAGGAGAATCGCTTGAACCCGGGAGGTGGAGGTTGCAGTGAGCCGAGATCGTGACACTGTACTCCAGCCTGAGCGACAGAGTGAGACTCTGTCAAGAAAGAGGCTGGGCGCCGTGGCTCAAGCCTGTAATTCCAGCACTCTGGCAGGCCGAGGCGGGCGGATTGCGAGGTGAGGAGATCGAGAGCATCCTGGCTAACACGGTGAAACCCTGTCTACTAAAAAATACAAAAAATTAGCCAGGCGTGGTGGCGGGCGCCTGTAGTCCCAGCTACTCGGGAGGCTGAGGCAGGAGAATGGCGTGAACCCGGGAGGCAGAGCTTGCAGTGAGCCGAGATCATGACACTGTACTCCAGCCTGAGCGACAGAGCGAGACTCTGTCTCAAAAAAAAAAAAAAAAAGAAAAGAAAAAGAAAAGCGGGCCAGGCGTCGTCGCTCATGCCTGTAATCCCAGCACTTTGGGAGGCCAAGGCGGGCGGATCATGAGGTCAGGAGTTCAAGACCAGCCTGACCAACATGGTGAAACCCCATCTCTACTAAAAATACAAAAAAAAAAAAAAAATTGCAGGGCGTGGTGGCACACGTCTGTACTCCCAGCTACTCAGGAGGCTGAGGCAGGAGAATCGCTTGAATCCGGGAGGCAGAGGTTGCAGTAAGCCGAGATTGTGCCACTGCACTCCAGCCTGAGCAACAGAGCAAGACTCCATATCAAAAAAAAAAAAAGAAAAAGAAAGAAAGAAAAGCAGTCCTGGCCGGGCGTGGTGGCTCACACCTGTAATCCCAGCACTTTAGGAGGCCGAAGCAGGCGGATCATGAGGTCAGGAGATCGAGACCATCCTGGCCAACATGGTGAAACCCCGTCTCTACTAAAATACAAAAAATTAGCCAGGCGTGGTGGTGCACGCCTGTAGTCCCAGCTACTTGGGAGGCTGAGGCAGTAGAATCATTTGAACCCAGGAGGCGGACGTTGCAGTGAGCCGAGATCACGCCACTGTACTCCAGCCTGGTGACAGAGCAAGACTCTGTCTCAAAAAAAAAAAAAAAAGGAAAAGAAAAGCAGTCCTATAATTTGCCTGCACTAGCGTGATAATGAAATGGTAAAAAGTTAATGTCACCCAGGCAGTAATGGATCAATTTCTCCCTGTTAACAGGAGACCTCTGGGAAGATACCTTGATTCCAAAGAGTGAATTTATTGGATGGCAGGCAGTGAGTCCTGTGGGTGATGAGCCAGGTGGGTCTCTCCTTTACTCCTGGATCTTACAGCAGTAGAAACACAGAACTTTTCGACTTTCTGAGCAGAAAGAGGCTGAGTTGGCTGCCTGTTTCAGTAGGAGCCCAGAGGCTTTGTCTAAGGCCCTGGTGATGTCCCTTTCCTATCATGGGTTTAAGAAGTCAGGAGCTGGCCGGGCATGGTGGCTCACGCCTGCAATCCCAGCACTTTGGGAGGCTGAGGTGGGTGGGTGGATCACCTGAGGTCAGGAGTTTGAGACCAGCCTGGCCAATATGGTGAAACCTTGTCTCTACTAAAAATACAAAAATTAGCTGGGCGTGGTGGCGTGTGCTTTTAATCCCAGCTACTCAGGAGACTAAGGCAGGAGAATTGCTTGAACCTGGAGGTGGAGGTTGCAGTGAGCCGAAATCGCACCACTGCACTCCAGCCTGGGTGACAGAGCAAGACTCCATCTCAAAAAAAAAGAAGTCAGGAGTCAAGTTCCTCCAGCACTGGCAGAGGGGAGAAGGCATGAACACGGGCTTAGGGTCTGTAAGATTTTCCCTTCTTCCCAGCTCACCCTCAGCCTCCCATCTCTGCTTCAGAACCTCTCAATCAACCAGGTAACTCCCTTAGGTGAGGCTGGGAGAAGCCTCATTCATGGCACACAATAGGTGCTTACTATTCCACATAACAGGTGGATTGAGTTGAATGCAGGCCATAAAGGTGTTGGGAGGGAAGAGGCTTTCAGTGAACTTAGTCCAGGAACAGGGAGACTGTGGGTGGGCAGCGCCCCAGTATCAAGTGCCAGGAGCCGATGAAGGCCCTGCCCTATTGGGTGAGCCCACTGCCGAAACCTGGCAGCCACTCAGGTTCCTCCCTGCCCCCACCCCCACACCCGACCTGCTCAGCCTCCTCCTAAACTACCTGGAATTGGCTCTGCCTATTTCCAGTCCTTCTCTAGGGCATTATTATTTCCAGCCCAGAAGGCTGAATTATAAATGAAATTCTTGTCTGCAGTCCTGCCCTCTTACAAACTGTTGCACAAACCCCATCAAAGTGATATTTCTGAAACCAAAATGATGATCCTTCTCCCTGCTTAAATACCTTCTATGGGCCAGGCATGGTGGCTCACGCCTATAATGCCAGCACTTTGGGAGGCCAAGGTGGGCAGATCACTTAATGTCAGGAGTTCCAGACCAGCCTGGCCAACATTGTGAAACTCCATCTCTACTAAAAATACAAAAATGTTTAGTATTTTTAGGTGTGGTGGCACATGCCTGTAGTCCCAGCTACGTGGGAGGCTGAGGCAGGAGAATAGCTTGAACCCGGGAGGCAGAGGTTGCAGTGAGCCGAGATGGCACCATTGCACGCCAGCCTGGGTGACAGAGAGAGACTGTGTCTCAACAAACAAACAAACAAAAAAACCTTCTATGGCTCCCTATTGCCTACACACTAAAGCTCAAATTTTTTCTTTTGTTAAAAAAGACCACTATGGGCTGGGCGTGGTGGCTCACACCTGTAATCCCAGCACTTTGGTAGGTTGCAGTGAGCCAAGAGCCCTTTTTTTTTTTTTTAAGAAGGAGTCTCACTCTGTCACCCAGGCTGGAATGCAGTGGCATGATCTTGGCTCATTGCAACCTCCACCTCCTGGGTTCAAGCGATTCTCCTGCCTCAGCCTCCCGAGTAGATGGCACTACGGGCACCCGCCACCATGCTCAGCCAATTTTTGTATTTTCAGTAGAGACGAGGTTTCACCATGTTGGCCAGGCTGGTCTCGAAATCCTGACCTTGTGATCCACCCGCCTCGGCCTCCCAAAGTGCTGGGATTACAAGCATGAGCCACCGAGCTTGGCCTAAATCAAATTCTTTAAAATGACACACAATGCCCCCTGAGACCTCTGACCCCTGTCCCTGCTTTCCTCTCCAGCTGCATCTCTTACCCACCACCCTCACCATCTCTCTATGCACTGGTCAGACCAAACTGTCTACTCCTGGCCTGGCAAATGCCATGCTCCCTCCATCATTCAGGGCTTTGTGTATGTGTATGCCCCCTCAAGGTGGAATGAGCATTGGTACACATACCCCTTGTTTCCCTCTGCTTAATTTGGTCAATTTCTATTTGTCCTTCAAGCA